>NC_000018.10:48523244-48823910 GCF_000001405.40 Homo sapiens
CATGCTCCCTGGTACATGGTAATTGCTAGATAAAAGTGAGGCACAGTCATTAGAGAAATGCAAATCAAAACCACAATGAGATACCATCTCATGCCAGTTAGAATGGCCATCATAAAAAGTCAGGAAACAACAGATACTGGAGAGGATGTGGAGAAATAGGAATGCTTTTACACTGTTGGTGGGAGTGTAAATTAGTTCAACCATTGTGGAAGACAGTGTGGCGATTCCTTAAGGATCTAGAACCAGAAATACCATTTGACCCAGCAACCCCATTACTGGGTATATACCCAAATGATTATAAATCATTCTACTATAAAGACACATGCACATGTATGTTTATTGCAGCACTATTCACAATAGCAAAGACTTGGAACCAACGCAAATGCCCATCAATGATAGAGTGGATAAAGAAAATGTGGCACATATACACCATGGAATACTACGCAGCCATAAAAAGGATGAGTTCACGTCCTTTGCAGGACATGGTTGAAGCTGGAAACCATCATTCTCAGCAAACTAACACAGGAACAGAAAACCAAACACTGCATGTTCTCACTCATAAGTGGGAATTGAACAATGAGAACACATGGACACAGGGAGGGGAACATCACACATCGGGTCCTGTTGGGGGTTGGGGGGCAAGGGGAGGGAGAGCATTAGGACAAATACCGAATGCATGTGGGGCTTAAAATCTAGATGACGGGTTGATAAGTGCAGCCAACCACCATGGCACATGTATACCTGTGTAACAAACCTGCACGTTCTGCACATGTATCCCAGAACTTAAAGTATAATAAATAATAAAAAATAAAAATTAAAAAGTGAGGCATAATTATTGATATTTATTGAATACCTACATATCTTTTGGCTGGCATGGCACTGTGCATATGAAGGGAGAAAAAGCAAATGTGTGGTGTTAAGATTCATAATCTATTGGGGGGAAGACCCTTAAAAAACCCCTACATAGTATTCTTACCACTGCAATGTAGAGATACAGACAGGGTATTTTGGGGAGTACAGAGCAAGAAACCCAAGAAGACTTCCTGAAGGAAGTGACAACTGAGTGTGAGATGAACAGAGGGCTAGAGATGGGGTGGGGATCGCATTTTAGCCAAAGGAAACTAGGTGAACCAGGGTTTATGACAACCAGGGGCAAGAACCATCCCATTAAGTGTGTGTAAGGCAGTAGGAGAACTGATTGTTTCATATTGCTGGAACATTAAACTGAAGACAGGACGTAGTAAGACCATGAGATCCTGCAGCTACCTCTTCCTTTCCCCCATCACCAGTGTTGGTCAACAGAGGCGCCTCAGAGTGAGAGAAGCGGAAGAGAGTACCTCCTTGGTGTCTGCCATCCATTTCCTTTAGGAAGCATGTGCCAGAGGATGACGAGGACCTGACGATAGAATCTGCCTTACATCTGAGCCCTGCACTGAAGCACTGCCATCCATGTGAGCCCTGCACCAGGGCAAACTTGCAGGATTGAATGGCAAAACCCACGGCTCAGAGAGCCCCTCATCTGGGATCACCACCTCCAACCAGGAGGCAAGCTGGGCAAAGGTGTGGAAGAGAGTCTGTGCCCCATGTGAGCCTCCTGCCTCCTTGCCTCCTCACAGGCCTGTCCCTGGAGTGCAGTGGTCACTGATCCTGGTCGCCACAGACCTCACCACACACCACACGGAGGGATGAATTCACCAAGTGGAAGGACCTGCTTGGTGTGGCAGGAATTGCCCTTTTATGCTCTTACTCAGGGGGTGGGGCCACATCTGCATGCCAGGATCTGCCCCCATGACCATCTAAGGAAATTCTCCCTCACCAAGGTCATACACTTCCTGGGTCTATTGCGCTGCCTTATGGGGCCTGCTGCTGCCAAGGGGAGTGATGGGTACTTGCGGTTGGTGCAGGAAGGAGGTTGGAATCCACGACACACCTCTTACAAAACCCACACATTAATGATCTCTCCGAGCCTTGGTTTTCTCTTTTATGAAATGGAAATGATAATACACATCACACAGGGGTTTCCTGAGGATCCAATAAAATAATGCATGTGTGAAACTTGGCACATATTAAATGTGAAGAAAGGCTAGTGACTATTGATGTTGATGTTGTTCTTCCAAGGATAAGTGCTGTAATCCAGTTCATGAGTTTCACTTTGTGCTGTGTCTCAGGTACTCTGACAGGTATGGGGGGTTCTGAGGCACAGATGACCTAGCACTTGTCCTCAGGGATTTTTAGTTTGGTGGTGGAAGGAAATAAGTAAAAGGATGTCACACTTTGAGGTATAAGTACTGTTGCAGGGGCAAACACAGGAGATGTGGGAGCCCAGGAGGGAGTTTAACACCATGTGGGGCTGGGGAGGAGGCAGGCAGTTTTTGGAGGATGCAGCTTGTGAGGGGAGTCCTAAAAAAACAGGGGGTGTAAAGCCCAGTGAAGGAGTGGGAGAGAGGGAAGAAATGAATCCTGGCTCAGGGAGAACATTCCAGGTAGTAGGAATGAGGGCAGGATTAAGTATTCTGGCAAGCCATAGGCTGTCCTGGCAATAATGAGGAAAATATGGTTTGGTGAGCAGGGTCCATCTGATATGAAGGCTATGTCAGAACAGCAGTTTTTGATGGCTTATCTTTAGTGAGTGTGGCAGGCATGCTGGCTGCCTGCTAAATATCCATGCTCCTTCTTCCTCACCAACAGGACTCCACATTCTTGAATATGACAAATGCCCAGGTAAAAATCCATTTCCCAGCCTCTCCCCAGCAAACAGGGATGGACAGTGAAGTGTGTGTAGATTTTTTTTTAAACTTTTTTGGTTTTGAGACAGGATCTCACTCTGTTGCCCAGGCTGAAATGCAGTGAAGTGATCACGGCTCACTGCAGTCTCAACCTCCCAGGCTCAAGTGATCCTCCCGCCTCAGCCTCCAGAGAAGCTAGGACCACAGGCATGTATAACTATGCCTGGCTAATTGTTTATTTTTATTTTTGTAGAGATGAGGTCTCACTATGTTGCCCGGGCGGGTCTCAAACTCCTAGCCTCAAGCAATCCTCCCACCTCAGCCTCCCAAAGCACTAGGATTGCAGGCGTGAACCGTTACACCTAATCTTTTTTTTTTTTTTACTTTTTATAATAAAAAAAGCCCAAACATACACACAAGTACAGAAAATAGTGCAAGAACCTCTATGTACTCTTCACATAGTTTTATAGCTATCAACTGTCAACTTGGTGTGGCAGGAATCAACATTTGCCATTCTTGTTTCATCGGTCCTTCCACTTGTCTTTTTTTTTTCTAGATTATTTTAAAGCACAGACCAGACATTATATTATCTCCACCCATAAATATTTCAGTGTGTCTCTCTAAGGGATACTTTCTTTTTTAATGTAACCACAATACTAATATCATACCTAACAAAATTAACAATAATTCCTTAATATCATCTAATATGCAGTCTGTATTCAATTGAGAAATCTCTTTAAGGGGACTGACTTGGTAGAAAACTAGGTGGCCCTTTGCCCTTCTCCCTCTCCTTCTGCTGTTACAGGATATTCAGATGGCCCAAGCCCAAGTCCCCACTTTCACAAACTCACCACTTTGTGACCATGAGTAAACTTTGACAGCGGAAACCACACACTGGGGAAGGTGAAATGGGAAGATGGGAGGAGCTGGGACCCTGATGGCCACGCAGCCATCACACCAACATGAGACTGCCTAACTCTGGTCATTTTTCTTCCTCAGTCTTGCTTTTTGTATTTTTTAATTAATAGATTTTTTAAAACTTATGAGCAGTTTCAGGTTTATAGAAAAATTGAGCAGAGAGTACAGACTTCCCAAATCCCCGACACCACCCCCACCGTTTCCCCTAGTATTGACATCATGAATGAGTGTGGTGCATTTATTACAGTTGATGAGCAAATATTGTTATGTTATTGTGAACTAAAATCCACAGTTTCCCTTAGGGTTCACTCTTGCGTAGATTCTATGGGTTTTGATGAAGGCATGATGACTTTTATCCACGATTATAGTATTGTACAGAGTAGTGTCACTGCCTAACAATCCTCTGCCTATTCATCCCTCTCTCCCTGCTAATCCCTGGCAACCACTGATCTTTTTACTGTCCCTGCCTTTTCCATAGTGTCATATAGTTGGAATCGTACAGTATGTAGCCTTTTCAGACTAGCTTCTTTTGCTTAGCAACATGCATTTCAGATTCTTCCATGTCTTTTTGTAGCTTGATAACTCATTTCTTTTCATCGCTAAATAATTTTCCGTTGTCTGAATGTCCCACAGTTTGTTTATCCACTCACCTATTGAAAGACATCTTGGTTGTTTCCAAGCTTTGGCAATTATGAATAAAGCTGCTATAAACATTTATGTGTAGGTTTTTGTGTGGACATAAGTTTTCAACTCATTTGGGTGAGTACCAAGGAGAGCTACTGCTAGATTGTATGATAAGAGTGTGTTTAGTTCTGTAAGAAGCTGCCAAACTGTCTTCCAAAGTGGCCGTACCATTTTTCTTAATGTGGAGAGAAATCTTCCTTAAGCCGCTGTAATTTGTATCTCTGTTATTAGCAGCTGAATGCAATTCCTAATTGATAGGGTGGGAATGTGTTACTGAGTGCTGATTAGCTGGACAGAAATCTTACACCAACACACTAAAAAGTCAGAAGTAACTGCTGATCTAGTCATGCGTTCTTACCCATCAGCATTACTTTTTTTCATGAGGTCAGACAAGATTGTCAGATATATAACAAAGATATGACTGTGTTCTAATTTTCTATTAACATTATGATGATAAGAAAAGATTGGCTTGTCTTTTTATTTAGGTCCTGTTAAGGAGTCTCCACATGATTACTTCTTCGTAAGTGCTTGCAAACTTTTTGTTTAATGATCTGTTCCCGCTGTCTTTTGGCATTTTTCTGGTCTTCATAATTCCACCAAGATTAAGGATAGTGGTTTGACAGTTGGGTCTACAAATCCTGTCCTAGTTGGAATCCTCAAATGCTGAAGTGAGCAAATATTCCCCATTATCATTATCCAGTAATCAAAATCATTTTAGCGACTTGATTTGGCTTCATGCTGAGCAGTAGATGTGTTCTGGGGGAAAACTATATATACATCACATTGTTATAAATTAATTCCTATTTTAAATGAACTGGGAAAGCTTGTCACAGCAGAGGATAATGCAGTGAATCCTTCTATAAGGCAAATAATTCCATTATATGAATAATCACCCTCTAATTTAGTTCTCTATGAATATGTAATGTTCAAATAATGGGGATTTCAGGGTTTTTTTTACATATGGAGATTAGAGCTGAATGTTTGCTTATATTCAATTCCTCTTTTCTTTTTTTAACATCATCATCATCATTGTCTTCAATGTTGTTTGTTGTCATCACCAGGAAAGGCACCAAATTTTAGAAATACATGAAAAGAGCTGCCTTACTAGAGGTTGTCTTATCCACCAATAAGCAGGTCTTGTTCTGTGCTGAGGAATCCTATAGCTTCCTCAGTGTCTACATTCAATGGTACAGAATGATTACCTGGTTGTGTGACCTTGGACAAATCACAAATTATATAAACTCTCTGGGTCTCAGTTTATTCATCTGTAAAATGAGAATGATGATGGCACATTACTCATGGGGTTGACTTGAGGATCAAATGTGGCAACATAGAGTGTCTATGTTATGTGTTCAATTAATGTCAGCTATTATAATTGCTTTTCGAAGTCGTATTATCATTAAACGTTCAGGTTAGACAAGCCCTCCCCTTAAAAAAATAACTATGACTGCATCACACCCATTAGAATGGCCACTATCCAAAACAAGCAAACAAATAAATGGAAAATAACAAGTATTGGCAAGGAAGCAGAGCAATTGGAACACTCGTGCACTGTTGTGGGAATGTAAGATGGTGTAGCCACTATGGAAAACAGTATGGTAGTTCCTCAAAAAACTAAAAGTAGAATTACCATATAATCCAGCAATTTCCCTTCTGGGTATATATTCAAAAGAAATGAAAGCGAGGACTCAAAGGGGTATTTGTAGACCCACGTTTGTAACAGCATGATTCACAACAGTCAAAAAGTGGAAGTGACCCAAGTGTCCATCCATGCACAAGTGGGTAATCAAAACGTGGTATATACATGCAATGGAATATTATTCAGCCTTAAAAAGAAATGAAATTCTGACACGTGCTACAACAGGGAATAACCTTGAGGGCATTATGCTAAGTGATGTAAGCCAGTCACAAAAGGACAAATACTGTATGATTCCACTTACATGAGGCACTTAGATTAGCCAAATTCATATTAACAAAATGTAGACTAGTGGTTTCTAGGAGCTGGCGACAGAAGAGAATGGAGAATTGTGTTTTGGTGAGCACATAGTTTTAGTTTTGCAAGATGAAGAGTTTTGTTGATTAATGCTAGTGATGGAAGCATAACAGTGTGAATTTACTAATGCCAATTTTAAGTGTGCAGTAAGCATACAATTAAATGTTTAAGATGGTACATTTTATGTCATGTGTATTTTACCATTTTTTTTAATAAAAAGATTTTTACTATTTTAAAATTATAAAATAACCACCATGATTAGGAGTTTTCTATACCTAGGAAATGGGAACACATCCAGTGGTAGAAGATTGTAGGGAATGGAGAAGTGACAGTGTGGCCAACCCAGAATGCTCTTTAGCAGAACTGAATGCCTGTCATAGCTGACAGATGAGCCACTCAGAACATGCTTGCATTTGTCAATGATCCCTCCAGCTGACTCCACAGTCGACTGGTTTCACAAAGCATAACACTGGTTGTGATTTGTGTCTGGGTAACCACAGCTTCCAGAGATGGGCCCTGTCCAAGAAGCTGGTATTCAAAAATTACAACTCAATTGATAGGAGAAGAGTTCACTGGTACTGGCTTAGTAATTAAATTGCGAGGTGATTATTAGTCTGCTCAGGCAAAAAGATCACATGTGAGTACTTTAAGTAGCCTAAGACTAAAAAACTCCTCCCAGAAAAAAAAAAAACAAACCTGTAACTAAATTCATACCATTTTCTGCCAATTATAGATGCCCTCCAGTGACTTTAAGGTTGCCACAGCAACATGCCCACTGAAAGGTTGTCTTAGTCCATTTTGTGCTTCTATAACAGAATACCTGAGACTGGGTAATTTATAAAGAGAAGATATGTATTTCTTACCTTTCTGGAGGCTGAAAGTCTAAGGTATAGGGGCCCACATCTTGCAAGGACCTTCTTGCTGTGTCATCCCATAGTGGAAGGTGGAAGGACAAGACAGCACACATGAGCAAGAGATCAAACTCACAGACTGAAGCCCTTTCATAATCAGCATTAATCCATTATGGGGTGGAGCCATCATGACCTAAACACCTCCTAGTAGGCCCTGCCCCCCAACGCTGTTGCATTAGGGATTAAGTTCCCAACACATGCTTTTTGTTAAAAAGAAATGTGTTAAATAATGCATTGGGACATATTCACTATAGCATAGGGCATGATTGCTAAGTCCTGAAATATATGGATATAGCAAAGAGAGAATGTTTCACATCTTATCTCTGTGTCAAGCCAAAATTTTCTTCTAGGGGTAGGACAGGTGAACTGTCACCAGGCAGCTCTCCTCTCTTCTGTGGCGCAATCTGAGGTCCCAAGCTGGCTTGCCACCTCTGCCACTGCCCCACAGGGAGCACAGCAGCCCGGCATTTCCCCTACACTGCTCCCTTCCCCTGGGTGGTCTCCCAGTCCACATAAGCTAATAGGCATCCTCCCTTGTTTTTCTGAAAACCTCCTCTGCCACCTCTCCCAAGCAGGGTTCCCTGACCAAGTGGCAGCTTGGTGCTTTCTAGAGCAGATCCCATTCAATCACCTAGCTCTGCACAAAATAAATTCAAAGGCTTCACACACCCTTTGCCTTTGTTCAAGTCCCAGACTTGCTGAAAATCAGCTGACTCCTGTGAAGGTGATAATGGGGAGTAATGCTGTGAACCACACTGATACTGAAGACACATTCCAGAAAGCTGCTGATGAGGCAAAATTTGGTCTATCAGGTCTGACATTGCATGTACCAGACGTGCTGCTACTTAAAGAAATGATGGCTACTTCTTTTGTAAAAGGGATAACCATCTTACAAAGTGTCTTTTGTGTAAATTTCTATTTTTATATATTAGTAGGTACATTTTAGAATTTAAAAAGCTGTCTTGAGTCATTTCTGGAAAGAGTGGAGTATAAACAAATCTGATAATTTTGCCAAAACGGAAAAAGAGGTGGGGTGAGGGTAGTGGATCTGCATGTGAGAAAGGGACAGAATGACAGCTCATGAAGAACCATGAGAACAGATCCTGATTCTGCAAGTTCTACTGAACCCTCAGAGGCCCTGCTGAAGATGAGGATGAGGATTACTGGGATTAGGGCACAAGCCAGTGTTGGATCTCACAGTCTGGGTCAGGCTGGGAGTGGCTCCCACAGTCTGGGCCATACTCTACTGTCTACCCGCATTATAACTGAAAAACAAAATCTAATCTCACCCTCTTGAGTCATAGAATAAAGTCCTAATTGGTCAAAACTTTTGTTCCTGGTCCCACACAGCCTATCACTTGGGTAACAGCAAAAATAATAACAATAATAACCAAAAAATAAAACCTGGTGTTACTATAAGTCCTTACTATGTGTGAAATGCCTTGTATACATCATCTCCTTTAAGCCTTATAATGACTTACTGAGATATGTTCTATTATTTCTCTCTTTTGTAGAGGAAATGGAAGCTTAGAGTTGCCCAAGGTCAAGTGGTGATAAAAGGGGAAGGCAGGATGCAAATCCTGGTGTCTGCCTCCTGAGTCCAGTCTTGAACCAATGACACACAACTAACTTTCTGGACTTCGTGCCTCCTCCTCCCCATTGCTCAGCCCCTCCCCGATGTGAGTTCCCACTTCTAAGCTCCTGCCTGCCTATCACTGGGAAAGCCCCCTTTCCAGCCCTGGTCCCATCCTATCACACTCATGCCTGGCTCGGTTCCACTTCTCCCTTGAATGTCTCTCTGCTGCTCTAGCTTACAAGGGTTGCCTTTTCCCTGAACAATCACTCTGTCTATATTACACATATGGCACACCTTGGATTTTAATATTTTACTGCCATTTCTGTTTAAAATGTGTATGTCATCTGAACTAAACTGTGAGGTTCTGTAAGCCTAAATTAATGCCCACTTTTGTGTGTGCTGGTCATTCATATTCAACTTTGAACAAATGCGTTATATATAATAAATACTAGGGTATAAAGGATCATTTAAATAATTTTTTAATGTTATCTATAAAGAGTTTTTAATAACACAGAAAATATGTGTTTAATTTTATTACATGAGAAAAGCAACATGCAAACATGCATAAGCAATGCCATCTCAGCTATTATAATTCCACATGATAAATCACGTGTAGAAAATTTGAAACATAAAATATACAGGGTAATAAATAGGGCAAGAAAGGCATGGAACCTCATTCAGATTTAGTGACTGCATCTTCATTATTTCCTGCAATCATTTTCTTATTAACAAATTAGAGAATGTGACAAACACTCAAAATCCAGAATGTAGTATGTGGACCCCCTACTATGTATGTCTCAAAATGAGCCACCAGCATGTCTGAAGAAAATATTGTGATATTTACTGAAATTTATTTTTATGTCAAAAATAGGCAAAAAGAGTAAACTTCCCTAAGCGCAAAGGATCTTTTGAATCATTAACATAAATGAACACATACACATCTCTGAAGTCTCAATTTAAAAGAAAGAACACTTTATTATAAATGCACCATTGAGGAAGAATGATGTTTCCAAAATTTCCTGCAGCTGGAGTACAGGTGCTCACCAGGGACTCAGAGAAGGTAGATCCTAATGTCTTGAGATGAGGGGCGTAGTTAACTCACTGGCTCTGAGGCCCACAGCTCTGGGTAGACCACCACCTACCCACTGGCTGCGTGCCCCTTGGTAAGCTACTTCACCCCTTCCGGTCTCAGTTTGTTCCCCTGTAAAAGTTGCTTTGCCAACTAAGTGAGACAAAGCACACAAAAAAAGTTTCGCTTGTTGCTCTGTAAATAGTAATAGCTCAATTAATATAGTAGCTATTGTTCTTTGAAAGGGGACTTAGAGATCCTGGAAGGCTCAAGGGCAATTATTTTGCAGATATTTCAGAACAAGACTTGAGCAGACAGGATTTATAAACTGACTGAAGAGGGAGACACCTGGGATAGAAAACGGAAGGGCATCTTCAGCAGGGGGACAGTCCCAGCTAGAGGGATCATATTGGCCTAACTCCTCTCTCTGCACTTCCTGTCTTTCAGGCTGTTCTAGATGTGGCTCTTCAAACTACAAAGATCGGAAGTCACTCAACCTAGCGCAAATTAAAGGGGATTACTACAAGAATATGGAGTGTATTAGGCTGTTCTTGCATTGCTATAAAGAAATATCTAAGGCTAAGTGATTTATAAGAAAAGAGGTTTAATTGGCTTATGATTCTGCAGGATGTACAGGAAGCATAACACTGACATCTGCTTCTGGGGAGGCCTCAGGAAGTTTTACTCATGGTGCAAGGTGAAATGAGAGCTTTCAAGTAACATGGTGAAAGGAGAAGCGAGAGAGAGAGAGAGAGAGAGAGAGACAGAGGTGGGGAGGTGCCACATACTTTTGAATGACCAGATCTCACATGAACTCACTCACTATTGTGAAGATAGCACCAACGGAATGGTGCTAAACCATTCATGAGAAATCCACCTCCATGATCCAACCACGTCCCACCAGGCCCCACCTCCAACATTGAGGATTACAATTCCACATGAGATTCAGAGGGAACACAGATCCAAATGATATCGCAGAGGTATATGGAGTCCAAGAGAGGCATAGTGAGGGAGAACTGAAAAGGTAAGGAACTGAGGCTACTCTAAACATGTCTCTTTCCCTCTCCCTCCTCTTTCCCCCCTCCACTCACTTCTTCTGCTTACTTATCTTGCACTCGACCCACCTAAAACACAAGCCTTGACCTGAGCAGCCATCACCAATGAGCAGAGAGAGGTTTCTCAGCCTCTTACTTCAGATTCTTACAAGAGGAATTCTGATTGGCTCAGTTCCTCTGATGGAGCCACATCCACTCAAGTCCAGCCTAGCCCAAGATCCCATAGATCGGGTGTATACCTGTGGTGTGATCAGCACTGCCTTCCCCTCCCATTTTTTTTAGAGTGTAGACTGGCAAACAAGGAAACTTGTCTCTTGCAGAGATGTGGGGTGTATCTTTGTCCAGGCCTTCACCATGAACAAGGCTGTGGTGCTCACGCCACCGACTTAGGAGGTCTGACCTTGAACTCTGGGAGACTTGAGGAATGTCTGATGACTCACAGGCTGACATTGAATCAGTCCATGTCCTTAAATCTTGCAAAAGGAAATCTGCTTATTTTATATTCCCTCATGGACTTCAGGGCTTTGTTTAACAAATATTACAAACCTTTCCTGCTCTGCTGGAATTAAACAGCTTAAAATTCATCCTTTTGGCTACTTAATTTTCTTGCTTCTTTTGCCAGTGAGATTATAACATTCTTGAAGGGAGAATTTCAGGTGTGGTGAAGATCTTAGAGATCATTGAGGCCAACCTTCTCATTTTACAGGTGTGGAAACTGAGGCCCAGAGACAGGAAACGTCACACAGCAGGAGAGGGGCAGGTGGGACCCGGGATCCCGTTTCACACACTGTGTTCCCCAGAGTACCTTGCCATGTCTTAGGCACAGCATTGTCCCAACAAATATTCAATTGCTTTATTTCATATTCTGCTTTTGCTTTTCTCAAGCTCATTGTTCTCTATTCACATCCCTTCTCTACCACCGACTTCAATCTTAGGGGATCACTTTGCATGTGCCTTTCAGGTGTTGGTCTTTGGGGTTGTGTAGTGGAAGGTGAGATGAGGCATGGGTGAAATTTCACCTGGTTCTATCAAGCTGTTATCTCTCCAGGCCAACACCACGGTAACAGAGCGTAGACACTAGACTACCAACTTCCTTCCTTCTGCACTGTCAGTGGCCTCCAAACTGCATGATGAAGCCACTCTCTAGCTCCCACAGTAAGTCACTAGTTCTGCAATGCCTCCTGGGCCAACACCGCATAACAGGAATTTTGGCCACTGCTGACCTTCTCCCAGTGGGAAGTAACAAGTGGATGTAGCCCCACCTTCCTCCCAGAAGCCTTCTCTGATCCTTGTAGCCGACTGGGAACTCTTAGTTCATTTGACATCACTCTCACACAGTGGAGCGCTTCATTCATTTTCCTGTTATCTGCTGGGCATCAGCCTGGTCTCAGCTCCTGAAGGTAGGTAGCTTCTCTCCCCCAGCACCTACCTAGGCTCCCACCAGGCCTTCAGTCAATGTGTGGACTGACCAGTAACTTTTCCCTGGAACAGCTATGGCTACGGGGGTGAGTGGAGAGAAGTCATGGCAAGAAAGGAGAACTAGTACTTTTTGCTATTATCTTAGGCAAGTGTGAATGAGGAGAAGCAACTCCTTAAAACAAACAGAAACATTCTGACTTTTCATTTCTAGGCAGACAGGGAAACTCCTGGCCACTCAAAATCGGTCACAATTAAACCAATGCTAGCATCATTTGCTTCAGGAATCTCCAGTTCCTTCACTCTGCACCCATTAGCTCTTCCGACCCAAGCCTGCAGGTTGGGCATGAAATCAATCCCAGAGCAGAGAAGGAACAACAGACAACGGGCCACATAAGCCCCAGGCCTCCCACCTGGGGGAACTCTGGTCTGAGGCATCTACAAGGCCTTCCCCTCAAAGATCCCCATTCCAGCCTGAAATGCCCATCATCAGAGGCCACTGAAGAGAGCGCTCAATAAGAAGACAAAAGTGTCAGAGTTAGAGGAGAGAATCAGAAGAATATCTTATATGTTAATGACAGTTTATTAGACTGGAGGTAGAGCCCAGAGCCAGGCACTGAGGATGTGGAAAACAGGAGGGAAGTTTGGGTGGGCAGGCAGCAGCAATGCAAAGCCCCAGGCACTGCCCAGAGGAGGCAGCATTAGGTGGGGCAGCAGGGTAGGGAGCAGAGGAGCATGAAGAACTTTAGCTGATGTGGGTTAAGAGAGCTAGGCCAGGAGCAGGGGAAGGTTAGAATTGGGTCCAGGTTCCTTGAAGACAAACCTAACTGATTTCACATATTAAGATGTGTCACCCTCAGGAATCCTTCCTGCACTACTAGCTCTGCTGGTGTGAGTCTGCAGAAAGAAAAATTCAGGGATCATTTTTGAGGGCCAGAAAGACTCAGGACAAGAAAGGGCATCAGCCATCTTTGAGCACTTTCCATGTGACACAGTCAGCATAAACCCACGATCACCACTGGTTCTCACAAGGCCAAGAAAAGTTGTTGAGTAAGTGGCCCAAGGTCATCCCTTATGAATGTTAAGTAAGCTGCCCAAGGTCACAGAGCCAGGACGTATCATGCCTGGGATTCAAACCCAGGGGTCACACTGACACCAGAGCCTGTGGTTCCCACTGCCCCCTCACCCTAGGTGCATACCCCAAACGGAGGTGTGTGCTCTCCGTGGAAGCTTCACGTTCCACATGTTGCTCAACCTCTAGCCTCTCCTCACCTGAGGGTGCGATTTAAGCAAAAGCAAAGCCAAAACCCAGACAATTTTATTCTTATTTCCTTTGCAGGTGGCATGCCTGTCACACAATATGTAAAAACCAACAATGACAACAGGGTAAGTAAATGGGAATTTGCTGAATGTGTATATTCCAGTATTATTATATAATATTTTGTAAACCCAGGAAATTGTCCAGATGTTAAAGCATACAAATAACTCACTGCTGAGCCAATGAGGCATAAATGCTAAGAGGGACAAACCAACGGGAAGAGTCAGGTGTGCTTAAACCTGTTGCTTTGGAGTGGACGACGGTTGCCTGCCACCCAGACAACTGGCCTCTAGTACCCACTCTGTACCGAATCATGGCTGGGCATGAGTTGCTTAACTCTCTGGGCCTGTTGCCTCCCTCCTGAAGGGAGGGAATGACAGCCACCATGGCCTTTGGTACAAGAATCAAATGAGTTGTTCTATAGGATGTGAATGTCTATGCTGTTCTGTGTCTCAAGCCCGGGAGACAAGTTCTCCACACAAAACAAAATCCCACCCATCCTTCAAGGCCCATGCCACTCTCCATGGCTAATTTTTTAAATTTTTTGTAGAGAAGGAATCATGCTATGTTGCCCAGGCTGGTCTTGAGCTCCTCAGGCTCCAAAACTGCTGGGATTGTAGGCCTGGGACCTTTCGAATTAGCTCTCTTCTCTCATCTGAAGCCTTTGTACCCTTTAACCTTAATCAGGTGCTTATCCTTTCCTCTCTCTTTGTTAAAAATCTTAGAAATTCTTGCCGGGCACGGTGGCTCAAGCCTGTAATTACAGCACTTTAGGAAGCTCAGGTGGTGGATCACGAGGTCAGGAGATGGAGACCATCCTGGCTAACACAGTGAAACCCCATCTCTACTAAAAATACAAAAAAAAAAAAAAAAAAAAAAAAATTGGCCAGGTGTGGTGGCGGGCGCCTGAAGTCCCAGCTACTTGGGAGGCTGAGGCAGGAGAATGGCATGAACCAGGGAGGCAGAGCTTGCAGTGAGCCAAGATCACGCCACTGCACTCCAGCCAGGGCAACAAAGAGAGACTCAGTCTCCAAAAAAAAAAAAAAAGAAAAAAAAACTTAGAAATTCTTTGCTCAAGTATCACTTCCTCCAGGAAGTCTTCCTGACCCTCTCCCAGACCCCACCCACCCTCCATCCAGTTGGCTGCTCCAGGTTGTGTGGTGGGGGGAATTTCACAGCACTTTGTGTTAAGCGCTGACTTATCCCTTGTATAATACTTTCATTGACTGTAGTCCCTAATACTGGACTGAGCTCCTTGAGCGCAGAGACTGTGAGTCTTACCTGTTTTGGCATTCCTAGACACACCTGGTCTGTGGAAAGTGCTCACTAAATGTGAATATAAACTAATGAATAAATGGGTTTCTACAGCAGTTTATACTGCATCACACAGTTCCTCTAATGAATTTCTAGCCCCCTTCCCTGTTGGGGCATACAGTATTTTATTCAGTATTTCTCCTGAAGGCCTCTCTGTGCCAAGCTCAGTTTTAACCAAAACATTGGTGATCTGGTTAAGTCATTACTGAATTATCCACTACGTTGAATTCTCCCAACCACCCCGTCCCAGCCCTTAGCTTGGCCGAAGGAAAATTAATTGGTTGCAAAGTGCGTATCTAATTACAACAGCCAGCCCCCGACACAGAGATGCTCAAATGTTAATTATAACATATGCATCTCAATAACCGACGGTGGCATTTAGTGCAGCATTAATCACGCCACTTGGGCCCCCCAGTGCATACACAAAGCTCCTTTTCATCTGCCATTAGCACAGACTTTGCACTTTCGGCACGGACGTTCTCATCCTTAAAGCCTTTCGGACTCTAAAACCAACGTTTCCCTGTAAGCCTGGACTGCGCCTAAGCCCCCAGTTCTCCCACCGCAGAGGCCCCCACCCAGGGCTGCGCCAGCGCCGTGGGGTCGCTGGGCGGCGGGTTTTGGCGTCGCTAGACTGGGCTGTCTTGGCAGCTAAGGCGACATCCCGAGCGTCCTGGGGCCACCCTGCTCTCCAGGGCCCGCCATCCTGGAAAAGAAAGGCGAACTACATTACCCAGCAGGCCTCCAGCCGCCCTCTTTCCTTTCAAGTCTTTGCACGTGGCCGGAGGGGAGGGCGGGGCCTGAACGTCACTCTCCTACATTCTCTTTCCCTGTGTCAGATCAGGGATCATTTTTTTTCCTTCCTCTACTCCCTCCCCCCTACCCGCCCCTCCCTCCCTGTTTCCCTTCCCTCCCTCCCTCCCCTCTCTGCTGGGTCTGTGCGCTGGGGCGCCCGATCCCCTCCGCAGCTGGGACGCTCCGAACTCGAGGCAGGAGTCGGCTCTCCGGAGCCTCGTCCCTCCCTTCCCCTTCCCTGCCCCCTTCCCCCACCCCCGACTCGGGCTTGGCGCGGCGGCCAGAGGAACCCCGAGGTGAGCATCTCCTCGCCCGTCCTCCTCTTATAGTCATCTCAGCTTGCTGATCGATTCGGGGACCCGGGAGGAGGGCTGCGTGACGTGGGCGTGCTTATAGATAAATCCGGGAAAACCGCCCCAAACAATCAGCCCCCTTCCCCCCATCCCTGCTCCTGGGCCAGCGGGGTGTCCGCACCCATCTACCATCCCCTCCTCCCCCTCGGTGGGGAACTGCACTCCACAGTGTCGCCCCCTCCCTGGGTTTGTCCCATTCCCTGCCGGGTTCCCCGCCCCGCGGGGTGTCGTGGCCCTGGAGCTCCGGCGCCAAGGGGGGCTCTTGGGGGACGCACGGCTGGAGCCCGGCTCGCTTTGGAGCTGCGCGGTGTAGCCGCTGTCATGTGCCGGGTTCCGACCTGGGAGGAGGAAAAGAGCGAGCGCGATTCCTCTCCCTTTTGTTTTGAAGCCCGCATTTGCTGCATCGAGCAGTTGGTTTAGTATCAGCCAAACTTGCAGCTGTTCAGACCGCGCTCCGCCGAGGTAGGGAGCCCGTCTCGGGGTGGCGTTTGGGGGCCGGGGGCTGCGGCACTCGGGGCTGCGGGAGGGACCCCGAGAGTGTGTCGCCACGCCGCCCCTCCCTTCCCCGGTGACTGATTGTGTCTGTGGCAGCGGGCGTGTGTGAGTGTGCGCGCCCGTCCCCGCGGGCTCGGGGATGTCTGTGGATGGCTGTCGTCTAGACAGGGCGCAGCCCCCTCCCTGCGTCCCCGGTGAGCCCGCGGGCCGCGGGGGGAGCGGGGGATGGGAGCAGAGGAAGAAACCAAATCGGTGGACCCGTTGCGGTCTCCCCTTTGGTTATTCCCAACGGTTGTGGTTCTGTTGGCTTTTTTTATTATTCCTGTCGCTGCGGTGCAATCGGGCCTGGGGAATAGATACGCCCGGCGGAGAGGGGTTCACTTGACAGGCTCTGAAAAGCCACCTCTGGGTGGCGAGTGACCCGAGAGGCCGTGGGGTGGGCTCCGGCTCGGGTTCATCAGGACGACGAGCAGGTAACTGTCCCGGGCGCCGGTCATGGGGGAGGGCGGGCGGGGGGGCGATGGCTTGGGCTGCGGCGAAGGTCTGGGGCCTCGGAGGGCCGCGTGCCGGTGCCTGGATGTGGCCGGAGGGGGCGTCCGGGACACCGCGCGCCTGAGCCGAGTGTTTCTCTATTGATGGTAAAAGACAATCGGGAGGGGGGTGGTCCGAGCCCGTTATCTGGGCGGCGTTGGCTCTGTTTGGTTCCGCGGAGTTTTCAGGGTTGGGGCTGGGGGGTGTGAGCACCGCGGGGTGTGCGGCGTGTAGAGGGGAGGGCTGACTGGCGGCGCCGCGTGCGTCTCCACCCCGAGGAGTGAGGCGTCGCCTCCCCCGCCCGGCTGTTTGTGTGTACACACGGCTCCGGTGTGTGTGGGGGGCGGGGACCGCAGACCGCGGCGTAGTGGGGACAAGCGTGGGCCCCGATCCTCCGCGCGACCTGTCCCGCCAGCCCCCTCCTTGTCTAAGTCGGGGTCGTGTGTCCCCGCGCGCGCGCGCCCGAGTTACTTGGAGAGGGGACCGTGCGGCTGTGGGCCGGGGAAGACCGTAGGGTCGCGTGTGCTGGTCTTCGGTGCAGGAGTCCCAGGTCCGCTGTGCGGCCGGAGTCACACAGCCCCTCCCTCCGCGTCCGCGACGCCCCGTGACCCGGCAGACTGGGGGTCCACCCGGCGGCGCGGGGGGTTGGTTTGGCTGCGCCGCCCCCAGTCCACGCTGGGGTGACCCCGCACCGAGGCGTTCTATGGGTGTGCGTGCCCGCGCTCGCCGCCGCTGCCTTCGCAGACCGGGGAGAGAGTCAGCGACTGCCAACCGCAGCCCCGGCTCTTCAGTCTGGGGACAGTGGGAGCCCAAGCCCAGCGCGCCCCAGCCCGGCCCAGGCCGCCGCCCGCCCGGCGCTGTGTCTCTGCGGCCCGAGGATTATCCCCCAGTCCAGGGGCCCGCGCGACCAAGGAGGAAGCCGCTGGAGCCGCCGGCTCGGCCGCGGCTAGAGCCTCCGTAGGGCGAAAGTGACACAGCGCGAGAGAGCGCCGCCGCTGCTGGAGCCAGGGCCGAGAGGAAGGAGCCGCCCAGAGCGCAGGGAGGGGCCGCCGGCTGTCCGTTCCCAGTTCCTCCTGCCCAGGGCCCGATCTGGGCTGAAAACCTCAGGAATCCAGGCTCCTAGCAGGCTCGGGCTGCGCGAGGAGATGGCCTGGCTTTCAAGAAAACCCAATTATACGTGAACAGAATGCACCGAACAGACGCTAGAGGATGGCCAGGACACGCTCAGGTTGTCTGGGGAAACTCCTGAGTGTTTGACACAGGATTCGATTTACACACAGATCACCTCATCTGTGTCAAGTATCTGTCCTGGATAATGGATGCTCAGAGGCAGCAATTTTGTAACACATTCTAGGGCACAGTGTCATCAGTGATTAACAGCTTGCTAGAATAATAATATGTTTGTATGACCTTACAGGGCAGGTTTTCTTCCCCCAGAACCTCCCCCCTCCCCCGCCAGATATCATAGCATTTATTAAGAGGGTCCTGTGAGGTAGGAGAGTATTAGCCCCATTTTACGGATGAACACACTGAGGCTCAAAAATGTGGCTTGCATAAGGCCTCTGGGTGGGGGAAGGGCCACATTCCCCCTTTTCTCAGCTTATGGCATTTAATTAATAGTGGCCACTTTTTTTCTGAGTATGGATTCTTGACACCTCAGGAAATACTGAAGCTAAAAAATAGAGTATATTATGCTGACACATATTCTTTCTCAAAACACTCTTGATTTGTTAACCATTCCTAATGAGAGCAGCCACTAAAGAACGGAAGTCTGCATTGCTGTTATTACCACGCATTTAATAATTTGCTGTTGGTGAATGGATAGCAGCTGTGATACATCCAGTTTCTACCAGAATCATATGTGCATATAATAAATGTATATGGTATGCCTGTTCATGTAACACTTACCTGTGTTTGTATGGCTGTGTTCATTGAGTCTTTATTGAATTCAAGGAGCAAAGAACTTATACATGCCTGCATGGATTTCTCAGAATTCATGCATGTGAAGGCTGTCAGACAGCCTGGAGGGTTATTAAGTTTAGCCAACTAATCAATTAATTAACCATTCACTCAATATGTACTGGGCACCTACATGTTTGTGTATCTAGAAGTGCATACAAAGAAAACTTAACAAATGTTAATTAAGTCCAGCAAATGTTTATGAAGCACCAGCCTCACTTAGGCCAGATACTCTGCTTCTCTACAAAGATAGTAGAGCAGAGATAGTTAAGTTGCAATGCAATAACACAGCCTACAGGAGGGAACAAATCATAAATATTTTAGAGCAGTCACCCTGGAACTTAGTTTCACATATGTTGGTTTCAAGGGGCCCAAGATGCCAGTTCTTATTCTAGAGCAAATGCAGAAGGAAGCGATGGGGAAAAAACACCTTGATAGCCTTGTTACCCTGAACTTCAGGCTGTTTGCAACCTCCCGGGAGGGCCCAGAGGTATGTTCTTCTGTGGAAGTTAGGCAGCTGATGGAAATTACCCTGAAGCCAACCAACAGGTTTCTGGCGACACGGAGCTAAGGAGATGTTCTCCGTGGTCCCGCCCCAGCTCAGATGTGCTGTGACTCAGGGACAGGCTGTGGCTTTGGTCAAGGTCTCACTCAGGCCCTGCCTGGGTGTAGGAGTTTCTGCCTTACAGGTCTGTGTAGGTGTGTTAATACAAGTCTGCTTTTTATCTAATCCCAAACTCACCGTCTGGTCCCAGATATTGTCCTCTAATTTCATTTCTGTTTTGGGCTCCATTGCCCTTGTTTTAAGGTTATGTTGTTTGCAGCTCAGGTCATGAAGGAGGAGGCAGGAGATGGGTGGTTAGGTTGGAGAGAGAATCCTGAGCCCAGATAGAGAACAGGAGGTACAAACATGCAGGCAAATTGCAGTTTCTGAGAATTCTCCACACGTGGTGGCATTTCTGCATAACTTACCTGATAACACAGCCCCATTTGATGTCCTTGGCTTGGCAGGGGGAGGGGGCGTCTACCTCTGGGCCTCACTGCTGACTCACCGGCACCCTGAGCTCAGCTGCTTCCTTTCAGGTTTGGGTTTTCTTTTGCCCCTGCCTCCCGCTGTGTGCGGTTTAATTTAGAACCTTGCTATAATGGTGGCCTTCTCCCTGTGTTAGCACCGTGCTCTCAGCATGCCTCTGACTTTGGAATTAAGGCCAGAGCTGTGGTTCACAACGGGGTGAGAACAGACACATCCTTGGATCTCCGGCACCCAGAGCTGGGGAGGACTTTGAAGATGATCTGATCTTCACGTGAAGACCTGAAGCCTAGGGAAGTGGAATGACTTGCCTAAGGTCATGGTGAGCCCTTAGCAGAGTGGGTAAAAAATCCTGGAATTTGAGATTTCATCCAATCTTCTTTCTATGTACCGTAATGCTTTCTGGAAAAAAGTTAGGTTCTTCCCAAAGAGTGAGAACTCTTTATCTTCTTCTCTCCTGTCTTCTGGTTCTGGGAAGGGCTCTGAAATTCATTTGACTTCTCTTTCCTTCACAACTGGCCCTTCCTGCCTTATCTTCATCTTTGGCATTCATGAGCAAATGAAGGTCTGTATTTGGGAAATATAGGGTGTCTTGGTGTCCTACAGTGCTCTTAAGCTTGGTCTGTGGCTTTCTGGCCCTGAGGCAGGGTCCTCAGGAACCTTTTGGAAGTGTTTGCAAAGCTGGGATGCGTGTGTACTTTTCTAGGAAGAGAATCTACAGATTTCATTTGATTCTCAACTGACTCAAGTAAGGACAAAACTACTGGTAGGGAGAAGGACAGAAAGGTTGGATAGTGGTTGGTTGACACTGGGGCTACTTTAATACGCTGCACTTGATTTGGCTTTACAGTTTGCAAACTATTTCACACAAATTATCCCATCTGCCTTTTATAATAGGTGGTTATCGTTATCAGCCTGTGAGGCAGTTGTTGTTATACCCATTTTGCAGAGCAGGAAGCTGAGCCTTCATGGTTAGTGGCATGCCCAAGTCACGAGTAAGCAGTAGAGCAGGGATATGAACCCTGACTTCAGACTTCAGGTCCAGTGCTCAGGGCTGAGGTGGCTTGCTGTCTGACATCATTATGATGAACAGAAAGCCTTGAACTTCCCAGAGCTTCTTAATGCCTACTGTTCACTCATATTCGGCCACAGAGCCAGACCCAAATGCTCACTTACCCAAGGGGTAGGGGAGATAAAGTATGGGAGGCAGTTACCATAGCAACGATCTGTAGAGTGGAGCCAGTTTGGGATGGTTTCATGGATGAGGTGAATTTGGGAGTAGGCCTGGGTAATGGTGGAGGAGGTTTTAGGCTGGGGCAATGGCCCAAAAATGGTTAGGGGGCAACTAGGTGCTTGGGGTGGGTAGAACAGACCTAAGAGGTTTACTTGATCATCCTGCAGTCGGTGCGAGCTTCACAGTAGTTGTCGGGCTGCTTTTCTATGCCTGTCTTTGTGCTAGGCCCTGGGGCTATGACAGTGAACAGGTACAGCCCCCTGCCTTCAAGCAGCCAGCTTTCTAGTGGGAGAGACAGATGCATAAACAGTTCCATTCAACGTCATGTGGGAAGTCTAGGTAGAGAGAAGCCCAAGGCCCTTACAGCGGCACAGACAAGGGGCAGCCACCTGCTCCGGCCTCAGATGTCAGGGAGGGCTTCCTAAAGGAGACGGCTCAGGAGCTGAATCTTAATGGATGAAAAGGAACTGGCCAGGAAAGGAGATGGGAGACGGGCATTCAGGGAGAAGGCATGGCGTGCGCAGGGTGTGGAGGCATGAGGCTGCCTGGGTGTAGGAAGGAACCGCAAGCAGTGAGGTCAAATGCAAAGGCGGAGATGCAGACAGCGCTCAGAGTGGAGGAGCTTTGTAAGCCTGGTTTCAGACCTTGGCTTTTAGCCTGCAGGTAAGGCATAGAGGAAGGACTTTAATCAGAGAGGTGTACAGCCTTGCTTGGATCGGAAGGGAACAGGACTGGGAGCCAGGCGGCCATGGGACTGGTGAGGCAGTAACAGGCTCTCCACGGCATCCAGGTCATAGGGGGTGAGACCTGGAACAAGGGCCATGCATCTAAGGATGGACCAAAGGTCATACATTAAAATTAGTTGGGAGTAAAGTCCGCAGTGATTACTTAGACTTGGGGGATAAGGGAATCATCTCAGTGGCTCCCAGGTTTGTGGCCTCACTGACTAGATGGACGGCAGCTCTTAACTCAGGTGCGAACTTCTGGTTGCTGGAGCAGGGTCTGCTGGGGTTGGGGTGGGAGGGAAGATCATGGTGAGTTCAGTGCTCCGGTATTGAATTGGAATTGCTGGTAGGATAGTGGGGTGGTGCTGCCCTACAGACAATGCACTGTGCAAGCTAGAGGCTGCAGAAGTGTGTGCCCAAGCTGAGCCCTGGGAGCGGGGAAGCATTGGCCACTGAGCGTAACCACGGTGAGGGCTGCTGTAGACAATGAGAGCAGACCTCTTCCTCCCATTGTCAGATAATCCTTTGTCATGCCGGCCGCTGTCGTCAGGGAAGCCAGGCGGGGATGCTGTGTCATGCTGGAGGCCCAGCTGGCAGAATCCAGCGACAGCCAAGAGCGTGTTTCAGCTGGAAGCATTAGAGTGAGTTAGGGGAGAGGCATTTCGCTTTTTAACATCCACAGTGAGCAGAGCCCTGTCCCAGCCCCTTGGAGTGTACAGAGTGGGGAAGCCCTGGAACCTGCTTCCAGGAGCAGGTAGTTTTGTTGGGGAGAGAAGATATGAACATATGAAGCCACTAAAAAGCTGTAACAACCCCAGGGAAGAGTGGAATGCAACTTAAATAGAGTGTTGCAGATCCCTCTCTTCCTGCCATACTTCATTTTTATAGAGCTGATGTGTTTTAGGCAAACGTCCAGTCTTTGCATGTTTGAATTCTCAGAACCGACAATAGTGCCTGGCACATTGTAAGTGTGTGTTCAGTCTATGTTTGTGGATCTGCAGGGATGTACCCAGAGTTAGTCGTCTGGGGTGGGAGGTCAGTCAGGGAAGGTTTCCATAAGCACGTCCAAAAGGGGCATCCCAAGACTGATTTAGAATACTTTTAGTACCACAGTGGAGTAAAAATCTTGAAAACCTTCCAATGACAGAGCACCTAGAAAGGCTGTGTAAGCTGTAGCTAGCGTCCTTTCAAAGAAGAGCTAAGCTCATGGAATGTAAGGGAAATCCCCAGGGATCTCAGGCAGTGTGGACGGTGAGCTCCAGCTGAGGCTCGTCTAGGCCTGGGGGTTGGGAGAGGTGTTGAGGGGTGCTTCCTGGCCTCAAAGCCCAAGGGTTTGAGTCGTGACTGCATCTCCTCCGAGACTAGAGATGATACCAGGAATCAAGAGCCCTGCCTAAAACAGGACCTGGTAAAAGTTTGCATGCTGGGAGAAAGGATGGACTAGACAGCAGCCCGTCCGCATGGGGGATGGAAAGTGGGTGTGCTGCTTTTTGTCTTGACCTGGATGTGAGGTGGAGAAAAATCTTCCCTAGAAATGTGAGACCTCAGGCCTGTTAGAGCTTTGAATGTCCACTACACATGTGGTCCAGGAGGCCCTCAAGAGAGAAATTAGCATGTAAAGACTTGGGGGCCAGTGTCTTCCTGACTGTGAGCTCTAGGGCATCAGGGGCCTGGGGAGAGTCTGGGGCTCTTTGCCCTTTGCTGACTTAAATCTCCACCTTGGGAGATGCTTTGCGATCAGGGCAGGGTAAGTGAGGGAGGAGAGAGAAGAGAAAGGGCAGAGGTGCCCCTCGGTAGGAACCTTTTAAAAGGGCCTTGGAGACAGCTGCACAACTCGGGGAGGCATGTGCAGGATGGCAGAGAAGGACAGTTCCATCCAAGCCTTCATCTCTTAGGAAAAAACTTCAGATGAGCCCCGTCTAGGAAGCCCAGAACATTCTCCCTACTGCATACTCAGGTCAGGTTCTTACAGATAAGGTTTCTTTCCAGGGTCCCCTTAAGGGTGCCCTGTGCAGATTGCAGTTGCTACTGGTCCTCTAGACTGGGCACTACATTGTCTTCCCATGCTCAGAGTCTTTAGTTCCTACAGTTTCAAACTCAGGAGACATCTTAGAGGTCATCTGGTCAACCCTCCACCTGGTGTGGGAATCCTGACTGCAGCAGCGCTTGGTTCCAATGTGCTTGCTGCTTGTGGCCGGGAGTTTATTGCCTTGGAGGCAGCGCCTTCCCTTATGTTATAGCTGGAAAGGCCTTGTACTGAGCTCTGGCCACCCTCCTCGCTGGCCATTTTCACCCATGGCCCCTGCAGCTGTTGTGAGAGATGGTTTCTAGACCTTTCACCATCCTGCTTGCTTCTGCTGGAAGGGCCTCCATTTGTCAAGCTGAGATTCTGTGAGAATCCAGCCAACTTCTGTCCTAACTTACTTCACACAGAGGCAGCTTTTGAAGATAGATGTGAGGGTAGCTGAGCCGGCTGCATAGGCGCAGTCTGTGATGGGGGAGTTCTGAGAAGCTTTGGCTCGGTGCTTTTCGGATGATCATGAGAGAGGCAGCAGCACCTGCTGCAAGTTCCTTCCTCCGACGCCCAGAATACATTTCAGCTTATAAGTAAGTAACTTGGGAATCCCATGCAGGGAGCTGTGTGGAATTTATTGAGTGCAGGGAGTTTATTGAGTGCCTGTTAAATGCCAGGCACAATGCTGGGCGCTCTCTGTGTGCCTCGCTAAATGAAAGTAACCTCTCTGAGGGAGACAGAGAGGCAGAGATATGGTAATGCCTAACTGTAGTTATGACAATTGAGCCCTGAAGGGATTCAGAAAGAATGTGTGTGGTTCCATCCAGAGTGGGTGGAGCTGACACATTCCCCATGCTGTTCCCTTATAGGGCCTTCCCCTGGGGTAGGCAGTATCATGATCTCACCAGTAGCTGGGAACACACAGGCCTGTCCCACACTCTTGGGGCATTTGCTGAGATACTTACACGTTTGAACCATGAGATCAAGAAAGTGACCTGCTAGAGAATTCACATCTTGGCATGTCACCAAACAGGCTGGTGTTTACAAGCAAAGTATTTTTTACAGCATGCGGTTTATCTGTCTCCGGTATCTACCTACAGTACCCTGGGCACTCTCAGGAAGCAAAATGTCTTTCTGTTCCTCCATCTCCTTGATGCTTGGCATCTGTGTGGGTCACATATTCAGCAGATTGGGTAATAAAGAGCATGCGTTGCCTTTGCAGCAAGGTTGCATCAGATGGCTGGACGTGCCTGGATGTGCTCTGCCACTGGCATGAAGGACCCTGTGCAGACAAGGCCAATAGTGAAGGTCAGGGATTCCGAGAAAGCACCCAGTTTCTCCTCTTCTCCCTCTAAAAATGGTTTCTTCTGCCCACATTCTATTGATTTGCCTTAATCCTTTTAGCTGTTAACCTTTGCCTCAGTTTAGTGGACACACATGGTATCTGCAGTGGGTCTGGCTCTAGGAGTGAGGTGAGATGAATTGAGGTAAGCCTGGCAGGGTCCCTGCTGCCCATCTGCCCATCTTGCTGGGGAAGACAGAATAGCCTTGCGCTAGTGTAAGGTGGTAAGTATGGGGTCAGGAGAATGAAAAGGGTGCCAAGGCAGCCAGAAGTCGGATGACTGTGAATTTTTTTTTTTTCCAATGGATAATCATGCTGGGACACAGATATAAACTGAGGTTGTCCTGGGTAGGTGAGGGCTTATGGACACATGGGCCAGGGAGGGCGTATGCATGTGGGTCATACCTGACACTATTATCAGACACTGTTATCAGTCATTTATACTGCAGGGTGCACATAGGGGTGATGGGGGAGGTGCTCGTGCACAAGAGGAATTGGCAGCTGTTTCCTTCCTTTGCTTAGAGGACGTAGGGGAAAGCATTATCTGTGGGGACTGAACTCAGAATTCAGATGGGGCTCAGTTTACAGCCACAGGGTTCTATCTTATATCTCACCATGATCTCAGTTTGGGGATTGGGGTGGAAGTATGGACAGATGAAAACCATCGGGCTTGTGGGATGTTATTGGCTACAGGTAAAAGAACAGTGTACTAACGATGGCTTTAAAAACAAGGTGTTTCAACTCAGCCAGAAGTCTAAAGGTAGGAGCTCTAGGGTTGGTTCATTCAGGGAGTCAGCGATCATTTCAAGGACTCTGTCTAACCTAGGCTGCCATCTTCAGCACATTGGCCTTTGTTCTCAGGCCAGTCCCCTTATGGTCATAGCATGGCTGCCACTGCTCCGGGCATCATGTTCTCACATAACTGCGTCCAAAGGCAGGCAGGAAGGTTAGATTCTCCTTGTCTGTCTTAATTTGTCAGGAAGGGAAGCCTTTCCCAGAATTCCCCTGCTGAAGATTCTATCAAGGCTCCTTGAAGAGAAACGGGTCAGTACCCATGCCTCCGCTCCAGTGGAGGAGGAGAAAGCAAGTCCCTGGTGCTTTCGCCTCATCTAGAGCAAGAGGCAAGCTGTGTTTGCAAGGAAGTGGGGAAGGGAGCAATGGTTGGCTAAGCAAAGAGGAACATTTACTTCACCAAGTTTCAAGATGTTTTTATTTATTGGGGGGGAGTTAGTGAATTAGCTTTACTTTTTTTTATATCTCAATATTGTTGAGGTTTTTGTTTGTTTGTTTGTTTTTTTAAAATCTCACCCCCTAGTTCTGGCAACCACCAACCTGGTTTATATCACTATAGGTTTGCCATTTCTGGTAATTATTACTTCTTAAGCCACAGGTAATGCTGGTGCATAGGATCCCAGGTGTTCCATGGATGCCTTTTTTGTGGTCCCAGGACATGGGTTCTGTGGTCTGTTCTCCCAGCAGCTCCTCCACTTTCCCGACACTGGGGCCAGGTGGAGAACCCCAGTAGGCAGAATTGTCCAGAGGGAGGGAGCATATGTCACTGGTGGCCTAGGCAGCAGGACTGGAAAGGCCTGAGGGCCTGAGGCTCCAGTGGGTTGGTAGAGGATGGCAGTCACCTTTGCAGGCAGCTGTGGGTTGGGGAGAGGAATTGGTGCTCAGCTGTGGCCTGCACATTCTGCAGAATGAGTTCTGTTGTCCCTGCTGATTGGGAAGCCTGGCCCCAGGGAATGCAGGGTGTGGGAAGATGGTGGTGGATGCCACCTTCCCCTCCCCAAACCACTATCCCCTCTATACATACACATGCAAACAGCCCAGGCCGTGGGGCTGACCATGCAAGCTAAGAGACAAATCTGTCCCCTCTGGGCTCCTCTCCACTCTGCTCAGGGTGTCACTGTGTCCTCCTCCCCCTCTTCCCACAGCACAGTCTGTGGGTTGCTAGAGCACTTAGCACTTCCCATCACTCCCTGCCTCCTCATCATTCCTTGGATACTTGCCTATCTGTCCCCTGGGATCATGAGCACCTTGCTACTGTCCTGGGAGTCATCAGGGCATTTCCTATAGGGCTAGGGTGGTGCCGGCCACAGGGTCCATGCTTCATGGAAAAAAAAGTATTTTTAAGGCAAGATACATATTTCTAGAAAGGGACTTGTTCATTTGGTTATCTGTCCAGATTCCAAACCAGTTCCGTGTGGCACTGCACAGTGCCCTGGACGAGAACTTACGGATCTCTACATGTTTTCCTCCCTAAGAGGAAGAAAGGTAATCAACTATCCTGTTCTGGGCTGAATTGTGTCCTCTCAAAATTCATATGCTGAAGTCCTAACTCCAGCGCCTCAGAACTGGATTGGTGGCCAGGCCTTTAAAGAGGTAATTAAGGTAAAATGAGATCATGAGAGTGGGCCCTAATCTAGTATGACTGGTGTCCTTAAAAGAAGAAGAGGACACAGATAAGACACAGATGGGGTCAACAGTGTGAGGATGCAACGAGAAGGCAGCCATCTGCAAGTCAAGACGGAGGCCTTGGAAGAAGCCAGCCCTGCCAACACCTTGATCTTGGACTTCCAGTCTCCAGAATAAATACATTTCTGCTGATGAAGCCACCCAGTCTATGGTGGCCTGCTATGGCAGCCCTAGCAAATGAATATGGAAGGATTCTCCCCTGCAGCTTGTGGAGGGAGTGTGGCCCTGCTCACACCTTGGTTTTGGACTTCTAGCCCCCAGAATTATGAGATCATACATTTCTGTTGCTTTCAGCCACCTGATTTGTGGTCCTCTGTTATGGCAGCCATGGATACTAATACACATGCATTGTGTGTTATGCTTGTGTTTAGGACTTCACCCCCTAAGTGTATTTCATCTTTCAGCTCTGAGTGTAGTTGTTATTCTTCTCTTTTGCAGATACACCTGAAAAGTTAGCATTCCTCCTGAGGTCACACAGGGAAGCCAGGCTAGAAACCCAGGCCTGTGTGGACTCTGGCCTGCAAGCTGTTGCATTTGGGCAGTGGGGAGATGTCTGTAAACGCAGGGATTGAACAGGTGGTCTTTCTCCTGAAACCTGGGTGATCCAATAATAACTTTCTTTTTCTTTTTTTTTTTTGGAGACGGAGTCTTACTCTGTCACCCAGGCTGGAGTGTAGTGGCGCGATGTCGGCTCACTGCAAGCTCCGCCTCCTGGGTTCACGCCATTCTCCTGCCTCAGCCTCCCGAGTAGCTGGGACTACAGGCGCCCGCCACCACGCCCAGCTAATTATTTTTTTTGTATTTTTAGTAGAGACGGGGTTTCACTGTGTCAGCCAGGATGGTCTCTATCTCCTGACCTCGTGATCCGCCCGCCTAGGCCTCCCAAAGTGCTGGGATTACAGGCGTGAGCCACCGTGCCTGGCCTAATAATAACTTTCAAAGCCTAACAGTTGCTAAGTATTGTGGTGTCATAGTAAGCACTTTGCATGTGCTGTCTTCATTAGCCATTACAGCTTCTGTTTCATAGATGAGAAAATGAGGGCACTTCTTCCAACGGGGACATTTAAGCAAGAAAAGCCAGTGACTTGGCCAAAGTTGCATACCAGGCTTGCCAGTGAGAAGACAAACTGAGGACGGGTTCTCTGAACTGTGCCCTCTTGGCTCTCTAGAAAGAACTGTGTGGAAATTTCTGGATTCCTGTGTCTTAGTCCATTTGGGCTGCTATAGCAAAATACCATAGACTGAGTAGCTTATGAACAGGAGAAACTTATTTCTTGGGCTAGGAAGTTCAAGATCAAGGTGCCAGCAGATTCAGTGTCTGGTGAAGGCTCAATTTTTCATAGATTGCACCGTCTCACTGCTTCTTTTCATGATGGAATGGGTGAGGACGTTCTCTGGGGTGTCCTTTATGAGGGCACTAACCTCATTCATGAGGCTCTGCCCTCATGACCTAATTGCCTCCTGAAGGCCCCACCTCCTAATACCATCGAGTCAGTGGTTAGATTTCTAACTTGTGAATTTTGGGGGGATACATTCAGACAGTAGCGGAGGTTGAGTGTTTTACCCCAGGCCACACAGCTAAGAAGTGGCATAACCAGTTTTGCTCAAGCTTTGCCTGTCACACACAGGGATTGGCAGGTTCCCCTGTAGTCCCCTGATGTTCTGAAAAGGTCACTGGTCTTAGATTGGCCACCTGTGATCTGGCTGCTCTCAGGGAAGTCACTTCACATCTGGGTGCTTTGTCCTCGGTGACCTCAGGGCTTGGACGATATAATACTAAAGTCTCTGATCCTCTCATTCTGAGGTTCCCAGTGCCCATCCTTCTATAATACAGGGATTAGGAGGGAGAATCCCTGAGATGTTTTTGACATTTGCCTACACCTGAGGGAACAGTTGCACATCTTCCTGATACGGCCAGTTGGAAGTGTGGTTTGGCCATTCATTCCTTCCCTACAAAATTACCTCTTTGCACAAGGTAGAAATGATCCCCACCTTGTGCCAGGTTTGTTCTAGGCTTTTGATGGTGTGGGCTTTGAGTGACGTCCACAAAAGCGTGTGGGGAGAGGGTTGCTGGTGAAGTGATGTCACTGTGATTTCCTCCTCTAGGTGAAACAAAAACGTGGTTGCCTGCAGCCTCATTCGCACCAGAGAGAAGCCAGCCACGGGCGTGGCAAGCCTTGGAGGCCCAAGTTGAGCCAAAGACCTCTGTGTCTTTCCCTCCATCCTGTTTCCGTTTGCCTTTAGGCCCAGGTGGCTGGCAGATGACGGTGAGGAGCGGGTGATGGGGTAATTCCCGGAATGCAGACTGTAACCAGGGCAGTCAGAACAAGGATTGTTAACCTGCAGCCGCCCAGCTCCTGGCTCATCCCACGAGGCGTTCGTGATTTTACTCACCTCATTAGAAAAGTTTACTTAATGTATCTGTCGTAGATTTTAGAACTGGAAAAGAGGTTGAGTGACTTTCTTTTTCTTTTTCTTTTTCCTTTTTTTTTTTTTTGAGACAAGTCTCGCTCTGCCGCCCAGGCTGGAGTGCAGTGGCGTGATCTCAGCTCACTGCAAGCTCCGCCTCCCGGGTTCATGCTATTCTCCTGCCTCAGCCTCCCGAGTAGCTGGGGCTACAGGTGCCCGCCACCATGCCCGGCTAATTTTTTGTATTTTTTTTTTTAGTAGAGACAGGGTTTCCCTGTGTTAGCCAGGATGGTCTTAATCTCCTGACCTCGTAATCTGCCTGCCTCGGCCTCCCAAAGTGCTGGGATTACAGGCATGAGCCACAAAGTTCCTGATTCTCTGCGGCCCACTCATGACCTCAGAGCTCCAGACTCCCAAGCTCCCTGACACCAGTATTTGGGTGGATGGGAAGAGGCCTGCAGATTGCAGTGGGTGAAGAGGCTGTGCACACCCAGCTGCTGTGGTGGAGTGGCTGTCCGCCAGTGTGACCAGCTAAGTTGTCTTCTCATTTCTTGCTGTTGTTGGTGCCACCAGGGGTCCTTACCCCTGGCATTGTTGTGAGGTGCCTAGGGAGCTGGCAGGGCTAGTGCACTTCTTCCAATGGGAACATTTAAGCAAGAGAAACCAGTGACTTGGCCAAGTTCGCATACCAGGCTTGCCAGTGAGAAGACAAACTGAGGACTGGTTCTCTGAACTGTGCCCTCTTGCCTCTCTAGAATGAACTGTGTGGAAATTTCTGGGTTCCTGTGTCTCCCTCAGGAACTGGCTCCAGGCTGCCCCTGTACCCAGCGGCCCTTGTCTGTCTCCTCCCAGGCCGAGGCAGGCACTGCGATGGAGGCACCCTCTTCACTGTGTTTGCCAGTGCACTGCAGTGGAGAGGTTATGCCTTTGTAGGGTTGTGGGGATAGGGCTGAAAGCCCCCTGAAGGCAGGATCCACGATGGAGGAGCATTATCGTACTCTGGTGGGCTGGGAACATGGCCCCTTTCCCAAGTTCTCCTCTCTGTCAGCCTAACACCAGCTTTTCGGAGAGAAAGAATCTTCCAGGTTTCCTGAGATTTGCCTGAGGTCCCTGAGGCTCTCCTTCCCACTTCAATCTAGAAGATGGGAGAGGCTCTAAATGACTTAATCACAGATCTGAAAGCCCAGAAGGACCTGAGAGAGGCTTGGCCTCCTGCAGGCATCTGCCTTGTAGCCTCCCGGGAATTGGAAGCTTACAGCTTTGCAGCCCAGGCCATTACTTGGCAGCCCGGGCCTAAAGACATTATCTTAGACCAAGGTGTGCCTCCCAGTAGCCCTGGCTGTGATCTGAGAGGCACACAGAACGCATATCCCATTCTCCTTCCAGGGTGACCAAGTATTCAGAGTGCCAAATCTTCTTTTGGAGGTAAGCTCTCTTCCCTTAAGGTTTCTCTGGATAAGGTGTCCAAACCTCTCCTGGCTTCCCTTCTCTGTACATCTCTTTTATCAATGCTTCTCCTAAAATGGGGACACGGAATGGAATACGGTGTTCGAGGTGTGACCTGAGTGGTGCAGGAATCATGCTGCTGTCACCTCCCTCCATCTGGACACTATATTTCTGTTAATGTAGCCCATGACTGTGTAATTTTTCTTCATGGGCAGCTTCTAGATATGGGGATTCCCATTCCTTCACAGCTCCTGCCAAAATAATCTGTGGCAAAGATCTGTTTCCCCAGCCTGGACTGTTCACAGCCCTGATGAGTAGCCCAGGCCACCTCATCTGAGTCCCCTTTGAGTGGCCCAGGGAGCTAAGGTCAAGGGTGTTCAGAAGCTGGTGAGATTATTGAGGCCTGACCCACTTTGCAGAGGAAGGCTGGAGCTTTCTGCCCAAAGTGACTGTGATGGGGATTGGGGTGGATGGGCTTCCAGGCCTGGAGAAGGTGGGGATGTTTCATGCAGGCTCCTACCCCTGAAAATCTGGCCACCCACTCACCACTGGGAACCAGCTCCTGTGTCTTAGCACTGCCACCTCCCCCTGGGCCTGCCAGCCTCTGGCTTCATTTCTTTTTTGCTCAGGAAGCAGAGATAAGGTTTGGTGCTCACCTTTGCCCAGTTGCATAGAGACCCTGTGACATGGACATATTGGATGACTTCCCTGGCTGAGCCATGGAGGAAACTGTGTTTCAACTGAAGACATTCTTGTGGTGTCTGCCCCCAGGGAAGTCTCTTGGTATGTGTGTGTGACACAGGGCTCAGTTTGGGGCACTGGGCATGGGGAATAGGGGGCAAAGGAAAGGAAGACTCAACTGTGCTTTCAGGGAGCCTTCAGCCAGCAGGAGAGAGAAACCCTGAGCATGCTGGCTGATGGGAAATGTGTATCAAAAGTTTCCTTTTGCCAGGAGGAGGCAGGCAGGACTTTCAGCTCCCCAAGTCTGGGCCATTTCTGGAAGCATGAGGGTTTGGAGCTTGTCTTTTTATTCTAAACATTGAGCCTGCAGTTTTAACTCCTGGGCTGCCCGTTGGTCTTGTCTGTCCTGAGCTGCCTGCACATCGATCTGATCGTGAAGGGTGGGTGGTGAGTGCTCCGGATCGTCTCAGCAGCATCTCTGCCTTAGATGGATTCTCAGCTGCCCATCTGGAAGGTCAGGATGCCAATAGGTGGGGGCATCACTGTGGAGTGGTAGCGAAGAATTCCAGTTTTGAGGCTCACGAGCTTCCAGGATTCCAGGCTTGGCTCTGCATAAAGCTCACTACAGAATCTTAAACTCTTTGTGACTTGGTTTCCTCACCTTGCCTTTGATAGTGGAGTTGGAAAGCCCCAATGCAAGGGGAGGTGATGGTCTGCTCAGGCACCCCGCCCCAAGAATAGAGATGTCAGTGATTCACAGGTGCACAGAGAACAAGCTGGGACATCCTCAAAGTACACACTCTGGAGTGCTGAGAACTGGCTTGTTACCCACTCAGCTGCTCACTGGCATTGTGTTTGTTTGTTTTTTTGAGATGGAGTCTCACCCTGTTGCCCAGGCTGGAGTGCAGTGGCGCAGTCTCAGCTCACTGCAACCTCTTCGTCCCAGGTTCAAGCGATTCTTGTGCTTCAGCCTCCTGAGTAGCTGAGATTACAGGCACGCACCACCACACCTGGCTAATTTTTGTATTTTTGGTAGAGATGGGGTTTCACCATGTTGGCCAGGCTGGTCTTGAAATCTTGACCTCAGGTGATCCACCTGCCTTGGCCTCCCAAAGTGCTGAGATTACAGGTGTGAACCTCCATGTCCAGCCTGCTCACTGGCATTGTGACCTTAGGAGAGTTAATTTTCTAAAGCTCTGCTTCTCCAGCTATGAGATTGGCATAACAGTGTCTACTTCATAAGGCTGCTGTTAGAATGAGAACTAATATATGTTATACACTTAGCCCAGTGCTTGGCATGGAGCTGAGTCTCTGGAAAGGATGGCTGTTCTTATGATCATAGGCAAATACAGTGTGGTCAGAAGAGTCCAGCAGGGACTGAAGGAGGGGTGGGGCTGTAAAAGCAGATGGGATTGCAGAGGAGGGGAGATTGTGGCCTGGGGGTAGGGACAGGAGGATGGTGGGGAAGAGATAGAGAACTGCAGAAACAGTACCTTGAAGGCCCCCTGCAAAACTTGTTTGGAGACCTGGAAATTCACAGGTGTCAGTCACCCTTGGGCTACAGAGGGGGCTGGAACTCAGGCTGGTCATGAACCATTTTGTGCCCCCATTGTCCCAGCCAGAGCTTTTGGATGAGGGATAGGCACGTGACCAGAGCCAGGCCAACCAGGAACCTTCCCTGGAGTTTTCTGAATGGAAGCTGGGAGAGAAAGTCCTTTTCTTCTTGAGGGCATGGCATGAAAGAAGCCTGGCAGCTTTGGCCACATCCACTGCCGTGGAGAGACCTGTCCTGGGGAGACAGCACAGCACTAGCAGCTGAAGAGAAGCAGAGCTGGAAACTTAAGAGAACCAATACCTCTGCTCGATTTGTCTTCCTCTGGCTTGGTGCTGAATTTGTTAGTTTCTATAGTCTCTGTATTAGTCCGTACAGGCTGCCATAATGAAACTCCACAGACTGGGTGGCTTAAACAACAGACATTTTATTTCTTCACAGTTCTGGAGGCTGGAAGTCCAAGATCACAGTGCTGGTAAATTCAGTTTCTGGTGAGGGCTCTCTTCCTGCCTTGCAGACAGCTGCCCTCTTGCTGGGTCCCACACGGTCTCTCCTCTGTGTTTGTGCACATGGGAAGAGACAGCTGTCTGGTGTCTGTTCTTATAAGGACACCGCTTCTATCCTAATCAGACCCCACCCTTAGGACCACACTTACCCTTTATGACCTCCTTAAAGGCCCTGTTTCCAAACATATTTATGCTGGGGATTAGGGATTCAATATGTAAATTTTGGGAGGACATAATTCAGTCTGTAACACTTCTCTATTCAGTAGATTCCCTTTCTTTTTCTTTTCTTTTCTTCTCTTTTCTTTTGAGATGGAGTTTCACTCTTGTTGCTCAGGCTGGAGTATATTCCCTTTCTGTGCCTTAAGGAATGGCATTCATACCACTGGTAGAACACACAATGATTTTCAGTTAGATACTTATGGACTGGTACAAAATATAAGCCATGTATTCATCTATGTGTGCATTAAAGAATGACAAACACAACTAGTACATAGAATTTGTGATGTTCACAAGTGAAGGGAGTATTCAGTATTGCTCTGCAGGAGGCTGAGTTTAATAAAAAGTCAGTACAAGGTCAATAGTAATGTTACAGTTGGTACACGGGTATGACAGAAAACTCCAAGGTAGTGAATTCTGGGTAATGTTGCATGAACTAGTTTGGGTTGGGTTTGTGTCACTTGGCACTGGTAGAGTTTTGAATAATACATGTTCAATTTCAGCCTAAGGCTACCTCTTTTCATGTAACAAATATGGGTTCCTAAATGTTTATTTACATAAAACCTTTATACATATAATTGTAATTTCGAGTCACAAAAAGTGGTCAGCACCTAAAGACAACTGTAGTAAATATTTTTGTAAAGAATCCTTTTTTATAGTATCTGGTTTGTTTCAAATGCATCTGTTTTGCAAATTTAGATTCTTAAACAGCAACTTGTTATCTAGGATTTTGGTCATCAGAAACTTCTCAGCTGGCACCTGAAAAACATCAGCACAGTGACAGTTGATATATTTAATTGTTCAAATGATCATCTTAGCATCAAACATGCTGCAATAAAAAGTGTTCTCTTTGACATCCATTCTCCAACCAATAATAAATACACTTATTCAAAAGTTAAGTAAGGGGTGTATTTGAGAGCTAACCCATCCTGGTAAACTCATACTGGAAAACCTGATAAGCGTTTGCAGATCTTTTTCAGAATCTGTAAGAGTTATGTTGTAGGAGAGATAATCACCTGTAGCACTGGACTCAGCATTTTTAGACTAGAATATCCTCTCCCGTCTTGTTGAGTGATGGTGATCATATTTTCTGAATCAAAAATCAGGATGAGTATTTGGATATTTGAAATCAGAACTTCTCCTAACTATCATCTTTTATCTAGATGGGGACTCTGGAGTCTCATTGTCAAATTTGTTTATGTGCTCATACAAATTTTAAAAAAGTTTGTTGTTGTTTTTTTTTTTACTTAAAAAATTGGCCCTACCTTCAGACCATCCTGAGACTTATTTCCTCATCCTAGTTTTCCCCGAATATCTTAGCTCGTTTATTAATATGATAGAATGTTAAATGAGGTCTGTAGTCCTACCACCCCCCCCAATCCTAACAAACAAAAGAATATTTTCTAATGTTACCTGTGGAAGCAGATAGCTTGGTGGGCTGAATAAATGATTAGAATTTAAGAGCCTAGTTTTAGGTATTCTAGTTACTGTAGGCTGTGTGAAAAACCACCCCAAAACTTAGTGGCTTAAACAGCAATAATCCTTTGTCCTGCTCATGAGTCTGTAATTTGGGCAGGGCTCAAGAGCTACAGTTTGCATCTATTCCACATGGCATCAGCTGGGCTGCAATCAGAGCTGGAAGATCCACTTCCAAAATGGCACATTCTCATGGCTGGCAAGTTGTGCTGGCTGTTGGTTCTTCTCCATGCAGGTTTCTCCACAAGGCTGCTTGGGCTTCCTCAAAGCATGGTGGCTGGGTTTGAAAAGTTAATCCCAATGTAGAGTGGAGTAATAGACATTGGAGACTGTGAAAGGTGGGAAGGTGAGAGGCGGGTGAAGATCAAAAAACGACCTGTTGGGTACAGTGTTCACTATTCAGGCATGAGTACACTAAAAGCCCAGACTTAACCACTATGCAATATATGCATGTAGGAAACCTGCACATGTACCCCCTAAATAAATACAAATAAACCAAACAAAATAATTATATATTATGACCAAGTGGAGTTTATCCCAAGAATATGAAAAAAACCAAACCACAAAAGTGAATGGCCCAAGAAACAGGAAGGAGAGACGGCTAATTTCTTAAGGGCTGGCATAGAAATGCCAGTTATCTAACAGTCTCTGGAGTGTCACTTCCATATACTACTGGTCAAGCAGTCACAGAGTCCAGATTCAAGACGGTGGGGACACAGACCCTACTTCTTGTTAGGAGGAATTTCATAGAATTTGGAGGCTATTTTTTTTTTTTTTTTTTGAGACAGAGTCTCGCTCTGTTGCCCAGGCCGGAGTGAAGTGGTGTGATCTCGGCTCACTGCAAGCTCGCCTCCCAGGTTCACGCCATTCTCCTGCCTCAGCCTCTGGAGTAGCTGGGACTACAGGCACCCACCACCACACCCGGCTAATTTTTTGTATTTTTAGTAGAGATGGGGTTTCACTGTGTTAGGCAGGATGGTCTCGATCTCCTGACCTTGTGATCTGCCCACCTCGGCCTCCCAAAGTGCTGGGATTACAGGCGTGAGCCACCACGCCCGGCTTGGAGGCTGTTTTAACCATAACAACTGGTCTCACAAAAAGGAATATCCTTCCTTCTTTTTCTTTGAGACAGAATCTTGTTCTGATGCCCAGGCTGGAGTACAGTGGTGTGACCTCAGCTCACTGCAACCTCCGCCTCTTGGCCTCAAGCCATCCTCCCTCCTCAGCCTCCTGAGGAGCTGGGTCTTCAGGCTCACACCACTGTACCCCACAAAATTTGTTGTATTTTTTGTAGAGACAGGGTTCCACCACGTTGCCCAGGCTGGTCACGATCTCCTAGGCTCCAGTGATCCTCCCACCTTGGCCTCCCAAAGTGCTGGGATTCTAGGGATGAACCACTGCCCGGCCTATCCTTCCTTATTACAGACCTTCCCTGAGGTTTAGATTCATCTTCTACTTGCAGTCTTTTGTGGAGGAGTGAAAAAGAAATGTTTGGCTGGGTGCAGTGGCTCACGCCTGTAATCCTAGCACTTTGGGAAGCTAAGGCAGGCAGATCACTTGAGGTCAGGAGTTCGAGACCAGCCTGGCCAACATGGCCAAACCCCATCTCTACTAAAAATACAAAAATTAGCCGGGTGTGGTAGCACATGCTAGTAATCCCAGCTACATGGGAGGCTGAGGCAGGAAATCACTTGAACCTGGCGTGTGGAGGTTGCAGTGAGCCAAGATTGTGCCACTGCATTTCAGCTTGGGCGACAGTGAGACTCTGTCTCAAAAAAAAAAAAAAAAAAAAGGAGTGTTTATAAAAACTTGCTTGTATCATTTGAGCTCAGTTATAGTTAGTAAATGTTTTGCTTGAAGCCCCTTTTATATGCTAATTCTTTAAAAGTGGCTAATAATTTAAAAGTGGCTCCCCCTTGTCCTGGGCATATAGTGGAGCTTTATTTCTTCAGCCATTCCCAGAAATTGCTGAGACTGGGAAGTGCAGGCTCTTGGCTTTGCAGCAACGGAGTCTTTCGCAGCAAGACCATCCACAGTTAAGACCCTTCTCAGAGAAACTCCACTGTGGCAAGACCCTGTGCTGGCTGCTGGGGGCTGCAGAGATGGATCAGGGGACACTCCATCCCTGTGCCCCACTTTCAGGAAGCCCAAAGTATCACTGATGGAAAGCAATGGCCTCAGTGTCACTTTTTCTCAGGGTGTCCTTGTCCCCTGGCAGAACACAGTGGAAGTGTGTCTATATTCTGAATGAACTGTTGACTACTTCTCTTTTCCTTCCTGGGGCACTTGATTTTAGAAAGTGCCCTGGTCTAGGAGGACCAAGACCTGGCTTCCAGCTGTGTCAGATAATTACCCCCACTCTATTTTTCTCATCGGTAAAATAGGGAATTTGGTCTAGGCTGGGGGTTGGCAAACTACAACTTGCAGACTAACTCCAGCCCAATGCCTGTTTTTCTAAATGAAAGTTTTACTGGAACACAGTCATGCCTGTTTCTTCACGTACATCTACGGTTGCTTTTGGCTGGTTACAAAAAAAAGAACATATGGCTCACAAGGCCTAACATATTTACTGTCTGGCCATTTACAGAAAACACTTGCTCACCCCTGATCTAAAACAATGGTTTTCAACTTCATTTTAGCCATACTGTTTTTTTTCTGGAAACAACTCTTCTTTATTTTTAACAATAAAAGCAATTCTCACAGCACTTGGCATGTGCCTGGCACTGTACCAAGTGCTTTAAAACTGTTAACTTACTGCTTAATCCTTATGAAAACATTATGAGATGAGCAGTAGTATCATCACCCACATTTTAGAGAGGAGAAAACTGAGGCAGAGTTAACAGAGAGGTTAAGTAACTTGCCTCAGGTCACACAGCTACTAAGTGGCAAAGGCAAAATTTGAATTCAGGAGTCCTGCTCTAGAGTTTGCCTTCTTATCCACTGGGCCATGCTGCCTCTCACTGGTGGCCTTATATAAAAACTGGGTGGAGCAGGCCCCACTAACTAGAACTGATGTGGCATGGTCAGCATCTCCCCCTTGCCTGTTGACTCTTCTTTCTGCAGCCCCCCGGGATCTCAGGGCCATCTCTGGCAACCTCTGGAGGCTATAACATCTGGCAAATTAGGCTTCTAAGCTTGGAGAGGGGACATCAGTTTGTTTTGGTTGCTACAAGAGGAATTGATCCTGGTTGTTGGGAACTTATGCAGGCCAAGAACTGTAGAAAGCACTGTTCTCTGGGACTGAGGACTCCAGACAAATAGACTCATTTTTATCGAGCATGATCATAATTATGCCTGATAAAAATGAGTGCTAGAGACTTAGGTCCACATTTCAAAACCGTAACTGAAAGGAAGACATATTTCAATAGTTGCCATGCCCCACACAAATATGAAAACCAGTAATCTATTGGAACCAGTTCCCTGGGCCAGAGTGATTTGCCTTAGACTCTTGTCATAAAAATCAGCAAAGGAGACTGCACACTGAAATGACACTTCACACTGAAAAGATATTGACGCTGAAAGGAGATTCACGCTGAATGTCACCTTCCCTGCTTCCTCCTGCAAATGACCCCACATAGCCTGGGGGGCATTTAGGAGCTTTAGCATAGCACCCGCCTCTTGGGCAGGTGGGAGCCTGGGGCTGCAGACCGGCCCTTTCTTAGGATGCTCCCTGTTTGCAGATTAGTGACTTGATTGGCCCCTCCTCCACCCCCACCATTCCCATAAGGGACTGGTTAGTCTGCAGGGATGACACCCAGCCTCCTCCACCCTTGGGGATGTAAACTGTACTAGGAGCAGGAAAGGCTGGGGTGACTCACTTTCCTGCCAGTGAAAAGCTGACCTCAATCTTGGTAGTGGTTTGAAGGTGACTTTTGTATTCATCTCTCTGGGATCTTGGGAGACAGTTTCAACTATGGTATCTACTCAGTTTCCCTATGGGACCCCACTCTGGCCTGCAGCTCCTCTGCCCTGTACAGAAGGGTCTCCTGTTCTAAGGTTTTTTTTGTTTTGTTTTGTTTTGTTTTTTGGACAGATTCTTACTCTGTCACCCAGGCTGGAGTGCAGTGGCGCGATCTTGACTCACTGCAACCTCCACCTCCTGGGTTCAAGCAATTCTCCTGCCTCAGTCTCCTGAATAGCTGGGATTATAGGTGCACACCACCACACCTGGCTAATTTTTGTATTTTCAGTAGAGACAGGGTTTGGCCATGTTGGCCAGGCTGGTCTTGAACTCCTAACTTCAGGTGATCTGCCTGCCTCAGCCTTCCAAAGTGCTGGGATTACAGGCGTGAGCCACCGTGCCTGGCCCTGTTCTAAGGTTTTTGCTGTCTCTGTTTTCTCCTTGGTTGGCCTGTGCCTGACACAGTAAGATTTGGGACCCCTGAGATTGAGTGGGGTGGGGTCTTCCCAGGTGCTTCCCTCTTGCTTGTGGTCTCTGGCCCTGTTCCCCGCCCCAGCCATCAGCACCAGTCCCCTACCCCCTCAAAAGGCTCAAAGACTTCCTGAGAACCCGGAATCTCAGTTTCATCTCTGCTGGAGATTTTTGATCTGGGGGAAAGGCTGCTCTCTATATGGCTGCTTTCAGACCACACTTGGCTCTCCCTTGGTTTAGCCAAATTGGGGTTTTCCTCATTTTCAGGAGCCAGCTTTTCTGAAGTGTTCCTTCCTGGCAGCTGCATTCCCCATGGTCCTGTCTATCTTAGGGGCAAGGACTTAGGCATCGGGTGTCCTAGAGGCTAGAAGATTGTTCTACAGAGAAAAGTGGTTTTGTGGCCGTAGGTGGTACCCAGACGTGTTGCCTGCCACCTGGGTGCAAGCAGGACCGGACCTCTGTGGGTGGTGGAGGGAGCTTCCCATGTGTGGATGGAGGCCTTGCTGGGGAAGGGTAGATGAGTACAGCTCCGTGTCACAGCCCGGGGACAGCCCCACCTGCTGCAGGCGGCCTTCGCTAGGCCTCTGTGAAGGTCCCCAAAGCCTGGCTCTCCTGTGGCTTATCCTGGGAGAATATTTGCCCTCTTTCATCTAATAGTTAACTATTGACAGAACATTAGGTACTTGAATAAAATGAAGCTGTTTAGTTTGGGGAGATATTTTGGAAAACAGAAGCTTAGTTCTCATTGAGGTTACCTTCTTGGTGTAGGTGGTTGTGTAGGTTTTTGTTTTGTTTTGTTTTGAGACAGGGTCTTGTTCTGTCACCCAGGCAGGAGTGCAGTGGTGCGAACACAGCTTACTGCAGCCTCGACTTCCTGGGGTCAAGTAATACTTCCACCTCAGCCTCCCGAGGAGCTGGGACCACAGGCGCACACCACCATACCCAGCTAATTTTATTTTTTTGTAGAGATGGGGGGTCTCACCTTGTTCCCTAGGCTGGTCTTGAACCCCTGGGCCCCAGCAATCCTCCTGCCTCAGCCTCCCAAAGTGGTGGGATTACAGATGTGAGCCACCAAGCCTGGTCGGCTTGTTTTAAACAACTTAATGTTATTGAAAATATGATGCCACCCTGATATTGAGATAAATTTTAAGGGAAGAATCACCTCTTTCTCATTACTTGAATACTGTGTTAATTTTTGCATATTAAGTCAATTTCCTCCTTTAATGGCAATTGGTTGATCCATGGTCATGTTAAATAATTTTGCATATTTAATTAACTCGGGTCTTGATTTGTCTCCGGTCCTGTTTATTACTGATGTCACCGTCTGTGTGTGTCTTGTGATGTGGAGACTTTGCAAGCTGTTTTCCACGGAGTCCAAGCCCCACAGCCCTGCTGTGGCACTGCCTTCATCAGTGACGCGTTCTTGGCGGAGAGGATCTAGTTGTAGTTTGTGCTTCCTGGCTGTCAAGGGCCTTGCCTTCCCTTCTACAGGAAACAGCTGAGAAATCGCTGGTGTGCTGTAGCCTTAAATAACAGCACCTGCCACTCAGTTGTGTTGTCTTTCATGAGTTTTCCAAGTGCTCTCCTGCCTTGGGGCATGTGGGAAGGAAGGTATTATCATTTCCGTTTTACAAAGATCCCCCGAGAGACTGCAAGTCTCTTGGATTTTGCTGCTGACACCAGGACAGGAGGTCACATCCTCTGACCCTCCATCTTATGTTCTTTCCAGCAGCCCCAGAACCAGCCATGGAAACCAGGGGCAGGGCCTCTGTGCTTTAGTTCCCTGATCTGTAAAATAAGGGATCATAATAGTACCTATTTTGTAGGGTCACTATGAAGTTTAGATGAGCTGCCACATGCCTGGGACAGTGCCTGGCACACAACCATGCAAGCTCTCAGGAGGGTAGTGCCCCGTACCTCCAATCTTGTTATGTGGGGGACAGACAGATCATCTGGCTTGGGCGCCCCACCCTGCCATGCAGATAAATCCATGCCCAGATAACGGTCATGTGGGATGGGAAGGTGGGGCTCTAGCGTGTGCCTTCTTGCTGTCCTGTGCTAGGCATCTTGGGGTCCGGCCTCCTGAACTTGTGCCCTTTCCTTTGCCAGAGTGAGTTGCCCAAGAGGCTGAGGGTGGGCATGAGGCTGCTTACAAAGCTGAGCTGATGATAGTTTGCAGGGCACAGCACCCTTCACTCAGGGATGCTGGCATACTCTGTGGGCTTCTTAACAGGCAACAAGTTCTGCCAGCCCATTGTACAGTCCCCGGCTGGCTGCAGTGTCTGGGCATTCTGCTTCTCAGCCTTGCCCCACTCACTACTTTCTCAGTGAGTGTCAGTGAGTAAACACGCACGCAAAAGAATAAAACCATCAACAAGAGAAAGTGTGGTGTGTAAGGGAAAGGGAGTCATTCATTCATTCATTCATTCAGCCAGTGTTGACTACAGTGTGCCAAGTCCTGTTCTAGCTGCTGGGGTGCAGTGGCGATCAGGGCAGGCCCTGCCCTCATGGAGCTTACAGACAAGACCATGACACAGGTGCATGCTATGAAAATGAGTGAGTGGGACATACTGGGCCTCCCCAAAGTTGGTGGGGAAGAGAGAGAAGGTAAAACCCAAAATAGGTTCTGTGACTGGCCAGCACCTCAGGGGAGGCCTTTCGAGGGGCAAGGGTGGAGATTTTCATGGCTAAGTCCTGTTGTCTAGGGGGGATTGCCCTTACAGGGGGTCTGCATGACATTAGTCATGAATCCAAGGTCCTGTGGTGGCATCAGGGCTGGCACCAACCACAGCTTGCTGCCGATGTCCCTCCCATGCTCTGGGTACCTGTCATATTTGACACCTCTGTTGCAGAGGTGACAGCTAGAAAAGCATCCATTGCCTTTGGGGTGGGGGTTCCCATTTGTTGTCTCATGGGAAGGAAGGGATGCTTTGGAAAGGCTGTGGAAACCCCTTTGGGCTCTGGGTGGATAACATGAGTGGGGCCATTGGAAGGGGTAAAGAATGCTGAGTCATGTCTAAATGACAGCACTTCCTGGGCACTCCTACATGACTTGCAATACCCCACAGGCAGGGCCCTTCATCTCAGCCTGTCTAACAGACTGTGGATTTGGATTTTCATTCAACCATTAAATTTTTAAAAAATTCTGTGAAGCTAATAGTCAAAGGGTTAGTAGTCTCATTTATTCACCAGATATTTTTCAGCAACAACTTATGTACCTGGCTTTTTTCTAGGAGTTGGGGATATAGCAGGTGAACAGAAGAGACAATAAATCTTGCCCTCATAGTCTAGCCTTATGATAGCAGAAGTCTTTCTTTAAAGAAAGATCCCTGGAATCTTTAAATATTAACTCCTGGAGTTCACGTAGGCATCGTGACAGAGGCACAGGGACAGTGGGGTTAGCTGGGATGTCCAGGGACAGAAGGAAACAGAAGCAGTGTCACTGGTGACCAGTCAGATGGGTGGACGTCCAGCACCCTCATGATGTGGCAGAAGTCAGGGAAGAACGATATTCTGTTTAAAAAGTTGAGCTTATAAATAGCCATATTGGAACATGTTTATTATGTTGAGGAGGTAACTTATACTTGACTGGTCTTCTAATAGAGCAGCAAATGTCATTGAGTATTTTCTTTGTGCCTGGGTACATGGTGCCCATGGAAAGATGTGTTCTTTGCCCCAGGGACGACGATAGTTGAGTAATTAGCAAATAAAACAAGGGCAAGTCTATTGAGAGCCACTTTCTATGGCAGGGCCTGAGATCACTATGGAAATAACTCAGTAAGAGCAGTCAGAGAAGGCTTCCTGGAGGAGGTGTCTCCATGCTAGTCAGAAAGAAGTGGGGAACGTGTTCTCAGGGAGTTAGTAACAGGGGAGCATGGCTTGTGCTCATGGGACAGAGTGACTGCTCTGTCACAGTGGGGTTGGCAATGAGGGGCTAGAGGTTAGAGGGCAGGGGACAGTGGAGACCAGTGGGGGGCTTGACACACTCTGCAGCTGTGAGCCATTGAAGGTTTTGCAGCAGAGCAGTACCCTGGTGCTGGTTGTACTTAGGGTGTCAGCGAGGTGGAGCGAGCTGGGAGGGCAGGTATAGCAAGTGATGCTGGAGAGAACAGCTGAATGTGGCTCTAGAGAAACAGGCTCCTGCCTGGCAAGTCACAGGGTTGTGAATAAATCACTCATGCTTTCTGAGCCTCAGTTCACCTCATCTACAAAATGAAAATAAGATTTCAAATCCTATTTCATAGATTCTTTGTGAGTCTTAACTTTAAGAATATATGTGACAATGCTTTAGGAAAAAAAAAAGTAAAGTGTAAATTCAAGAAAAATCTCAGCTGTTGGTGTCAGGATCCCCTTCTCACATTGGCTTCCTGTACCTATGAGATAGCAAAAAGTAGGGGAGAAATCTCATATTCCTGTGAGTACATGACATTATCGAAACACCAGAGGACCAGGGAGGATGGTCAGTGAGCTCACAAGCATTGATGTCTGCCATTTGCATTTAATCCTCCCAGCAGCCCCATGAGGTGGGGAAACATTGGGAATCGGAGATGAACAGCTGCGGCCCCCACCCAAGGTCACTTAGCTAGTTGGTGAGACAGGGCCCTGACAGGCACTCCTTCTGTAGTAGTGTGCCTGGGCTGCCATGACAAAATCCCACAAACTGGGTGGCTTAAACAATGAACATTTATTTTCTCATAATTCTGGAAGTTGGATGTCCAAGATCAAGGTGTCAGCAGGGTTGGTGTAATAGTCCATTTTTATATCACTATGAAGAAATACCTGAGACTGGGCAATTTGTAAAAAAAAAAAAAAAAAAAAAAAAAAAAAAAAAAAGAGGTTTAATGGACTCACAGTTCCACATGTCTGGGGAGGCCTCACAATCGTGGCAGAAGGCAAAGGATGAGCAAAGGCACATCTTACATGGCGGCAGGCAAAAGAGTGTGTGCAGAGGAACTGCCCTTTATAAAACCATCAGATCTCGTGAGACTTATTCACTGTCACAAGAATAGCACAGGAAAAACCCACCCCCACGATTCAATTATCTCCCACCAGGAGGGTCCCTCCCATGACAAGTGGGGATTGTGGGAGCTTCAATTGAAGATGAGATTTGGGTGGGGACATAGCCAACCCAGATCAGTTGCTCTCTTCTGAGGCCTCTCTCCTTGGCCTGCTGATGGTCACCTTCTTGCAGTGCCCTCATGTGATTTTTCCTCTGGCTCTGTCTGTGTCCCAGCCTCCTCCTCTCATAAGGACACCATTCAAACTGAATTAGGGTCCACTGACATGACCTCATTTTACCTTAATTACCACTCTAAAGTCTTTTCTTCAGATGCAGTCATGTTCTGAAGTACTGAGGGTTAGGGCTTCAACTTACGAATTTGGTGAGTTCACAGTTCAGCCTGTAACACATTTCTTCAGGATTTCCAGAGCGTGCACAGTTTTGAGCAGAAAAACGCACTGCTGGAGGAAAAGGAGAGAACTGGAAAATTCCAGCAAGCTGTCATAGACTTGATCTGGGGGAGGTGGGGCCCCACTGAGAAAGATGACAAGGTGAACAAAGATCAGCAAGTGATTCGGTGCACCCAGCAAACTTAGAATAGATTTACTTCAAGAAATTCATAAATGAAAAAAAAACAAAAAAACAAAAAAAAAACTTGGGTTTCAAAAAATTTCTATTAACTTGCTTTATAAAAAGATTTCATAACAGGGTTCCTTTAAATACCCAGCCGCACCAGTATACTTAACAAGTGATTTGATTTAATACCATGTGATTAAAGTACTACGTTTGCAGAGCCTAGCCATTAAAAGCAGGACAGACAACCTGTAATTAAAATTTTGCTGAACCCTCCTCCTCCAAAGACCAGTTCAGTTCGCAGAGGTTGATGGTGAAAGCAGCCGAGGCACTTCAACTTTGCTCCCCAGTGTCTTTGCTCTAGGTCAGTGTGCACAGGGATGAGACCAGTCTTGGGGGTGTCAGCACCAGCCCCTGGCCCCCTGCCTGGGGCTGGCATACCCCTCCTGCTGTCCTAGGACACAGCATTGGCTTCGATCTATTCCAGCAGCAATCTTACCTTGTCCTTCTTTATCTCTGTTTCTAGGGCCAGTGACATTGGTCTCCTCAGTTAGGGGCAGGCAGACATAGACAAATGAATAGTGACTTTTGTCCGAACTTCATGTTAGCAATTTCAACCTGCAAACATTTTACCTCCCTCACCAGAGCTGCAAACACGTGGCCACGTTGATTGGTTTACTTCCAGTCCTCCCTGTGAGTGGAAGAGCAGAGATCCAAACCCCTTGTAAAAAGAGGTAGACAATAACCACTCCCAGAGCTGTGGAGAGGCTGAATGGGCAGAATGTGTATAATCAGAAAAGCACACATGAGGCTGGTTCATTTGCAGAGAAGCAGGTCATGATTCTCAGCGGGTAAAAGCCAACAGTGATTAGGAGGAAGAACTCTTGTCATCTGGGACCGAGGAAATGGGGCTTTAATAAAGCCAGTTGCTGTTTGGGTGCCAGAGTCTGAGTCCTGTCCTTCCATCATCAGTACTTATTAAGAACCTACTGCATGCCAGGAACTGTGCTATATATTGAGGGCACTAACAGTCCCTCTGGTCAGAGAGAGCCTTCTAGCATGGAAGCCTTAGTCCCTGCCCTGGCGTGACGCACAGGCTAACGGAGGAGACAGACATCCACGCACACACTGAGGCTGCCAGAAAAAGAGAATCACAGGGCACTGGGGAGTCCCTGGGGGGTGGGGGGAGCAGTGGTGCCTGGGGAATCAGGAAAGGTTTCTTAGGGAAGTGATGATTGAGTAAGTTGAGAACAAAATCAAAAGTCGAAGGGGAGTTACTGTGGCCAAGAGGTGGGAGAGGCGTGCTTAAGGCAGACGGAACTTTATATGCAGAGGCCTGGAGGTGAGAGAGTGAGTGCAGGGGGTAGGGGTGACTCAGGTTATAGGGACCCAGACTTTGAGGAGGGTGGAGGGAGGTGAGGGACAGGGCTGGAGAGTGGAGCGGGGACCAGAGTGAGAAGGCCACATGTGTGGAGATGAGGGATCCAGACCTTGTCCCAGGATTTTCTTTTGGTGTGTTGAAAATGTTCTGGAGCTGGATAGAGGTGCTGGCTGCACAACAGTGCGAATGTACTAAATGCCAGTGGATTGTATACTTTAAGATGCCTAAAGTAGTTAATTTCATGTTACATGAATTTCACTTTAATAATTAAAAAGAAAGATATGATCTGCAAAGTATGGAAGTATTGTTTTCACCCTGTCCCCACCTACCCCCTTCCGTCTTGCCTTATGCCCTCCTGGAGGTAACAGTTTGGGTTTGTTTTTGTTTGTTTGTTTGTTTGTTTGTTTGCCCAGGCTGGAGTGCAGTGGTATGATACTGGCTCACTGCAACCTCTGCCTCCCAGGTTCAAGCAATTCTCCTGCCTCAGCCTCCTGAGTAGCTGGGATTACAGGCAGGCGCCACCACGCCCGGCTAATTTTTGTATTTTTGGTAGAGATGGGGGTTTCACCGTGTTGGTCAGGCTGGTCTCAAACCCCTGACCTCGTGATCCACCCTCCTCGGCCTCCCAAAGTGTTGGGATTACAGGCGTGAGCCACCACACTCGGCCAGGTAGCACTTTTAAAAATATTTTGTTTCCCCTTTCAGTGTTTCTTCATGCATGACAAGGAATATATTCTTATTCTTTCTTATATCAAAGGTGCCATTCTGAAAATGCTATTTTGTACCTTGCTTTTTTCATCTAAGAGAATATTCCATCAGTGTCTTCCATGCCAGCACATAGTGATCCTCCTTATTTTTTTCCTGGGTATATAATATTCTATAGTATGGCTATACCATGCTTTATTCATCCACCCCCTATTTCTGGATGTTTGGGTGGTTCCCAGTCTTTTGCTTGGACACTGTATACTGTGTAGTCAAAGGCAAATCACTCTTGGCTCCTGGCCTCAGGGAGCCTGGATTAGTCAGGGTCTCCAGAGAAACAGAACCATGAGAGAGAGAGAGAAAGAGATTTGGAGAAATTGGCTCATGTGATTGTGAGAGCTGGCAAGTCTGAGATCTGTAGGGCAGGCTGGCAGCCTGGGAATTCAAGTAAAAGTTGATATTGCAGTCTTAAATCCAAAATCTGCAAGGCAGCAGACTGGAAACTCAGGCAGAATTTTTATGTTGTAGTCTTAAGCCAGAATTATTTCTTCCTTCTCTTTCTCCTTCTCCTTCCCCCTCACCGTTCCTCCTCCTCCTCCTCCTCCTTCTCCTCCTTCCCCTCCCTCCTTTCTCCTTCCTCTTTCTTCCTTCCTCCTTCCTTCCTTTCTTCTTGAAACCTCAGTCTTTGCTCGTGGGGCCTTCAACTGATTGGAGGAGGCCCACCAACATTACAGATGGTACTCTGTTTTCCTCAAAATCAATTTATTATAAATGTTAATCACATCTGAAAAATACCTTCAAAGCAACATCTAGATGAGTGTTTGAGCAAGCAGCTGGGCACCATAGCCTCCCCAAGTCAATACGTAGAATTAACCATCACAGATCCAAGAAGGATGAGGGTAAAAAGACCCTGGGAATGCAGAGGAGAGGAGCCTGGGTTGCCTGTGTGGCTATCGGAGGTAAAGATGAGTCCTCTCTTTTTATAACTGAGGAAACTCCGGCTCAGAGAGGTAAATTAAATTGCCCAAGATTACACAGCTAGTAGGAGCTAGAAGCAGAATCTGGCCTGGGCTAGTCCAGTACAAAACTCACATCCTAACCCCATGGGAGTTAATGCTGCTTCATACGTGGGGTGTGTGTCATCCTGGAGGAGAAATTTGATCTGGCCCCGGAAGAAGAAGGTGTTGATGAGGTAGATAAAGAAGAGTGATTGGAAGCTGGATGCAGTGGCTCACACCTGTAATCCCAGCACTTTGGGAGGGTGAGGCGGGTGGATTGCTTGACCCCAGGAGTTCGAGACCAGCTTGGGCAACATGAAGAAACCCCAACTCTTCAAAAAATACAAAACCTAGCCAGGCCACTACCATTAGTGTGTGCCTGTAGTCCTAGCTACTCAGGAGGCCGAGGTGGGAGGATTAATTGAGCCCAGGAGGTTGAGGCTGCAGTGAGTCATGATCATACCACTGTACTCCAGCCTGGGCAAAAGAGCAAGACCCTGTCTTAAAAAAACAAGCAAAAAGAAGGGCAATTGGCATTTTCAGCTCAGAGAACTGGCTGTGCAAAGGCCAGTGCGGGAAGTGAGCCGTCTCGGAGGTAGCCAACATGTGGCTGAAGCAGTCTTTAAGGACAAGAGCCCTTGCGTCTGGATCAGGAAGGCTGCCCTGGACTGCACTAAGAGGCATTTGGGCTTCATTTCAGGGCCTAAAGTCACAAAACGGCAGCCTCCAGCCAGGTCTGGCTCAGCCCACAGAGCTGCTGGGGTCAGAGCAGCTTTAAAACACTACGTGCAGGGCTTGGAAGGCCAGCAGAGCACGGGACATCCCTGTGTTTCATGACCTCCCCCTCCCCATTTATTCCAGTCACCTGCCTGGCCCTGTGTCCTCCATGTGACCCAGGCCAGGGGTCTCCAAAATGGCTTACTTTGCAGGAAAAGACAAATGTGTACACTTGGCTCATTGTCTGTTTATTTTTGTACATGTGTAATGTTGCACTGATGTACAGTGTGTACATTTTAAAAACATACCAACAAAGAAATTTAACAAGATAAGTTTCAAAAAGTAAGCATTCTAATATTTTCTTTCTATGACCCAGTGATCACTCAGGCACCCCACTTTTGAATCCCTCTAATTAGATGATGGGGAGTTAATGAAGGCAGGTTTCTGTGACAAAAGCTCCAGGTGGTTTCTGTGACAAAAGCTCCAGGTTGACACATGGTGGCAGGGCGGAGCTTGAGAGGGGTGTGGTTAGGTCAGGTCAGCGGACAAGGGCCATATCCAGCCACCCACGCTGGCCATTCGCAGTGTGCCATCACTGTGCGGGGACGGGAAGGCAGCACACTGCACTGTGAATGTGCAAGTATATCTGAGGACATCCTGCTCACCATGCCTCTGGCCGCCTCTGTATCAGGTGCTGTCCTGGGCCCTCTGACACCCCTGGTGGCTGGTGTCATTACCCAGGGGGAAGGCAGTCGCATCCCCAGCAGTGCTTGGCCATACAGGTCACCTTCCACGGAGTGGAGTCTGGTGTCACCGGGCACCCTCAGGTCTGATTTGCAGTCATCTCACCAGGTCTCACCTCCTCTCAGCAAGACCTCCCCTCACCTCTTCTTTCCTGAAACTGTCTTCCAGCTCCTCCTTCCTGCCGGGGCGGCTTCCTGCTGTCACTCTGAAGAGGGAGGGTCTCTGTTCCTGCCGCTCTTCAGTTCAGACAGATGCCAGCTGCCCGGAGTTGCACCCATTTGGGGATAAATTTATTTTTCTTTCCAAGTGGCTTTGTGGTGAATGGGCTTAAATAATTCCCTGACTATCCTGTTTAAATTTGCTCCCTCTCCCCCAGTTCTTTGCCTCCTCTGTTTTATTTTTCTCCATAGCCTGCATTATCCTGTGCATAAAAACGAGTGCATAATATTGCATTAAAAAAGGAAACAAAATTAATGTCTTAAAACGACCATCCTTTTATTATTTGCTCAGAGTTCTGCACTTTGGGCAGGAGTTTTAGGGGGTAGAGAGTGGGCTGGGAAAAGGTCAGGGCATCTCTGTTCCTTGTGGTTCAGCCCAGGGCCGCTTGGGACCCTCCATTCTTCTCTGCGTGGTGTCTGTGTGTGGTTAGCTTGGGCCTCCTTTCAGCATGGTGTTGTTGGCTTTATTGAAAGGTGACTGGCTTCCCTCAGAACAGAAAAGCAAAAGCTGCTAGACCCGGAGTCACTTGCGCTACGTTTCTGAGCATCCAGCCACACACTGGGAAGTGTGGCGACTATCTCGTCCCCTAGGAGTGTGGTGTGAAATGCTGGGACACTCGATCAATGTTAGCTCTTTCATTAGACACAGCCCTGGACTGTCAGAGACCCAGCTCTTGAGGTAGGTGACTTCCTGTGTGACCTGGCCCAAGACTCACTCCCTCTCTGAATCTTTAAAATGGGGAGAATAGAAATATGGGCTAGCCACATGTCTACCTCAAGGGGCTGCTTGGAGGGCCAAATGAGATAAAGAGTAATAGTGATGACAGGTGTTGGGAACTGGGTATGACCAGGTTTTCAGAATTTTGCTCCTTGGAGCTCCCAGTTCCAGACACAGGGAGCCCCGCCTCTGCCAGGACTCCTGGGGGCAGGGTCCAGGGTGCAGGGGAAAGGTCCCAGCTTCCCCTTTTGAGGTGGCCAAGCAGGCCGCCGTCAGGTCAGCACGTAGGCCTTGAGTCCAGCCACTTTTGTTGAGTGTTTAAAATTTACCAGGGACTTTACATCTTTTACATCTTTTCTCATGTACCCTCAAAACAGTTCTGTAATGCAGGTGATGCTTTGCCCCCCGACAGCTGTTCTATGGCAACACGGCCGAGTAACAGAACCAGAACTCCATCTTCAACCCACTGGGATCCAGACCCCGTGCCTTTTTCCCACAAAGCTGGCCAGTGACAGAGACTCTTGGCAAAATACCAGAATTTTCCTTACTGTGAACACTGCCGACTTTAATTAGATTAATTTTCGATTTTCTTTTGCCTTCAGGGGTTTAAAGCTGACCCAGCTGGATTACAGCAGCGCACTGTGAGTGGAACAGAGTTGCGGTGTCAGGACCTCCAAGCCCTGCAACCCCCAGCACAGGCTTTATTTATCTATGCACCCCCATTGAGAGGCTCCCTCACCCTCTGAGGGGATGGAAGGTCCGTGGAGATGCAGCTTTGCTCTCCCGGGAGGGTCTCTGCCCTCAGGCTCAGACCGGGGCCGTCCTAAAGCCTCCCTGCCCCGGATGCCTTTTGATGAAGGCTGCTTTGTGCACACACATGTGCTGGGCTGTGGCCGCAACCCCAAGCCCTAGTTATCCACAGTAAACACAGAACAGCAACCACCCCGTGCAGCCTTCTCTCTCCAAGGTAAACTGTTGGAGTAAGGGCTTTTGCCTGGACGAAGGCCTAGTCAATGAGAGTGCTTTGCTGACTCTAACTCTTGCTTTTCACCCTGGGGAGCCAACCACAAACATTTGTGGAGACCCACACATGCCAGGCAGGGCCTGTGCTGCAGAAACGTGCACTGTGGAACAATCGGCCTCAGAGAGCCGCCGAAGAACAATGCAGGCTTGTGGATTGTCCCTCCCGGTCCTCGGGCAGCGGCGCCTGTGTACAGAGCACCCAGGTGTGCCCCCTTGCCCTGGCCCGAGAGGCGCCGAGGATGGGGCCTGTGTTTTGGGGGTGTATGGTCACTTGCACTGAGGCTGCCCGGGGCAGGGTTGACCTTTGGAAGATCAAATATGTGGCCTTCTGGGCTTTGCCCAGGCCAGCTGCTGACCCAAGGGAGGAACACTCAGTGTCGCGTGATGTGTTCCCCTGTCCTCTGGCCTGGCCATTGTCATTGCAAAGCTGAAGAGATAGAAGAATTTGCGGTAGCTGGGGAAGGGAGGCGGGGTACTGGTGCCAGTGAAGTCCCTTCTTGAGATGGCCTTTTGGTTCATCTGCGGACCTTGCTGTCTGCCCATTTAGGCGCTGCCCTCACCCTGGGTCCCACTTGCCACTCTGCTCACGTTGAGAGTCCTCTTTCTATGCGGTTCTCTGCTTCAGCCAACACAAACAGCAGAAATAAGCCGGGAGAAGCCACCTCTGAATGGAGGTTCTTTTTCCAGATTCGCTGTGCCAGCCGGGGCGTAACCGTTTAATTGCTGACACTAAGTCTCTCCGTAATACCAAATGAAACAAGGTTCCATGGTGCCCTGAGTACAGGATTTGAGTATGACACTAAGAAAGCAGAGAATAAAAGGACGCAGGGAGGATTCGGTCTGCTCAAATGCACTTTTAAAATTCTCCTATTTACACCGTAATTCCCTATTCTCCTCCATTAACTTGTTTTGGTGGTTTAGGGCTTGTCTTTTGTGTGGTTTTGGTTTTCTGGGCTTCGCCACTGAGGAGAGAACATTCTAGAAGGGTGAAATTGTTAATTATTCTTAAAACTTTGAGAGCTGCTTATGTGGAATATGTCCTATGAGAGCACCTTGATATTGCAAGTCGTGGCCTCCATTCCCCTGGGATGATCTGCGGGGACAGGGTCTGCCCAGAGCCCTGGTGTCAGGGTGTGATACTGACTGAGTTTCACAGGCTGGCCTGGGGGAGCCAGGACTTGAGGTTGGAGACGTGAGGAGAAAATCACAAACAGAAATTGTGGCTCTAGACAAATGCTGCCTCATCCACCTGAGGCGGGGAGTTTGGGTAGATTGGAATCTGACCTGTGTTTCCGCCCCAGGACCAGGTGGTAGCAACGGTATTTAGGTTTTTAAGGTGGGTGATGTCAAAAGCCATGTCCAGAAGAAAATAGTCTTGTTGGCCCTATTCTTTCACCCTAAGAGATTTAATCCAGAGACGGTGTGTAGGATCCTGCTGCTGAGATGCGCCGTTCCTTCCCCGGCTTCTCTCACACCTGGACTTCCCTTCTGCCATATTTTGTTTGTCTTTGGCCAGGACACTGAAGGATAGTGCCATAGCCCCTGCGTGGCCCTCATCTTCAGCTCTTTCTCTAGTACCTATTTTAGATAAAAGCTTTTTTGAGATAAAAAATTCATATAACATAACATTCACCCTTTTGAAGTGGATTTTTTTTGTCTTCTTGTTTCTTTTGTTTGTTTGTTTGAGATAGTCTCGCTTTGTCACCCAGGCTGGAGTGCAGTAGTGCAATCATGGCTTACTGCAGCCTCTATCTCCCAGGATGAAGCAATCCTCTTGCCTCAGCCTCCCAAGTAACTGGGACCACAGGTACACACCACCATGCCTGGCTAATTTTTTTGTAGTTTTTGTAGAGAAGGCATTTCACCATGTTGCCCAGTCTGGCCTCGAACTCCTGGGCTCAAGTGATCCGCCCATCTGGGCCTCCCAGAGTGCTGGGATTACAGGTATGAGCCACTATGTCCAGCCTAAAGTGGATGGTTTTAAATATATTGACGATGTTGTGCAACCCTCAACACTATCTAACCCCAGGACATTTCCTCACCTTTTACGCCCATTACCATAACTCTCATTTTTCCCCAGCTTCCTCAGCCCTAGGCAACCACTTATGTGCTTTCTCTATAGATTTGTCTATTCTGGACATTTTATAAACATGGAGTTATACAATATGTTCTCTTTTGTAACTGGCTTCTTTCACTTAGTGTAATAGTTTCAAGGTTCATCCATGTTGTGGCATATCTCAGCTCTTCATTTTTTTTTTATCACTGAGTAATGTTCCATTAGGTGGTTACTCTACATTTTATGTATTCCTTTGTCAATGGATGGAGCTTTGGGGGTTGTTTCCATATTTTGGCTATTATGAATAATGCTGCTCTGAATGTTCAAGTACAGGTCTTTGTGTGGATGTATGTTTCTAATTCTCTTGGGTATATACCTAGGATTGGAATTGCTGGGTGGTATAGTGACTCTATATTAACCTTTTGAAGAACGCCAGGTTGTATTTCAAAATGGCTGCACCACTTTACAATCGCTTTAGCAATGCTTGAGGGTTCCAGTTTCTCTACATCCTCACCAACACTTGTTATTATGTCTTTTTGATTATAGTCATCCTAGTGGGTGTAAAGTGGTATCTCATTGTGGTTTTGATTTGCATTTCCCTGATGACTAATGACGTTGAACATCTTTTCATGTGCTTTTTAGTGTTAAAAGCTCAGGTTTAGATGTTTATCCAAGTGTATATCTTTGGAAAAATGTCTATCAATTGTTTGCCCAACTTTTAGTTTGGTTATTTGTCTTTTTATTGTTGAATTGTAAGAGTTCTTCGTATACTCTAAATACTAGACCCTTACCAGAATTTGCAAATATTTTCTCCCATTCCGTGCATTGTCTTTTTACTTGATGATTTGCTTTGAAGCATACATATTTTTAATTTTGGTGAAGTGCAATTTATCTCTTTTACTTACTGTTTCATTGGTGTGCTTTTGGTGTCATATCCAAGAAATTGTTGGCTATTCCAAGGTCACAACAATTTACTTTTGTTTTCTTCTAAGAGGTTCATGGTTGTACAACGCTCTGACATTTAGGTCTGTGGTGCAGTTTGAGTTAATTTTTGTATATGTTGTGAGCTAGAGGTTCAGCTTCATTGTTTTGTTTCATTTTGTTAGAGACAGTGTCTCACTCTGTCACCCAGGCAGGAGTGCAGTGGTATACTCATAGCTTATTATTATTATTATTATTTTGACATGGGGTCTTGCTCTCTTGCCCAGGCTGGAGTGCAGTGGTGCAGCCTTGGCTCACTGCAACCTCCGCCTCCCAGGTTCAAGTGATTCTCCCAAATTCAAGTGATTCTCCTGCCTGAGCCTCCTGAGTAGCTGGGACTACAGTGCATGCTACCATGCCTGGCTAATTTTTGTATTTTTAGTAGAGAAGGGGTTTCTCCATGTTGGCCAGGCTGGTCTCGCACTCCTGACCTCAAGTGACCTGCCTGCCTCGGCTTCCCAAAGTGCTGGGATGACAGGTGTGAGCCACTGTGCCTGGCCATCTTTACTGTTTTACATGTAGATACCCAGTTGTCTCAGCAATATTTGTTGAAAATGTTTTTTCCATTGAATTGCCTTTTGTTTTTCTTATATGCCTCTTTCCTACTAAAAAGTAACTTAGTTCTCTCCTTTTCTTCCCCCCAAGCCCACACACACACATCTGCTAGCCTGCCTCAAAGTACCAGGCATCCCTGCTGCTCTAGGAAGGCCTGCATTGCCAGCCCAGAACCTTGACCCTAACTCCCAGGTCCCTTTCTCAGATGGATCTTGGTGTACCCAGGTCTCTTTGTGTCTTTATTAGTCTCTCTGGATGCTAGCATTCATCTGCTTCAGGGAAAGGGAATGAAGGAGGAGCTGCATGGGATCAAAAAACCCCACATTAGTGTGTGTGTATATTTTTTCATGCCTATATTTCTGACTCCCAAATCAGGTGTAAACTTTCCTAGTCATGACCCTCTTGGAGACCCTCATCCATTCGTACAAAAAATGTTCACAAGTTAGATAATTAAATGAAGGAACTACGATGTCTCTGATGGACAAGTGATTCACTCAAGTGGTACTCCATCCATCCATCCGTCCGTTCATCTGTCCATCAATCAGTCTGTCCACCCATTCATCTACTGAGAAATAAAAGAGCTGGTTGCTTGGTCCCTGTCTGCCGGCTGGGTCAGAGTTCTGCTACAGGTTTGTATGTTGTTAGAGGCTCAGGTTAGCTGCCCATCCAAGTGGAAGCCAATTTACCAGAAAGCCAGAGTCTGTGGTTACTGTGGCTGTCGTCACGGGTAGAGTGCTTGGTGCGGGTCACTGGCACTGAGGCCTTTTTAGTGAGTGGGTCCCCTCAGGAGGGTCAATGACACATCTCCAATCAGCAAACAAGAGTTAGAGCAGAGGGATAGTGTAGCCTCAGGGCCCCTTCCTCCGTTCCAAGATATCTCTGTCTAGATACTGCGCATTAGAATTTAGTACTGAAGAATGAAGGTGGAGGCTGGGGAAACATTCTAACTCTCGGGGGCCCTGTGCCAACCACCCGCCTTCAGTGGTAACATCCTTGTCACCTTTGTTTCCATCACACCTCACCTGTGTTGCTTTCTACACATCCTGAAGTTTAACTTAACCTGGACACCTTTGGGCCCCATGACCCATTGGTGGGAGCACCACACTACTACTTAGAAAGTGGGGTTTTTGACTGTGGACCACCGTTCGGGACCCTCTCTGACTGGGACTGTCATTCCCCTGTTTACCGGACCGTCGTCTTTCTGGGTACTCTGTCCTGCCTGTCCCAGTGTGCAGGGCTCCTCCTCCCATCCTGAGGAGTTCTTTCTTGGAATTTTGGCTCCCCCGCCCTGCAGCTTGGTTTCCACTCCCACCTCAAGGATTAGAGTTCTGACCTGAACCTCAGAGGAGGACAAGTCCCCTGCCTGGCAGGATGTGGATTCACCAGGGCCGGGGGCACGGGATTGGATATCAACTATTCCACTAGCTGCAGGCATCGCGGCCCCACCCAGCTGACACTGCTTTCGCATGTATTGCTTTCCAGAGATGAGAGCATTCTGCAGTACTGCCCGGGGGCTGTCTTCTCTCCATTTAGCAATGCGATGCCACAATTTTGCTGTGCCATTACACATTTTTCCTTCAGCGTCATTCCAGCATCAGCTCTCTAATATCCCTTTTTATAGATTTTCCATTTCACAGTGAGAGAAGGTGAGACAGCAAATACTGTTTTCGCAAATGCAGGGGCTGATGACTGAGTTTGATGTTTTTTTTTGTTTTTGTTTTTTTTTGGGTTTTTTTTGTTGTTGTTGTTAGATTCCTGAGACGTACCACGTCCCAGCATGAATTGTGTAACTTATCTGCCCTGTGTCGAAAATTAGACTTTGCTCCTGTATTTTCAGAAATAATTCTTGACACCCTCTTAGGTTTTCAGGCTGTGTTTTGGCTCTGCCCTCATCTTATCTCTGGGTTCCAAGAGCTTTTTTCCCATTTCTCTTTTTTTCCATGGCCCATGCCTGAGTTGGGTTGGCAGGTTCTCCTCTTCTTGCTGTGTCCCTGCAGAGTCTCTTTCTGGCACTGCCTTAACCACTGCACTTCATCTGAGGGGAGAGAGAGGAAGAGCCACTTGGCTAGGGAAGCGAGTGCTTTCTCTGCTGGTAAAGATGTCTGGGAGAAGGGTCCCCCCACCCCTGTCCAGTGTGCCCCAGGGGTCGGGCAGCCAGTGACCCCTTCCACCTCATTTCTTTCTTTTTGTTGCCTGCACAGGACTGGAGAGCTAGCATGAGTATCTGTCCTGCAAGAGCTTATTAAGCCCTGCTTATACACGTGGCACCAGGGAGGTGTTATTATCGGTCATAGCAAGGCAGGGAGGGACAGCAGACGGGAAGGAGTTAAAGTTCTCCACAAGGAAAAGTGTGATTAAGTGGCAAAGGGAATGGTTTGGAAATAAGTGCTGGGGGCTTTCAGGGGAAGGGGAGGTCATATGGGCCAAAGCGGGGCAGACCTTCTGTCTGAGGAGAGTGAGTAGACCCAGAAGGATGATGGGTTTGGAGTTGGGTGGAGAGGGACCCTTATTGGACAGGGAGGATGTCACTGTATTCTCCCTGAGGGACCTCCTGTGCGATTTGGTGTCTGAGGGGCCGTCTGTTTCAAGAAGTGGGAGGCGTGGTGGGGTGTGGGGGCTGGGTACCCTGAGAGTGTGGTGCTGTAATCACCCTCTGGCCAGCAAGGAAGCATGGCAAGACTTGGCCGAGACAGCTGCCAGTGTCAGAGGAAGGGTCCTGGGCCGGAGAGTAGAGGCTTGGCAAGGCGGCAGGGGGCAGGAGGCATGAGAAGCTGGCTTCCATGGGGCAGGGCAGGGAGGTCATGGACCACGCATGGTGTGGACACACCCGTGGGAACAGAGAAGAAGGGGAGAGGGAGACATTTTCATAAAAGGTCCCTCAGGGCCTAAAGACAGGCTTCTGGGGATAAAGGAGGTGCCTGGGAATGGGGTTGATTCTGTCTGGCTTTCTGGGGGCCTCATGCACATGAGGGCGTCTTTGTTGCCTGCATAGGACCACGTCATGCCCTCCTGCCTCAGGGTCCCCTCTGTGTTTCACGTGGGCTCCTGAGGCACATTGCACTGCACTGACCTTCCCCCTATGTGCTGTGGTGCCTGGGCCCAGAGACGGCTGTGACCTTCCTGGCTTCCCTGCTAGCATAGGTTAGTGGTGGTGCAGAGGTGGTGGTGGGAGTGCTTGCGGTAGTAGTAGTGGTGGTGGTAATAACGGGGTTAGAGCTGCTGCTCTGCGCTAATAAACGTTTTATTACCTCTAGTTCGTTTAGTCCTTAGAACAACCCTGTGGGGTTGGCCGGTCATACAGATAAGGAAACTGAGGCATAGAGACTTCAGCAATTGCCTGAAGTGCCACATCTAGTGAGGGGCAGAGCCTGGACTGAACCCCCAGCACATGGCTCCAGACTCCATGCTCCTGGGCACTCTTCCTCCTCAGCAGAGCAGGCCAGCACTGCAGAATCGCTTTCATCATGCCATTTAGAAATGGGCAGCTGAGGGTCAGCACCTCTGGTATGCCCAGGGTGTGCCCCACCTCTCTGCCCCATGTCTGCTGTGGTGGAGGGGAGGGAGGAGGATGATGGGGGAGTGCCCAGATGGGAACTGCTGGCCTTCAGGGGGCCAGCTGGGCCATTGGACTGGACAAAGCCTGAGCACAGCCCCAGTTGCACCTGGTGTGACCCCCACACATGACCTGGCCATGGGGAAATCTGGCCCTGTCTGGGTGGGGCCAACAGTGCTTTGGCCCTAAGAGTCTTAGGCTTCCCAAAGAGTGAGGAAGGACAAGGAGGCAGAGCAGGGGAAAGGAATTCACAGTTCGTGAAATTAGATGCTGCAGAAAATGTTAATGAATGCCCTGTTATCTTAATTTTCTCAGAGTGTGAAGTGTTTAGGCATCATGAGGATGAGAGTGTTACCAAACCCAGGAGAGCTTTGAGTTCAGGTCGCATTATTCTTAGATTTGTAGTTTGGTGGGGAAAGGAGTCGGACTATTTTTAGAGGGCGCCGATCTCGGTTTGTAATTAACAGACAGTGTGCCCTCCTGCTATGCACTCTCCTCACTCACACTTTGCTGTAATTAGTGTTTTAATCATCTTCTACAAGATCCTCAGGTCCGCAAGGGCCTGCAACATGCCTGTCTTCTTCACTACCCCGTCCTCCATGCTGGGCATATGAGCAGGGAGGGAGGATCGATTCCACCATGAGGGCTTGTAGGAGGTGCCAACAACTGGGCAGTCGACCAGTGGGAAGTTGAGCAGGTGGCAGGGGCAGCCTGAACTGAGCATGGATGGACAGAAGGTATGTCATGTCTGGGGAAAGCAAGTGCCAAGGATCCTGGGATGAAGTTGGGGAATGATGGGAAGAAGCAGGACAGGAAGTGCCTTGAATATTAAGTCACTCACTTCTCTTGTGTTTAGGGAGACAGGGCTGAAAACACATACTTTGTAGAAAGAACAGGAACGGTTTCATGATTCTTGTCTTTTATCAGACAGGGCCTCTATAACCCTTACAGCACCTTTGTGAGAATCGGAAATAGACATCTCTTATCTTGGTGGATGAATTTTGAAGAAAGCGGCCCCTGCCTCCCCTCTTCCCACCCAGCTGGCTGCAGCCTTGTACCAGGGCACAAGGCTTAACAAATAGGGTTTGAGCTGGCTCTTGGCCCTCACTTGCTCTCTAGGATGGATATTTTTGAGCAGTACACAAGCTGCGCGACTGTATATGATCACCCTTTGAGATTTATGGTCTAGATTTAGGCTTCTGATTGGAGATAGTATAAGATGGGAAGCCTTTCTGTGTCACCCAACTCTGATTGTCTTATTTACTTACACAATTCTGTTAGCCATATGTTGCTGTTCTTTGCACAAGAAACCAGGGACTATTACTACTGGAGGTCAGGACCTTTATAAGCACATTGTCCACAGTTCCCAAATGTCCTGGGCCCTGAACATTGCCATCACCCAGGAGCTTATCAAAACGCTGATTTCTGTACCCCAAAATCCCATTGTGTGTGATGTAGGAGCTAGGACAGAGTCCAAGAACCTGCATTTTCATAAGCTCTCCAGTTGCACACCACAGATCTAACCCACTTCTAGACAAGGAAACAGAAGCCCAGAGAGGTTTGGTGACTTGCCCAGGCCATCCCAAACTGGAGAGGAGACCTGAGTTTGGCGATGTTCAGTGCAGGCCTCCTCTGACTGTCTGCCCACCATGCTGAACCCAGTCCTCTCCAAGCTCTCCCATCTCTGACGATCTCCAAGGCCAGGAACCTGGCTCTGTGCCATTTTGTTTACAAACTGTGCTTCCTTTAGCCATCAATGTTTTGTCCCCTCTTAGTGTATTATCAGTACTTTACTGAAGCATAATTCACATACAGTAAAATGCATTAATCTTAAGTGCACAGCCTGAGGGATTTTGACAAATGTTTATACCCCTATAATCATTGCCCCAGATCCAAGTAAAGGTGATTTCCATTGCCCCAGAAGGCCATCAGTTGTTCTGAAAGGACAGAGGCACCTATTGGGGGACAGAGATCACTTCTGTTTGTTCCATGCGTGTGTCTTTGGGTTTTCTGTAATCTTCCTTGGAAGGGTGAGGCCTGCGGATGGGGCAGAGGTGGAGGAGCAGTGGGAACAATGTGTAGCCACATTTCTCAAACCCAGAGCATTGTCATGTGCCAGGGCAGACCAAGCTGCCGGGTAAAAGTGCTGCATCTTCTTGGGGTGTTAACACCATTTGAAGATCGTGCAAGAAAATCTATCTTTATGTTGAAATATAGGGATGGATAGAGAGCAGAATGTAAAACTCATTTGGATATTGACGACAAAACATTCACCTTTTAGAAAGTGGGGAAAGTGGGCTTCTCTTAACCCTACCTCTGGATCCCCAAGGGTAGCAGTCTTGCTCCTGCCCTGTCCTAGCCTTAAGGAGAGTTTGAGAAGTGCCAGTGTGTGGCATTCATTGCTGAAGCCATTCAGAGGATCCCATGGTGTTCTGTGTGATTGAGATAGGGCCTGGGAATACAGCCTGGACACCCACACCATCCACACACTGGGGGTGACCTGCTGGGAAGGATGACAGTACTGTTTCCCCTGGAGACTTGGCAGGTGGCGCATCCTCCAAAACTCTTTGAAGAATCTACATTTTTAAGACATGAAGCTGTGGACAGGGACACTTGGCATTTTCATCCCATCCCTAGGAGGGGCTAGAGCATCCAAGCACTGCAATATACTCCAGCCTGAAGAGGTTCTCTGGGACTTTGTTAAGGGGCATTGACCACTGTTCCCACCTCCCAGGGACAGAATCGGCTCAGAGCGTTTCAGCCGTCGACCCAGCCACTGAGCACGCCTGCTACTCACAGATGTGCCTCCCTTTCTGTTTCATATAGATTCTTTTCTGATGCTTTGTTTTCCTGCCTCAATTTCATAAATCTTTATAGTTGAGTTTTAAAAAATAACTTGCAAATGTTTTCCCTTTGGGTGAACTCTTGCTTCTGTGTGTTGTGATGGTGGCGATGCTGATTCCAAGAGCTAAATATGCGATGAGGATGCCTGTCGCAGGGGTGGTGGCCTCTGCCCTCACTTTTCCTAGAGACATATTTGTAAGTGAAATGTCAAAGGCATCTTTGGTTATTTCTAGGTTCTACATATATTTAACGAGTTTTAAAATACTCGTGCCAAATTGCCCAGCAGAAGATAGGTTGCACATGTTTTCACTACCGTTAGCGGACAGAGAGCACTTGTTTCCCCAACAATGGCGATCAGCATTCCTTTCCACACTTTTACTTTTTTTTTTTTTTTTTTGAGACAGAGACTCGCTCTGTTGCCCAGGCTGGAGTGCAGTGGCTCAATCTTAGCTCACCACAACCTCCTTGATTCAAGCGATTCTCCTGTCTCAGCCTCCCAAGTAACTGGGATTACAGGCGTATGCCACCATGCCCGGCTAATTTTCATATCTTTAGTAGAGACAGGATTTCACCATGTTGGCCAGGCTGGTCTCAAACTCCTGACCTCAAGTGATCTGCCCACCTCGGCCTCCCAAAGTGCTGGGATTATAGGCGTGAGCCACCACGCCCGGCCTTAAATTTGATAGATGTAAAATTGTACCAAAGTTTCCTTTGCATTTCTTTGGTTAGTCACTGCGAAGATTTTTCAGGAATTTATAACCTGTTTCTGTTGCTTCCTTTATAAATTTGCTTTTTATGCTCTGCTCATTTTGCTATTTTTGATGTATTTATGTCTTTCTTTTATTTTAGTTAGAGTCTTAATTTATAGGGTACCTCCTTAGTTTCCAGTTTTCAAAAAATATTATCTCTACCCAGACTCAGAGGCTTGGAACAGATTCACTCCAAAGCGGTATCAGGCCACCACTCCTACACAGTGTCTTTGGGAACATTAGAAAAACTGCTTCTTCCCTGTCTCATACAGCACCATCCTAAGTTTAGGGCTTAGTGAGTGGCACCCAGGTAAGTTCAACCTGTCCTGGGTCCCTTAGCCAGGCTCCCCTGTTCAGAACACAGCTGTACAACCTACACAACCCACTGTGGCCACTCTAGTGTTGTAAAAAGTGAACTAAGCCACATTCTTTTTTTTTTTTTTTTTTTTAATTGAGACGGAGTCTTGCTCTGTTGCTCAGACTGGAATGCCGTGGCATGATCTCAGCTCACCACAACCTCCACCTCTCAGGTTCAGGCGATTCTCCTGCCTCAGCCTCCTGAGTAGCTGGAACTACAGGTGCGCACCACCATGCCCGGCTAATTTTTGTATTTTTAGTAGAGATGGGGTTTCACTATGTTGGCCAGGCTGGTCTCGAACTCCTGACCTCATGATCCATCCACCTCGGCCTCCCAGAGTGCTGGGATTACAGGCATGAGCCACCGCGCCTGGCTGCCACTTTTAAAAATAATAACGAAAACTCCAAGCCATTGAGGGTACAATTTTTAATACAATTAAACCTCCCAGCTACCACTGTGGGCATCATGGTGTTCTGCATGGAATCTGATTTTGCTTGGCATTGGTCTGGTCTGTGCTGTGGCATGCCGGATAGCAGAGGCCTGGGAGGGAGTTCAGAGGCCTGGGTTCTAGTCCTGGCTGTGTTACTAATGCATGGCATGACTGTGGGCAAGCCAGCTTTTTGGGGCCTCACTTTTCTCATCTGTAAAAGGAGAGGCTGTGACTAAGTAAACTTCCAGGTCATTCTCAGCTCTAAATATCTGCAAGTTCGAGTTTTAGCTGTATTTTTCTTTTTTCCCCCAAAAGATTATGACACCTGTAAGACAGGTTAGTTTTAGATTTTTTCTTTAGCATCTGGGTTATGAAAAACAAAATCCATTTTGACGTTTTTGCATTCCATCAAATTTCTACCTGATTTATGCTGTTTTACGTGTGTCTGAAAAGAGGATTACTTACACACAGCCAATCGCCTTTCTCCATTTTACCAAAGGCATCTTGGGGTCTGTGGAGTCACTGAGAGAAGGCATGGATGTGCTTGACAGTGGGAAAATGTGGTTAAATTACTCTCTTGGCTCATCCCACCTTTTCCTTCTCTCCTTTCTCAGTAACTGTTTATGGGGCATCTCCCCGGGGAGGCTCAGAACTGAGCAACCCTTCGAGGACCTCTGTGCCTTGTGGGGAGCCGGGAATTACTGGGACCCTCCTAAGTGGCAGCTCCATGGGCATTCTTCCTTGCTCGCATCCTCATGGCCTCTCCCACAGAGGACACCCCCCAGCCCACTCTCCCTGATTCCACTTTCTCTACCACCCCAGGCCTTTCATGCTTTCCAGCATTCCCCAGAACCCATTCTCTGTGGCCTGTCAAAGGTGGGGTTTCATCCCAGCCACTTCTCCACTTGCTCTCTTCCTAGACCCTCTGGCCCTCTCAGGTGGCCCTGCCTGGCACCTGTGTGCTCCACACCAGGCCTGTCTTCTGAGCCCAATCCAGCTCCCACTTGGCTGCCTTAGGGACCTCTGGACCTCAGATGTCTCAGACCATGTGGTCCCAAATCTAGCTCGCGATCCTCATCCACAGTCCCTGTCTGGCTTTCCTGTCACCTAGCTGATCCCCCAAACACATGGCATCCTGCCTCTCCTGACCCCTGCCCCCACCCTCCCTGACCTGTCTGTCCTGCCCCTGCCCGGCTCGCTCCACATCCGTCCTTCCTTCTCCTGGCTGCATCTTCTGAGGTCTGGCCTCCTACAGTCTCTCCTGCTCCCAGTCTTCCTTTATTGCTTTGATCCAAATTTAAAACAAAGAACACCGCTGTCCTGTGGCGGGCTCCCTGCGGGAGTCACTGCTGTCTCTTTACCCTTCCCCATCTCAGGAGGGGCCCAATGCAGGCTTGCGCAGCTGAACTGGACTTATCCTTGATCAAGGTCAGACTTTTCCCTCTGATTGTTCTGCCACCTCCTCAGCCACACAGTGGCTGAGGGCACCGGACTTTTCCCTTTCCCCTCCCTCTCTACATGTACCCGGCGCCCCTGTCTCCCATAATCCTCCAGAGGTTAAGTAGATCCAAGACCCTTGGGCTGCATGTCGGAGCAAATCCAGCCCAACTTTTTAAGAAAACCAGGGCTCTGGGAAGGGGCAAATGCTGGGTCACGTCGTTGGAGGTTTGTGGCAGGGACTCTCATGCCTGCGTGTATGAGTTTCCCAGGACTATTGTCACGAATTATCACAACCTGGGGGGCTTAAGACAGCAGAAACTCATTCTTTTAGTCCTGGAGGCTGGAAGTCCAGAATGAAGGTATCTGTAGGGCTGTTTCCTTCTGAGGGCCGTCAGGGGGAGTCTGTTCCAGCTTTTCTCCTGGCTCGAGGCAGCTCCCAACAGTCCTTGGCATGTTAGGGCTGGCAGATCCAGGGCTATGCCGGTCCCCTGCCTGCCTCCATCTTCACATGTACTCTCCTCTTGTGTGTCTGTGTCCAAATTTCCCTCTTCTTATAAGGACCCCAGTCCCTGGATTAGGGTTCCAGTATGACCCCATCCTAACTTGTTTACATCTATAAAGACCCTATTTCCAAATAAGGCCACATTCACAGGTCCTAGGGACTAGGGGTCCAACATGCCTTTTAGGAGGGAGGACACAGCTGAGCTAATGCAGTGTGGTCCATGTCACTTGTTTTTGTGGTGCTAGAGAGGGACCGTGAGGTGTGGGTCACACTGGTTCACCTTGTGGGTGGATTTAGCTGGCCTTTGAGGTTGAAAGTTCTCAGCATTGTATTTGTAAGACCTGTATCATTAATAAACATTTTGCTAGTCTTGGATGCTTCTTTGTGTGGGGGGAGCTGGGAGATGGAGGACAGAGGTCACCTGGGCCATCTTTCCAGGTGAGATTATACATTTCAGCCTAGGGTGGGGCAGAGCCACCTCACGGAAGCATCACTTTTATTCTTTCACTTTTTGTCATTTTCCCCTTTGGAAACTAAGCTTGTTCGTGCTCTGGGACGTGCGGTCATGCGTCCCTCACTGCTGGGTTGAGCTGGTAGGCCTGCCCCTGCTTTCCTTTACAGGCGAGTGCCTCGTGCTGCTGTTTTTCTGATTGCTCTGGAAGTTCATTGTTGCTCTGGCCCTCCTGACCTGTGTCTGGCCTTTGCCCATGTGCAGAGTTTGTGGATCAGCATTTCAGGGGTGCGGGGGCGTGGTGGTATGCGAGTCCATAGCCGTGGAAGTTTGGGACCCAAGCCTCATGAGGCAGAAGCCTGGCTCTGGGGCTCCATATTTAGTCTGGAATCCAGCCTCAGCTGCTGCTCTGGGGCCACACTGGATGCCAGAAAGGGCAGAACACTGGCCCGGAGCCAGAGCTAGGACAGCAGGGCCTGCTGTGCAGCGCAGCTGGTGCCCAAGGGGCATGGACCTTGCTGGGCCTGCCCGGAACTGGCCTGCCCCTGCCTTTGTGTCAACCAGGAGGCCTGTGGGAAAGGGGGCTGGGAAGAAAGTGAGCAAACACCTCAGAATTGGAAGGATCAGAACTGGACAGGGCCTCGGAGTGACATAGTCCAGTGCACCCTTTCTGCAGAGAAGAAAGACTGGGGTGGCCCAGGGCGGTGACTTGCCCAAGGTCACACAGTTAATGGCAGAGCCACTAGATTTGGGCTTCTGGACATCAAATCCTTTGCCCTTCCCTGGAACCATGCTGCCCAGGAGGCCAGGCCGTTATCAGGGTGGGACTCCCTCCAGGCACCACCTTCGCCAGAGACCAGAAGAGGATGGCCACACCCTCGGGAGCACGCAAATTGGGAAAAAGCAGACATCCATTTCGGATGACTTCCTGCCCCTCTTTCTGTGCTACTTCCCAGGCTCCACTGGCTTCTGCCACTCCTCACCCTCCACCCCGCCCCCACCACTGAGACCTGCTTATTATGTTAGTCATTTACCCCATAGTGTGAATATCAGTCCTCTCCCAGAGGAACTTGGACAACAGCCATGGAGTGAGAGTTGGAGTCAGCCAGACACAGCCAGACACAGCATTACGGGACATGTTGCAAGGTGCATATGGACTGAAACAGGCAGATCTCAGAAATGGAGGAAGCCCCTGGGACCTGCTCTCTCAGGAAGGGAAGGCCAGGGAGAGCTATTTCCAAACCAACCTGGGAAGTGTGGGAAGATGCTCCTAGCACGTCTCAGCTCCTGTCTAGTGACTGATCCATCTCCCTTGTCCATGGAGACTGGCTGACCCATCTCATGTTCTATAGCTCAGATCTACTCAGGAGGCAGTCCGATGGCCTCACTCATTATAATTACCCTGACTCTTCTAAGGCAGTCTTCCCATCACCCCACCTTGTGGGTCCCAGGCTGGCTGTGGATGGGCCACCCTCTGATGTGGTACCCACCGCTCCAGGCAATGGCTGCCCACAAGGACAGAACAGGCTGGCCTGGAGCTCTGAGCAGGACACATGGGAGAAGACAGACTCAGCATCAAGAAAAGGTCAACACCAGCCTGGCAGGTCCCTGGCCCCACGTCCAGTATGTGCCCTTACCTGCTGTGTGACCTTGGTGTCTGAACCTTTCTGAGCCTCAGTTTCCTCATTTCTAGGGATCCATTCTTCAGATTAGAGGCAGAACTGAAGAGAGTGCAGCTAAAGGCTTAGCTCCCAGTAGCCACTCACATAGCTATCATTGTGGTGCGCATTTCCTCATGCAACCCTGGCAGGTAGGCAGGGCCAGTACTTGTAACCCCATTTTACAGACTTGGAAATTGATAGTTAGAGTAAGTAATGGACCTACCCAGCCCTTTGCATTTCTGGTGCTGCACTTTTTCTTTTCTTTTCTTTTTTCTTAGAGACAGGGTCTCGCTCTGTGGCCCAGGCTGGGGTGCAGTAGCACAATCATAGCTCATTGTAGCCTCCAGCTCCTGGGCTCAAGCAATCCTCCCACCTCAGCCTCCTAAGCAGCTGGTACTGCAGGCATGCACCACCATGCCCAGCTAGTTTAAAAATTCTTTTTTTGTAGAGATGGGATCTCACTTTGCTGCCCCAGCTGGTCTCAAGTTCCTGGCTGCAAGTGATCCTCCTGCCTCTGCTTCGGAAAGCGCTGGGATTACAGGTGTGAGCCACTATGCCTGGTCAGTGCTGTGCTTTTTCTACTGAAACACCCCGGTATTATCTGTGGGTTTTAGGAGCAGTTCTCACCCTTGACCCAATTAACCTAGATACCAGTGAATACCTTATTGTAAAGCTCTCTAGCTGCCGAGAGACCCCAGCTTCCTGGGTTGGTTTGAAAATAGCTCTCCTGGCTGGGTGCAGTGGCTCACACCTACCTGTAATCCCAGCACTTTGGGAGACTGAGGTGGGCGGATCAACTGAGGTTGGGAGTTTGAGACCAGCCTGACCAACATGGAGAAACCTACTAAAAACTACAAAATTAGCTGGGTGTGGTGGCGCATGCCTGTAATCCCAGCTACTCGGGAGGCTGAGGCAAGAGAATCGCTTGAACCCAGGAGGCAGAGGTTGTGGTGAGCCGAGATTGCGCCATTGAACTCCAGCTTGGGGAACAAGAGTGAAACCCTGTCTCAAAAAAAAAAAAAAAAGAAAAAGAAAAAGAAAACAGCTCTCCCTGGCCTTCCGTTCCCATGTGGGCAAGGAGTGGATGCTGGGGCTTGGCCTCATGGGAGAAGCTGTGCGTGGGCAACCACTCAAGTGCAGTGAGTGGATTAATAACCAGCGCGAGCCTGCCTCGGCCACTGTCATTCCCATGACACGCAACTTTTGTCATTGTTAACAGTTGGAGACTGTGTGCAGGCCTCTGCCTGGCAGTGCTGAGGATAGCGATTAGCAGGGAGTGGCGGGGACTAATCGCTCTCATCAGCCGGGAAGAATCCAAGCCTGCCTGCCGTTCACAGGTGGCCTTTAGCTCCTTGGGCCCCAGGGAAAGAGGAACAAAGGGAATCGCTGCAAAACATCTGGGGGCTTCCTCTTGTTCCGGAGAGGCAGGCTGCCGCGGATCAGGGAATGGAGGCAGCGGGGATCTGGGAGGCCCAGAAGCAGTGGAACCACAGCTGGGCTGGTGTCTATACAGCCCATGTCCTGCCTTCAGATGAGCAGGAACATTTTTAGAGGATGCCTGTGAAGTTTTCTCCTGTTCCTCTCACCCTGGGCATCATCAGGGGGCTCTGTATCTGGTGGGAGCATGGCAGCATTCAAGGTGCAGGAGGAAGCTCAGGCGGAGATTCCCTCTGGTCAGTGTACAGTTGGCAGAAATGCCCGGGAGACCCTCAGCTGGGGAACGCACCCAAGATGGAGAGCAGGGGCGTCAACACCTCCGCTGGGATTCTTAAGACTTCGCAGAAAAGGGCAAGTTTGTAGTGCATTTGAAGGACTTGGTTGAATTAAAGCAAAATTATCCTCATTATTGTCATCATTATTGATATTAATAATATGTAACTAGAAATCTTTTTTTTTTCTTTTTTTTTTTTGAGACGGACTCTCGCTCTGTCGCCCAGGCCAGAGTGCAGTGGCGCGATCTCGGCTCACTGCAAGCTCTGCCTCCCGGGTTCATGCCATTCTCCTGCCTCCGCCTCCCCGAGTAGCTGGGACTACAGGCGCCTGCCACAATGCCCGGCTAATTTTTTTGTATTTTTAGTAGAGACGGGGTTTCACCGTATTAGCCAGGATGGTCTCGATCTCCTGACCTCGTGATCCGCCCGCCTCAGCCTCCCAAAGTGCTGGGATTACAGGTGTGAGCCACCACACCCGGCCAATTCGAATTCTTTTGTATTTTAAAGCTGACTTTTATGTTCTTAAACTCTGGGAGGTTTTTTGTTTGTTTTTTTTTTTAAGATATTATTCTTATTTATAGATATAGGAATGAGGCCTATAGATGAAGGTGGCTGGCTGAGGTGAGCAGGCCAAGGTGAGGATATACCTTTGCCTCAGGTGGGGTTAGGGCCAGGCCCAGTGATGCTGGGAACCCATTCAGATCCTTTTCTTTCAGAATATCTGGCATTTAGTTATGCACTGTGTGATAGAGGCTCCTGAACAATTTCTTAGAGGACTGTTTCCTATCAACCAGATGACATGGACCAAAGAGGTGAATTTTTACCTCTCCTGTGCCACAGATCCCTCCTATGAACACAAGCCCCCCCTCCTATCTGCCCCCTTCCCCCACTCCTGCAATGTGCAGCAGACAGTTTCTTTGGTGTCGTGAACTGTGGCTGCAGTCTGGCCTACCCTTTTCCGGCGGGTCCTGGGGGATGCCTTGCTCACCGGCTGGCTTCCTGAGCCTGCACCCCATGCGGATGCACGGGGTCCCACACTCAGAAGGGTTCATGTTTGGTTAATACTCCATAGTCACTGTTTTGAAATTTTTATTTTGAGCAAGAAGCCCTTCATTCTTCCCCACCCCCACCCCACCCCGCCCCAACTGGGCCTCGAAAATTATATAGCCAGTCCTGCTTGCTCCAGGCCCCACAGTTGTTGAAGCATGGATCTGTGCTCCTGACTGCCACGTGGCAGGTCTGTGAGCTGGCCTAATGGCTATGGAGTAGCCGGCAGAGGCCCAGGGGCTGAGGCCTGAGCTGTTTGTGGGGCCTGGCATTTAGGGCAGCGTAGGGATTTCTGGAATGAGTCCTCACACATTCTCCAGCCACCACTTTCCAACCCTCCCTCCATCCCGGCCTCTGCCCCTTCCCTCCTCACTTGGAAACACCAGGTGCACGTTGTGACCTTGTTGGCAAAAAGCAAGGTGCCGGAAATCCATGCACCCACAGCAGATAACTGTCCCCCTCCTGTGCCCATCCTGAAGCTGGCCCAATCTGAGCTCCCCACAGGAGTTTATTTTTGATAGATCGAGAAGACTAGAACTATCCAAGGAACGAGAACTGCCCCGCTTGGGCCTCCTCCTCACCTGGTGCGTTCAGTCAGGCTGCAGCATGCCCTGAGGATGTGCTGCAAGTCCCTGGGGCCAGGCTGAGAGAGCTGAGGCCCTTGTCTTGATGAACTGCAGGAGTTGCTGTCAGGGCCTGCTGGGCCCTGAAGGCCTCCAGTCTGCCAAGAGGGAGGTGGCCGTGAGCTGAGTGGTGCCAAGTCTCCGGTGCCAGGCATTGGAAAGGTCATCTTGACATCCGTCTTCCCTTCCCTGTCTCGAAGCATCAAGTCACAATGAACAAAAGAATCAGCACTAAGCAGGCATGAGGAAATGGACCCCCGAGCCTGGCCACCCAAGGGATGGGGTCAGGGGACCTGGCACCTGGGCTTCTTGTGGCCTATCCTTGGGTAAGTCATAGGATTCTAGGATTTTAAAGGTGGCAGGCACCTTAGAGCTCACCCAGCCCAGCCTCTTATCCAGACGAGGGGACTGAGAGCAAAGGGGAGAGTGGGAGCGGCTCCCTTCCAGGTCTCAGTTAGGATTAGGATTGTTGGTTGTGCTGTCTATTGCTGTGTAATAAATTACCCCTCAAATTACCCCAAAACTTAGCTGAAACTACGTACATTTATTTTTTAATTAATTAATTTTTTTTAGAGAGACAGGGTCTCAGTCTGTCACCCAGGCTGGAGTGCAGTGGTGTGATCACAGCTCACTGCAGCTTCAACCTCCCAGTCTCAAGTAATCCTCCTGCCTCAGCCTCCCAAATGGCTGGGACCAGCGGTGCACACCACCACACTAGGCTAATATTTTATTTTTTTGTAGGGTTGGGGTCTCTGTATGTTGCCCATGCTGGTCTCGAACTCCTGGACTCAAGCGATCCTCCCACATTGGTCTCCCAAAGTGCTGTGCCCAGCCTTAAACTACATACATTTGTTATTTCATGGTTTATGCTGGTAAAGAATTGGAGCTCTGCTTAGCTGAATCCCTTGCTCTGGGATCTCTCCGAGGCTGCAATCAAGGTGTCAGCTGAGGCAATATTCAACTGCGGGAAGAGCCACTTCCAAGCTCATGTGTGTGGGTGGTGACAGGATTCAGTTCCTTGCAGCCTGTTGGACTGAGTTGTCCACAGTTCCTCTCCAGCATGGCAGCTGGTTCATCAAATCGTGCAAGCTGAGGAGGCAGTAGAGTCAACAAGGTGGCAGTCATGGTCTTTTGTAACTGAATCACAGAAGTGACATCCTATCACCTTTGTCATACTCTATTTGTTAGAAGCAAGTCACCAGGTTCAGCCTACAGTCAAGGGAGGAGATTACACAGATCATGAATGGGAGGAGGCAAGGATTATTCAACACCATCTTAGAAAGCTGCTTACCACGGTGACATAGAACAGAAAATCCAAAGAACAGAGGTTTAAACAACATACTCCTTTATTTCTTTCTTACGTCTACAGGCAGGCAGCTCAGGCCTCGTGTGAGGGCTCTGTGATCACAGGGGCCCAAGCTCTTTCTATCTTTCTGCTTTGCCCTGTGTAATAGTTGACCGCTATCTTCAAAGTTGTCTCATGGCCCAAGAGAGTTGCTGGAACTCCATTCATCACATCCACAATCCAGACAAGAAAGAGAAAGTGGGAAGAGCAAAAGGCATGTGCCAATGGAATCAGTCCCTTTTCCTTTTCTTTTCTTTCTTTCTTTTTTTTTTTTTCTTTTTGGGAGACAGAGTCTTGCTCTGTCACCCAGGCTGGAATGCAGTGGCGGGACCTTGGCTCACTACCTCTGCCTCCCGGGTTCAAACGATTCTCCTGCCTCAGCCTCCCGAGTAGCTGGGACAACAGGTGTGTGCTAACACACCTGGCTAATTTTTTGTATTTTAGTAGAGATTGGGTTTCACTGTGTTAGCCAGGATGGTCTCCATCTTCTGATCTTGTGATCCGCCCACCTCGGCCTCCCAAAGTGCTGGGATTACAGGCGTGAGCCACCGCACATGTCTGGAATCAGTTCCTTTAAAGGGTTCAGTAACTTCCCTTTACACCTCATTGGTCACTCCTATCTGTGAGGGAGGCTGCAAAATGTAGTTTTTCTCTAGGTACATTTTCTCCCCCAGTGTTATAAGGATTCTGTTAATAAGGAAGGAGAGAATGGATTTTCCAGATTCAACTAGCAGTGACTGCTGTTTTTAATGGCTCCTCAACCTGAAGGTGTAAAGCCATATCTTCCACCTCCACTGCATCATGTGGGCCCTGCCCCAAATTCCTGGTCTCCTGGGGATGCTGAGTGGGTGGAATAAGGGGCAAATGTTGGAGGATAAAGTTCTAGTGCAACATAGGATAGAACAGTGAACGAAGAAGTGTAACATCAACTGGCCTCTTCGTTCACTGCCTCATTCATTTATCATCGATTTGCTGACTGCCTACCTTGCATGAGGCAGCAGGAAAAGGAGGAAGACATAGAGTTAAGGGAACCACAGCCTCCAGCGGGAGACAGACCTGTGACTGGATAGATGACCAGTCAGCTAACAGTCACCAGAAAGCCAGCCCTGGGAAGGAAGGCATGCAGGCTGGGACTTGAAGGGTAGTGATATGTGTTGAATATGTGTCCCCTCTCAATCTCATGTTGAAATATGATCTCCAGTGTTGGAGGTGGGGCCTGGTGGGAGGTGTTTGGATCATGGAGATGGATCCTTCATGAATGGCTTGGTGCCATCCCCTTGGTGATAAGCGAACTCTCTCCCTGAGTTCACGTGAGACCTGGTTTAAAAGTGTGTGGTACCCTCCCCCCGCCCCACCCCTGCCTTGCTCCTGCCCTGGCCATGTGACGTGCCTGCTTTCACTTTGCCTTCTGCCATGAGTGAAAGCTCCCTGAAGCCTCCCCAGCAGCCAAGTAGATGCTGGTGCAATGCTTGTACAGCCTGCAGAACCATGAACCAATGAAGCCTTTTTTCTTTATAAATTACCCAGCCTCAGGTATTCCTTTATAGCAATGTGAGAATGGCCTAACACAGGTGGATAGCAGTTGTCTGGGCAGAATGGGCTGAGGAAGCAGCCTGTGTGCTGGCATGCAGCTCCAGCCCTCTTGTCTGGAGGAGGGCCAACGCTGGGTGTTCTCTTTTCCAGCCTGAGAACTTGGCTGTTTCAGATGAGGAGACCCAGTGGCCAGTGCAGGGGACGGATCTCTGCCTGCAGCAGGGCCTAGGATGGAGCCTCTATCACCCTCTATTCCAATGCCCTTTCAGCCTTTCCAGCTCATCTTCTGGCTGCGGCACCCTGAAGCCAAACCCTTAGACTTCCAGTGGGCCTGCAGTAAGCTCCAGACTCTGAAACAGTGGGTAGATGGCCTGGGTGGGCAGGGAAACCCCAGCTGAGGGTAATGGGGAGTTGGCGGAGGCTCTGATGGTCTTACCAGGGCTCCAGATTTTTCCTACTTGGCAACCTAAGGAACATCACAGGCATCCCCTGAACCATAGTTGCTTTATAAGTCACAAACGAACAATCAAAACCACCTAACTTAGCCTGTGAACTTCTGCTCATTCATATTTAAGTTTTCAGAGGCTCAGCCTGAAGGAAGTTGGAAGTGTGCTGTCATTAGCAAGGAGAGAAGGTGTGGCAGGCACCTCTCCGCTCTGAGGCCAAGGTAGCACCTTCCAAGGATGCTCAGGAGTGCATGAAGCCTGTCCTGCCTCCAGCAATACACAGACTCAGAATATATGCAGCAGGGCCTGCTGAGGTTGAGGGGAGCCAGCAATAAGCTCATGGCAGGTATCATCTCTGTGCATTTAAAATTTAAGGTCAGAACTTGGGAACCCTTTGGTATTTGCCAGCCAGAAGGATCTGCAGCTCAGAGGGCCATGAAACGGTGAAACGGCATGGTGGTGTGGGCGGGCAGGCTCCTGTACTTACCATTGTGGTCAACAGAGAGGGTTCTATAACAGCACGCAGGGCAAGAATGAGCATGATAGCACCAATAAGGACATCAGCATTTCTTGAATGTAGTGAAGTATTCAGCATGGGCCAAAAGTACTTTATGGGGACTATCTTCCTTGCAAGAGACCCAGAACGGAGACACTGTGATTAGTCTCCACCTCCAACCCCAGCCTTTTTCCTGGAGAAAGGGCAGGGGACAATCCCAGCAAGACTCTTTCTCACCCCTGCCCCTATACGAGTGGAGCAGATTCCAGATTCAATAGTGGTGCATGGAGTGATCAATGGATAGGATGCCGCCACCTTTGACCTGAAGACTTTAGACCTCTCTGCGTGGGAGGACTGCCCACCCGACGGGGGCCTGAGAGCTTTAACAGAGCAGAAAATCTCCTCTCTGCCGATCAGCTCATGGGTGTTGGAAAGGCCTGGCGAACTGTAAAGCAGTGTTGCTGGAGGAGTCTGAGCAGATGGTTCTATTGGCCCAGGGTGTGGCCGGGGCCTCACACTGATAGGCATGCCCTCCGTATGTCCAGCATGTGACCGGATCTGAAAGGACACAGACTCCTCAGAACCAGTGTTCTAGCCAGGGGGGTCAACAGCCAACCTTTACATTTTTCCTCTTAAAGGTTTTTTTTTTTCTTGTTCATAAAAATGCCAAAATCTCATTTTGGGGAGATAAAAAGAAAATACAGAAACAGCAAAAGGAGAAAAGTTAGTCCTAATACCACCTCTGAAAGATGTCTTTGGATATTTGTAGTTTACAGTCCTATTTCTATGTATTTTCATGTAGTTGAGATTTCAGGGTCTATTAAAAATTGTGTTTTCTTTCCTACATATCATGGTGTCATGAGCAATCCCGGGTTATTACAGCCCTTCGTAAACAATTCCTGAGGGCTGAATAAGCTAGCAAGCCATGTCTGTAGCTGAGTGTGGGCACGTCTTAGTGCCCACCAGACTGTCCCCCTCATGCCAGCACCTTCCTGCTCAGCTGGCCTCTGCACTGCCCATGTCCACAGGCACCTGGCTGTGCTCACAGGATCCAGAGGATTAGAAGGAGATCTCCTCTAGCGACAGGGTGGGTACCATGTGCTGGAGTTAGGAGGCGAAAGGGTGACCCCTGTGTCTTGCGTAGATGGACAAGGCCCCCAGTGTGATGTGATGAGCCCTAACAGAGGGTGCCGTGACCCAGCCTTACCTGGCCTGTCACGGGGCTTCCCTGAGCCAGCCCAGTGACCTCAAAGCTTTCCTACCTGTGACACCCTCCAAGTGGCCAATCCACTTTGAGGGTGTGAGGTGAGAAGGGACAACTCACCTAGCTGCCAACCAATGTGTCTAATAATCTCCATGCCTCTGATTCCTCACTGTCAATTGGAGAGACTAATAGCATGCACCCCATGGGGTTGAGAGCACTAAAAGCAATCAAACCTGAGTGTGTGCAGAGTCTGCCCCCAACCCCCGAGGCATGCAATAGATGCGCCCCATCATTGCTTGCTTCTAGGGAGCTCCCAGGGTGGGGAGCTGGGGCTGACACAGGAAGTAACAAGAGTGACTTGGCGCTGGGGAGACTGAGGCCTCAAGAGTTCAGGAACTTCCTGAAGGTCATGTGGCGGTGGCGATGAGCTCCGAAGCCTGTGTCTGTATGTGCTTCATTTGTGTGTCACTCCCCATGGGCACCTTTGTAACTGTTGTGTTTTTAATTTTCTGTCAGTTGGAGCAAGCAGATGTGGCTCTGGGCAGGATTTCCTATGCTGTCCTTGTCACTTCATACTCTGTCTTCTCCTTGCCACTCTGGGGATGTCCTTGAGCAGAGCCCATCTCTCATTCGCCTTGGTATCCCAAGGTCTAGCACAGTGCCTGGCAGACACTGAGGAAGTGACAGGCGTTTGTTGCGCTTTGAGTCAAGGACAGAGCCAGAGCAAAGGCTACTGGGTGAGCTGAAGGGATATTTCTTCTGAGCTCTGATATCTCGGTGTCCCCAGCTCTGTTCTTGGCTTGTCACTATAAATCAGACTGGAATGCTGGGGTTTTTCCTGGCAGTCTCTCCATCCCCTCTCCTGAATAGTGCTGGATGAGATAGACAAATTCTTCATTATCTTTTGCAGCCAAACCAGTTCTTCCCTTTCCCTGCAATATTCCCAGCCAGCCCTGAGTAGCCTCCTGCTACATCAATCCCAGTGCAGCCTGTCTCATACTGGTGACATTTTACATTGGCATGTCCCTGGTGAGAATGTTAAGCTTGTTGAAATCTGAGAGGCGCCTCCTTGCTCTCTCAGCCACGTAGACACTGTGTTTCCTTAGGCCACTGCTCTCCTACGTGTTGGGTAGACACATTTCCAATTTGGATGATGGTCCTTTCAGGCTTTGGTCTGGCCTGCGGAGAAGGGTATCTCAGCTCAGCTGAACTGAGATCTGCCCTCACCACTAAGGTGTTAGGCCCGTTCTTTATCTAGCTATAGGAAAAGTAAAAAGAGCTTTTGTAGAAGCAAAGAGGACCTGATCGTGTTAATCTGTGTTAATTTCAAGGGTCCAGCCCGGCGATTCCAGGCTCCCAAAAGAAAAATGTGTTTTCCCCCACCTTGATCTACTGCTCTGTGAGGTAGATGTACTGACCGCATGTTTAGACACTGAGAATCAATTTAGCAGCCTTCTGATCTCTATATATTCTGTGCGTGCACAACAGGAATAATGATTTTTAACACTGGGTTTGGCAAGGGCGTTGCCAGACTTTCTCATAGGCGATCTGATGGGAAAGCTGTCCCCCCGAGGGTCCTTCCTGTAGGGAGAGTTATATGAGTCTGAGAAAACATCTGGCCAGCCTCATCTGTAAACATGGCACAATATTATTGAATGACAGCCTGGGGACCAGCCTGTGGGGAGTGGAAATGCAGTCTCAGGACAGCTATAAACTAATGGTCTTTCTTTGCTTACTGACACATTGAAGCAGGGTTCTGAGATGGCATTGAGACAAGGGCCCCCATCACCCACCCTCACTGGCTTCTTGGACCAAGACTGCATATACTGATATGTTCAACTCACTGTCTTGTATGCTCTAAAACACTTTTGTTTTGAAGCAAGAAAATGGAAGACAAGCTTAGGGATGGCAGTTTCCTGGAGGCAGCCTGAGGGATGAGAAATAAAAGACATTGGCACAAATCTCAGGAAGCAAGAATTTTAGTCCAGGCTCTGGGATTTGGGGTGTGTCATATCATAGCTCTGTGGGTATGTTTCCTCACCTATAATATGAAGAATTGGCTTGCTCGTTTCACTGATGCTAGGAGGCATGTTCATTTCACATCTTAATGTTTCTTAAATCAGGCTGCATCTTACTATCGCTGGCATAGCACCCTTGCTGTTGCCAGATGACAGGCAGGACATAGTCGTCATGGCCTGAGCCTGTGTGAACATGGGCCTACTGTTCATAGTGTCACATCCTCCATTAAAAGAGGTTTGTTGTTGATTAGCCATGTATTGAGTATGAATGTCGTTAAAGGTGTCTACAAAAGGGTCTCATCATGATTTATTAGCAGAAGGGCCAGAAGACAGAGCAGTGGGGCACCAATTTAATATTAGAGAAGCAAATATTGTTGGAGGAAAGACTGCAATCTCATAAAACAGTAAGAATTGTCAGTCTCATGCATGCTAAACAATGCCACGAAAGGTGGAAGAAATTGCCAGAAGTTGACTCAGAAGAGATGAAACAGTCTCAGAGCCAGGTGAGGCCTGCGTGAGCAATTTGTCTACATGTAAGACTATCATGAAGGCATTATGGCATAGCTTAATTGACAGCATATTTTCTCTGTGGTTCATAAAATAATGGTGAGCCTTACAGTTGATGACTTTGCTTTCTAAGATCTCTTCTAGTTCTAATGTCTAATAGTTGTGTTTTCATTTTTCTGTCAAGTGGAGCAAGCAGATCAAAAATAACGTTTTTGGTGTTTCTCTCCTATGTTGGTGCTGCTTCTCTGGGCCCCTGTAGCACTTGACCCTTGATGTCATAACTGTGTGATCGCTTCTCTGCCCTTCGTTTTGTGTCCGTAACATTCAATACCAAGCTTGAGTTAGTGTTTTTTAAATGGACATATGGGTGGATGGATGGGTGGGTGAACGAATGGATGAATGGGTGGATGAATGGATGGATGGATGGATGAATGGATGGATGGATGGATGGATGGATGGATGGATGGATAAGAATGGGTGGATGGATGGGTGGATGGCTAGACAGGTGGGTGGGTGAATGGACAGTTAGATGAGTGGATGGATGGATGGATGAATGGGTAGATGAATGGATGGGTGGATGAATGAATGGGTAGATGAATAGATGGGTGGATGGATGGATAGATGGATGTATGGATGGATAAGAATGGGTGGATGGATGGATGGATGGATGGCTAGATGGGTGGGTGGGTGAATGGATGGATGAATGGATGGCTAGATAGTGGATGGATGGATGGATGGATGGATGGTTGGATGGATAGATGGGTGGGTGGATAGGTGGGTGGATGGACAGATGGATGAATGGGTGGGTGGGTAGATTGATGGATGGATGAATGGATGGATGGATGCAGGGCAGGTGGGTGGACCGATGGGTGGGTGGATGGATGGGTAGATGGATGGTTGGATGGATACATGAATGGGTGGATTGGGATGGACGGCTAGATAGGTGGGTAGATGGATGGATGGATGGATGGATGGATATGTGAATGAGTGGATTGATGGATGGATGGCTAGATGGGTGGATGAATGGATGGATAGGTGAGTGAATGGATGGCTAGATGGGTGGGTGGGTGGGTGGGTGGGTGGATGGATGGATGGATGGATGGATGGATAGATGGATGAATGTGTGGATGGATGGATGGATAAATGGGGGGGTGGATGGCTGGCTGGGTGGATAGATGGATGAATGGGTGGGTGGGTGGATGGATGGAAGGATGGATGGATGGATGGATGGATGAATGGATGAATGGTGGGTAGGTGGGTGGATTGCTGGGTGGATGGATGGATGAATAGATATAGATGGGTGGCTGGCTTGCTGGCTGGCTGGAGCTGCACCATGAGATGCATCCTCATCTTTGGTGAGGCAACAGATACCCTTCCAGGAAGCTTCAAACAAGTTCTCCAGATTCAGTGGGAGCCTAGACTCAGTGAAATTTTTTTTTTTTTTTTTTTGAGATGGAGTCTCACTGTTGCCCAGGCTGGAGAGCAGAGGCGCAATCTTGGCTCACTGCAACCTCCGCCTCCCAGATTCAAGCAATTCTCCTGCCTCAGCCTCTCGAGTAGCTGGGACTACAGGCACATGCCGCCATGCCTGGCTAATTTTTGTATTTTAGTAGAGATGGGGTTTCACCATGTTGCCCATGAGCTGAACTCCTGAGCTCAGGCAATCTGCCCACCTCGGCCTCCCAAAGTGTTGGGATTACAGGTGTGAACCACCACACCCCGCTGACTCCGTGATTTTTTTTTTAAGGGTTTTTTTTTTTTTTTTTTTTTTTTTTGAGACGGGTCTCGCTCTGTTCCCCAGGGCTGGAGTGCAGTGGTGTGATCTTGGCTCACTGCAAGCTCTGCCTTCTGGATTCAGGCCATTCTCCTGCCTCAGCCTCCCGATTAGCTGGGACTACAGGCGCCTGCCACCATGCCTGCCTAATTTTTTGTATATTTTTAGTAGAGACGGGGTTTCACAGTGTTAGCCAGGATGGTCTCGATCTCCTGACCTTGTGATCTGCCCACCTCGGCCTCCCAAAGTGCTGGGATTACAGGCGTGAGCCCCTGCGCCCGGCGTTTTAAGGCTTGTCATTGATGTTCTTTTATTCATTTGGTCCTAGATGATTCTAACAACTATGGTTTTTTTGGAGAGGCCTCCAAGCTACTAAGCCAGAGATTCCAACCCAAGTCAATAATCATGGGGCCAATCCATGTACATTACTTTTTTAACAGCTTTATTCAGATTCGATTTATATATTTTATAATTTACACATTTAAAATATACAATTAAATGGTTTTCAGTCTAATTATAGATATGTGTGACCTTTACCACCTTCATCACCTCTAAAAGAAACCCTTTAGCTATCACCCCCTTGTCTCCCTGCCTCCTTCCTGCCTCAGTTGTAAGCAAACACCATTCTACTTTTTGTCTCTCTAGATGTGTCTATTCTGGACATTTCATATTAATGAAATCTTATGTGATCTTCTGTGACTGGCTTCTTTCATTTAGCTTTGTATTTTCAAGGTTCATCCATGTGGTAGCGTGGATCAGTACTTTATTCCTTCTAATGGCTGAGTAATATTCCATTGCATGCATAGTTCATATTTTGTTATCCAGTCATCAGTTGATGGATGTTTGTGTAGATTTTACCTTTTGGCTATTATTAATAATGGTACTAAAAACATTTGTGTGCAAGTTTTTATGTAGACATGTGTTTTCATTTTTCTCAGGTATATACCTGGAGTGGAATTGTTGGGTCATAAGGTTTATGTTTAATGGTTCAAGAAATTGCAAACCATTCCATATGGTTTTCCACAGCAGCTGCACCATCTGACATTCCCATGAGCAGTGTTTGAGGACTCCAGTTGCTCCACATCCTCTCCAACACTTGACTCGATACTTTGTAAGGTCTTTTTACTTCTAAGCTTCTAGGATTCTGGGTGAAATCCAGTGACAGTTGAGGCTATGGGAGGCTCCTTTCTGGCCTTATATCCCCTCCTTCTCCATGTCTCAGTGTAGTTTGCAGATGGCTGTGGGGGATTTCTCAGTTAATTATCTGCCAGTTAACCACTCAGCCTGCTCCCTGCGGTTGTATCTGGCTACAGACTTCTCCTGCTGTGTGTGTGAAGAGGTTATCTGCTGCTACCATGCTCTAGTGGGTGAAATTAACCACAGAAATAATGGGAAGTAGAGACCAAAGACTCTGATGGACTAATTAGAACAGCCATCAGGAGCTGCCCCCTGTGGGCTCTCTGCTGCAAGGCATCTGGCTGCACCTGGGAGTCCTTCCTCACTGCAGCTGTCCCAGACTAGCCTGTGGGAGGAGCTCTTAGGTCACAGAGGCCCACCATGGGCCTCTCGGAGGGAGCCCACAGTCCTCCCTTCCGGCTTCTGTTGATTGCCCACTTCATACCAGGTCCTGGAAATACAATGATGGGAAAAACGAAAAGGTCCCTGTTCTCAAGCACGCACACTAGAGTGGGTTCCTGATGGAATTAACTGGAACTTAGATTTTTCTGGCTGCCTGTTTTCCCAATTACTTGATCATGTTCCAGAGAGAAGTAACTGGGGAAACCAACCCTAGGAAACCATACCTGAACCTTCTATGTGGCCTTGGCCAAGAGGTCTTGTCTCTGGCTTGGCAATCTGTTGTGGGAGGCCTCTGTAATCGGGCTTTATGTTCTACAAGGTAGTGGATATGGCTTGCAAATATGTGTGGCCTGCAGAGCTTGGCTTTCTCATACCCTCTAACCAGAAGAAGCCTTTGCAGCTCAAAAGGACTGCACCTGTCTCATCCGTCCCTTTCCCCCTTCCTCAGAGCTCCTACCCTATCTCAGCTCAACCTGGGGGCAACGTTCAGTGACTCATTGGTTCATGCCACAAGGAGTGGGAATCTGAGATATTGCTAGTCCAGGGCAAATGCTCAGGATTGGAGTCAGATGCCTGGGTCATCATCCTGCCCTGTCACTGGGCCACTGGCATACTGTTCCAGGGTCCCCATATGGGAGGGTAACAGGGGGTGGTGATGCATGCTCTGCCTAACTGCAGCCGCAGGGTTATTAAGAGCTGACTGGCAGGAAGGACAATGCTGAGCTGTGCAGACTCCAGGGGCATGAGGCCCAGTGCCACCCTCCAGACCTCCCTAAATGACTTCGGACTCCCTGGAGAGTACATAACTTCTGGCACCCTGGACAGGACCCAAAGGCTTGATCTGGAGCAGTTTCCAATGCCCACTCCAGGAGGGACGACAGGGTCTAGCAGCTTATGGGGGATGTTGGGCAAGGGCTGGCACATTGAGGGAGTGGAGCTCTGGGACCCTCACTCTCTTTGGTCAGAGTATCCATGTCTTGGAGCCATTCTGTCCAGGTTTCAGTTCTGAGCCAGCCTCTTCCTAGCCAGGTGACCTTGAGCAACCCTTCGTGTCCTCAGTTTCCTAATTTGTACAAGGGGGACAAAAATAATGCCTACATTATAGGATGATCTTGAGGATTAAATTAATATATGACAAGCATTTAGCACAGGGGCCGGCACATACTAAATTCTCAATAAACACAGGTATTTATTATCTTTTATATATTTGGGGGGAGTCGTTTATAATTTCATTTGAAAAACAAGTATGATATTAGAGGAAAATAGTTTGGAAACCAACAATCTGTGGGGAATACAATATTGATGATTTGCTTTCCTGCTTTAGGAAAGGTCAAAGGGCAGCTGCCTTTGAGCAGGAGTTTCCCTCCCTCGGGTCCTCCAAGCAAAGGCAGAGGCAGCTGTGCTGTGTTGTCTCTGGGCCTGGAGGCCACTCCAGGAATCAGGGGCCCTGGGCTTTTGCTGCCGATTTCTTTGCCTCCCTGTGGTTCGTAGAGAATTCAGGGAGAGCTGTAAGAGCGCTGGGCACCGGATCAAGTCTGAGATTCCTGTGGTTGCTGTCCAGCATGCTTCAGGCATTGTGTGGGATACATGAGGGCTCCCTGGCAGAAGAGGGGCCTGCCCTCTGACACCCAAGCTGTGTCTGCTGGGTCCACTTGTAATGTGCCACCCATCTGTGCCCATCAGCAGCCGTCTGCTAATACCAAGGTGGGCAGAGCATTTGTTACCTGCTGCTGACCATTTTCTACTTTCTGGGAATCCATCATGAAACTGTCAAAAAGAGGAACTGAATGTCTATGGTGAGGTCAGCTCAGGCTCCCAGGGTCCAAGGAAAGGAGCAGACAGGTCCTCAGCCTCCAGGAGCTCATAGTTTAGCTGGGGAAGGAGGCAGCCACTCAGCTCACATTAAGGCTGAGCTGGAGGGTGGTGGGGGCATTACAGGAGCAGTGGGACATCCCTGGGCTGTCCTTTCCTCCCTTGAGACACTGAGCAGGAGCACCCTGTCCCTAGGAGGAGCTTGGGTATGCACAGCCGAGTTTCTGCTGAGTGACACCATCTTCTATAATAGCTGTGGCTATCTTCAGCCAGGTTATGGTTGAGTACTGCTGGTCTGGAGCCTTTTTTTCTTTCTGCTTGCAATGACCTTGCATATTTCTGTTTTGGACCTGGACTATCATGTATTATTTCACAGTGTAACTCCCAAGGGCAATCCTTCGTCCTGATTTATTTCCAAGTTCTGAGGGGGAGCCCTCATTTTTGTAGGCATAGACCACTTCCAGTTAGTTGCTCTTTCGCAGGGGACTTTCGAACTCGGATGCCTTACAGGGGCCAGGCAGGTAACATGTGTGAGTGAGGGAGCCAGGTGAGAGTGAGGCTGTGAGCAGCGGGGAGGCATTAGAGAGTGTATGGGTCTGCAGAGAACTGGGGTTGATTGCCTGGTCTGAAGGGGACAGCACTTCTTAGCTCTAGCTGATGGTTACAGCGCAAGAAGGTGGGCCAGTGTTGCTCGATCATCCAGTTTTTTCAAGAAAAGTCAGAAATTGTGGCTTTTTATGTGAAATATTTTGATTTATAAACGTTAGCTCAAATATTTTTAAAATATCTAACTGGCTAACCAGAACACACCATGGTCCAGACGTGGCCCCAGCACAGGCGGTAGCAATCTCTGCTTTGTGACTGTGCTCCTTGCAGGACAAGGCGGTCATCGAAAGTGGTGGGGGGGTGGGGGCAGGCAGAAGCCCAAGGGCCCAGTGAGTGGCTGCTATGAGCATTCTGAGGGGTCTCTGTGACCTGGGCCGGTCAGGGTGGCATCTAAGAGGTGGGCTTGAGCTGTTCTTGAGGATGAGTAGAGAGAAAGGGTTGCTGTTCTCGAACGTGAGCCAGTTCTGCCTTGCAACCATAGCACAAGACCACCTGGACAGGCCTGCAAGGCCACAGCCTGCTGAGATCTAGCCTGTGCACAGCCTGTTCTGGGCTGTGGACACTCCCACCAGGCTCTGGAAACAGCTCGGTACTCTCTCTGCTCCAGCTGGTCTGTAGTTCAGGGAGCTGTTGCCAAGAGGGAGAAAGCTGACTGGGGACCCTGGAAACCCCAAGACAGATGCCAGAGAGAACGTTGCCTGAGAAGGAAGGCCTGGAGCGCTGCTGCCACCACACTTGGATGCCCTTTCTAGCCTTACCCCAGGTGCTTGTGGACACATTGCTGGGTTCAGAGCAGGGCACTATTGGTTTCCCTTCCTAGCATGCTCCAAGTTAATTTTCATTCTTGGCCAATAAACCCAGAAGCTTTTGACAGCTGGTGGTGGGGCTCACCCATCTACCTTCAGAGTCCACAGAAGAGAGAATGGATCTCTGTGAGTTCCTGCAGGTTGGCAAAACAGGTCAACCCAGGGATTGGAATACAGGAGAGAGCCAGACTGAGGCCCAAGGAGGACTCAGGGTGTTCAGAGTTGGGAGGCATTAGGGAGTGGTGAGATCTGCAGAGATCTGGGGTTCAGAGATAGCAGTCGTCATTGATATCCAGAGTAGTCAAGGAGGGCTTCAGGGAGGAGGTGTGCCCAGAGGTGGGCCTTGAGGGAAAAGGGGAGATTTGGAGAGGCAGAGGTAGGAGAGAATGCAGAAGACAGAGTGAGGTATAGCAGTTGTGAAGTCGAGTGACAATTGCAACTGATAATTGAGTGCTTGATGTATGCCTAGCGGTGTTGAGCACTTTTCTCATTCATTCTTTCACATGATTCTCACAGCACCTCATGAGGTGGCACTTTCACCATCAGCCTACTTTAAACATGAGGAAGCAGGCCCAGAGTCCGCCCAACAGCACGCAGAGAAAAGGTGATTTAGCCAGCACTGGAACCCAGACTCGGGACCCATAAGCATGATGTCACCCTATTTTACGAGTGGGGGCAGTGAGGAAGCCACCTGACTCCAGCCAGGGATATGGCTGTCCAGCTGTCTGGTGGCCCTGCACAGTTTTGGTTTGTTTCAGCTATGACTTCCCTGTCCCTGGTGCCTCTAGGGTGTATACAGCAGATGCTCAGTATGTCTTAGTTGGGAAGAGTTGTCTCGAGGAGGCTCTTGAATGTCATGGGAAGAGGTTTGGAGTCCTGGTTCTGGGACTGGGTGACCTTGAGGGTGTGGGGGGCTGGAGCAAGTCAACTCCCAGCATCCATTGGCTTTAACATTCTAGGAGCTGGGAGTGGGGCTGGAGGAAAGCCCGGGCCCATTGGCAGTGGGCGGAAGAGCTGAGGAGGCCCACTCTGAGGGAAGGACGGTGCTGGAGAGGGCGTGGGCGGGCTGGGGGAGCCACAGGCCCGTCTACCCATTCTGGGCCTGCAATGGAAGCAGGTGTAGGATGGAGCAGGGCCCTCAAGGATTACGCAGTCTTATCAATACCAGGCAAAAACCTATAAAAAAAATTCAAGAGCAGGGCAAGAGTTGGGTAGCAGCCCAGAGGCGGAGGAGAAGGTGTCACCAGGCAGCCTGGGTTTGGTGCCAAGGGAGCAGGTGGGTGGTCAGTGCTGGAGCCCAGTGGAGGCTTCTATGGGCTTTGGGGGCAGACCTGGAAACAGGGGCACCCAGGGATAAAGCAGGACCTGCACGTCACAGAGCCCACCTGGATGCCCACCTGGATGCCCACCTGGATGCCCACCTGGATGCCCACCTGGATGCCCTCCCGCCTATTGGGCTAGGCCTACCTGCCCGGGTGGGTTGCTGTTTCAGTGTTCTTCCTCCGAGAGGAAGTGCTCATCAGGAGCCAGGAATCTAATGAGGCACCCCCCGGGGACTGAGGCCTGTACCTTCCACACTCCTGCGGGCTGCTCTCCCTTCCTCCCTCTCCAGGGCCTCCGATCTCAGCCCCCATTCTGGGTGCCAGCACTGCAGGCCTGCTGAGCAGGAAAGAATCCATGGCATCTCCCTTGCCTTCCGGCCAGCCATGCCCTGCCCACCTCATGAAAACTGGTCCAGCTCCTCAGTGACTCATGGAGGCTACTCTTGGGGACAGAGGAGTAAGTGCCAAGCCCCAGCTCTGTTTCCATGAAGTTCTGATGAGACCACAGGGCTTGGTCCAGGGCTTTGCACAGGGTGGGGGCTCAGGAGGGTATGAGGACAATGGGATGATTTTGGTGTCATCTGTTATTTAGGAGTATCTGTCATGTCACTAACTGCCTGATGTTGATGATTGTAACCCAGAACTGCGCTTGGGGTCCACAGAGCTTAGGAGTCACTAAGGGAAGGAAGGTGACTCTCAGCAGGGGTCCCTGGAGAAGGCAGGCTGTTGAGGGATGTAAAGGCTTGGATCCTGCATTGCAGCCTGGCTCTACCCATAGATACCTGAGTGGCTCCCAGTACGTCATTCCCCCTTCAGCCCCCAAGGTCCCAGTGTCCTCACCTGCGTGGCAGCAGCTGAAGAGCTGTTGAGGGCAGGCAGCATAGATATCAGGAACTACCTCCAACTTGTTCAGACCTGGCAGATGTGCCTGAGCTCCATGCTGGGTGTTGCAGGACTGTAAGCAGGTGCTGTCATGTCATGCGCCTGGCCCTGAGAGTCCAGTGTGGAGGTGGTGGCCCCAGTGTCCACTGATCATAATAACCTGTGGAGGTCATGCCTGGTTCTGAGCTCCGCCCTGGGCCCTGCGTGGGCCATAAGAGGAGCCGCCCCTTCACCAGATAGCTGACCAGCTGGCCAGAAGTTTGGCCTGGGGACTCCACCCATTTCTAGCCCTCTGGCCAGAGCAAGAGTATCTGAATAATGGATAAAGAAGACGTGCAAGATTTTCTAGATCTTGTCTATTTCAAGTGTAGTTCTCTGACTGGCAGCAGCAGCCTCACCTGGGAGCGTGTTAGGAATGCTGAGTCTCAGGCCCCAACTCCCATCCTTGAACCAGAATCTGCATTGTAACAAGATGCCCTGTGATTGTCGTACTCATTAAAGTTTCGGAAGCAGTGCTCCCGGCCAATATGTTTTTCATGGGTAGGTGAAACAAAAGTCCCACAAATTGATAGTTACAATGTGTGCTACATGCTGATATTTTCAATTTAGTTATACATTTTTTAATGCTGAGATCGTGACCCAGGAAATTTGTTTTGCAGCTCATGAAATTGCTGAGACCTGCAGTTTGAACACCACCATGCTAGCTAACACCCTGTTGGATGTTTGAGTGACAAAAGGGTTAATTTGGTGGGGTGACAGGGGATCAGACGTTTAGAGGACGTCAGATGTCCTTGACTCCTGTGACAGAAAATGTTGCCAATTTCCAAGGTCACATGCCTTCGACTTCATGCATTTCTGAACTTTCCCATTTCCCAGGGGTTGGGGACCTGGGGCTCCTGCACATGGAGGCCTCTGCTTCCTCCTGCTTTTCTTTGGCAAACACCAACATGGTTGAATTATCAGGCCAGAGCTTGAGGGCCGCAGACTGTCGGGGAAGTACATTCTCGCTGGAGTCTTGAAGGGGAGTGTGGGCTGGACTGGGGCTGGAGGGACGCGGTTGGCAGTGAGCAGGCTCCCATGGCTTCCTCGGGGAGAGCCTGGGCACCCTGGCCTCTCTCCTCCCCACTCCAGCAGGCAGCATGGCCTCTGGACTGGCCCTGCCCTGGGGGCCACCTGACAGCCTGCAAGGGAGAATTCTAGCCCCAATTGTGCATTCTGGGTGAAGGTGTTGCTCCCACTCTGTGGGGATGGGAAGGAGAGAGGGGATGGAGGGGACCAGGGCCCGAAAGCCAGCAGCCAGCTCTGCCTATAATAGTCACCAGGAGCTGCTTGCTGGAGAGCAACCTGGGAGCACAGTGCTTTGCAGCACCAGGTGACATGGGAAGCGGCCACAGGAAGGTGGGGTGAAGACGCCAGTGGCTGTGATGAGTGGATTTAGCAGCAGGAGAGCAGGGACAACACTCTGGGCCCCATTGCCCACCACAGCTCCGATGCCACCTCCACTGCAGACTTGCTGTTCTGCTGGGACGAGTGGACAGACCTGTGAGCCCCAAGGCTGCTGATCTTACGGTCACCAAGCAAGCCCCCTGCAGCCCCACCTGGGCCCCCTGCAGCGGGCCTGGGTTCCACAGGAGGCTGGACCCCTTGCTGCAGCCACAAGCCAAAAGATGAGCCAGGAAGCAGAAATTGGGGTCTTCCTGGGTTTCCTCAGTGGGGTGTCAGAAGGGTGTGCTGCTGGAGTGAGTTGGGTGCTGGGGGTGGAGAGGAAAGAGCCTGAAGAAGTGTGGGGTGCAGTGCTGCCTCTGTGCGGGCCTCGAATGATGGATTCCCTGAGAAGTGCTGGTAGGCCCTGGAGCAGATGCATTTCATCTGGTTTGCAGGTCACTGAACTCATCCCTGAGGATTGGAGGAGGAGGTAATGCCCCTAATGCCTCGCAGTTCTTAAAAGGATTGGCTAAATTGATAGCTCCTCATGCCGTTTGTCACTGGGTGGGCAGGAAAGGATACTGAGAAGGCTGGGATGGCTCCACTGATTGTCTCTAGCCTGTGGGTGCTCTCCAATGTCAGCCTTACCTTTTCCTCCAGACCTCCTGCCTCTGAAGGTCAGACTCAAAGTCAGACTTGGCCAGGGGTTAGAGGGAGAGACTGGCAACCGACCATCTCAGGCTGCCCCACGGTGTTCACAGAAACCCCTTCCAGAACACTAGTTTCCTAAGGAAGCTACAGAGTGCTGGGCTGAGAGCAGCAAGGGATGGGGAGGAAGGGGAGGAAGGCGAAGGGGAGTTTGTTTGCGTCTAGGGTGGGGAGGGGACGCTAGTGTGGAGAGAGGCACCTTTTTGTCAAAGAACATGGGTGATTTTCATTTTTGTCCTTAAAAATAGCCAGGCTAACTGGGCCGTTGTGACAAGCACGGACTGTGATTGGCTGCAGCAGGAGGTGGGGAGTCCCTGGGCTGGCGGCCGAGTCTGGATGAGGTTGTTTAACAGAGATGCAGACCCAGGAAGAGAGCCTGCATGCATCCCTTTCCCCAGACAGACACAGATGTGGCCAAGCTTGGCGGCCCTGGGTCCTCTCTGGGAAGCACAGGCGAAGGAGCTCTGGGGCAGGTCCTGCTGCAGCCCGGGCCCTCTGTGTCCTCCAGAAAGCCGTGCCCACACCGGCCCTCCCCTCCAGCTGTAGACTCAGGGCTGCCCGCCCCTGTGGTGCCCTTTACAGCAAAGTGCAACCTCAGCATTTTTCCTACTCCTGCTGCTTGCCTTTTAGTTCCTCCTCATCCATCACCTGGCAGGGAATCGGAGCAGAGCCGGGAGAGGAGGGGAGAGGCGTGTCTTTTGTGTTCTTCTACCTTCCCTCTTTTCCTTTTCCTTCTGCCTCTGGTTCCATCCTTTCTTGACTTTCACTGATCATTAAAACATAAATTCCTGGCTGGCTCTCTCAGCTTAGCCAGCAGCCCAGCTGTTTGGGGACTTCCCATCAGGATCCTACTGGGAATGAGACACTGAGCCAGGCTGAAACCCCCAAAGCTCAGGCAGGAAGGCAGCAAAACAAGCCTGGAGGAGACCATCCCTTGCCCTGTGTCTCCACCAGCCAGAGAAAGCTCTACCCTTTTCCTCCACACTCGTCTTGCCTTAAAAATGTGTTGGAACTTTTCTAGGTGGATACCCCAAAGAATAAACAGGGACTCAGAGGGATCGTTGTACACTCATATTCAAAGCAGCATTATTCACAACAGCAAAAGGTGCAAACAACCCAAATGCCCATCAGTGGATGAATGGATAAATAAAATATGGTCTAGATATGCAGTGTACTATTGTGATACGATGTCTTATTCAGCCATAAAGGGGCATGAAATTCTGATACATGTTACAATGTAGATAAACCTTGAAAGCATTATGCTAAGTGAAATAAATCGGTTGTAAAAGGACAAATATTGCATGATTCCTCTTATAGGAGGTACCTGGAATAGGCAAATTCATAGAGAGAAGGGTGAGGAAGAGTTCATTGTTTAGTGGGCACAGAGTTTCTGTTTGGGTTGATAAAAAAGTTCTGGAAATAGATAGTGATGATGGCTCAAAACACTATGAATGTACTTAAAGCCACTGAATTATGTGTTCAAAAATGGTTAAGATTATAAGGTTTTGATTTGTTTGTTTTGTTTGGTTTGGTTGGTTGGTTGTTTTTTTTGTTGTTGTTGTTTTGTTTTGTTTTGTTTTTGCTTTCAGACAGAAACTCACTCTGTCACCCAGACTGGAGTGCAGCAACACGATCATAGCTCACTGTAACCTCAAACTCCTGGGCTCAAGCAATCCTCCTGCCTCAGCCTCCTGAGTAGCTGAGCATGTGCGACCATGCTCAGCTAATTTTTAAAAAAATTTTTGGAAAGACGAGGTCTTGCTATGTTGCCTAGGCTGGTATCAAATTCCTGGCTTCAAGTGATCCTCCTGCCTCAGCCTCCCAAAGGGCTGGGATTACAGGCATGAGCCACTGCACCCAGCTGAATGCTGTTTTATGTTGTGTATATTTGACCATAATAAAAAATTGGGGGCCTAAGTGCCGGGCTGTACTTCCAGGCTGAGAGCTGTGGAGGTGGACGGGCAGAGGAGGGCCATGCTCTCTCCCTCTCTCTGCTCCTTCTTCTCTTGTGACTGAGATGAAGCTTGGGGCTTTTCTGCTTTGCATGTTCCCCGCTTTTCTGAAGCTGGGGCCTCCCCACTCCCTCTCTGGGCCCCGCTGCGGAACAGGGAAGTGATGTATTCTCCTGTTCCCCCTGGAAAACGAGAGTTCCTGGAGGAGCTGAAATCCCTGGGAGAGAGTGAAAAGGAGGGGAGGACCGACAAGTGAGGGGGGCTAGGGATCTGGCGGCCACTGTGGGCCACGGGGCTCACCCCACTCGGAGTTGCTGAGGGACCACGTGGAGCATGCCTGGAATTGTCTGAGACACTGAAAAGGGGAGTATTTGTCCCATTGAGGGCAGCCGCATGGGGCGCTAGCTCCTCATACTCCGGGTTGCAGGTGCCAGGGGCCGGGGGCTTCCTGCAGGCATCTCCTGACTGCAGAGGAAGCCTGGACAGGAGACCCCGGGGCAGCTGAGGTGAGGCGCCGCTGGGCTACCCCATGTGAATCTGGCTGGGCAGCAAACACTAGAGTAGAAGGAATGGCCGAGAGGACGTGAGGACACAAGAGGCACCCGCAGAGCGAGTCCTCTTCCTTCCTCGGGGCACCAAAAGGCTGCAGGTTTGGGATGGGTCTCAATTCTGTCCCCTTTCTCGGCAACTATTATGGGTTTGGGGTGATGACCATGCCCAGGCTCCCTCATGGGACCCTGACACAGCCCTGAGACACTCGGGCATGTTTGGGAGAGCCCCGCAGAGCCGGCCAGAGGCTGCTGCTGCAGGCAGAGCCTGGCACTCAATCCTCCTGGAAACGGCTCCGTGTAGAGTTCCTGCAAAACCCGGTTCTCCGACTGCACCTGTTAGGTGTGCCAGGGAGCCCTTGATAAGATCTGACGTCTTCCAGGAATAATGGGCGTGGCCTTGTGTATTGACTTCTCCTGCAGGTGGCTCCTTTTCAGCCCTCTCTGGACATCGGCGGTTTTATTCCCATCCAGCGGAGGCCAGCTTCCCGGGGCCAGGCACGGAGCCTGCTTGGGGCCAGCTCTCCGGAACCTGTGCCCAGCTGGGGAATAAGCACATGCTCAGCACTTGAAGAATTCACTGCTCACTGGCGAGTCAGTATGGAATTGGGGAACTTGGAGGTGGCCTGAGGGACTGAGCAGGCCACCAGGAGTGGGGATGGAGAGAAGGCAGTTGGGGTATAGGCATAGTCGTGCAGACCTGGAACTCTCCTGTGTGAACTTGGGCAAGTTACTTAATCTCTCTGAACCTCCGTTTTCTCTTCTAAGTAGCATAATTATGCCGATTCCATAGGGTTGCTGCGAAGGTGAAGTGAGTGGAGGCAGATCAAGTGCTGACGTGTCTGGGACATGACAAAGGCACAGCAGACACTCGTCATTCCTACTATTAGCAGAAATTGCAGCATTCATACCCATAGCCAACCCTGGGTGAATCTTTTGCTTAGTAGCCTGCCATGAAACCAAGGCAATGCTCTGGCCTTCTGTGCATATAAGGACCTCTAGATTTGGCAGGTGGAGGGAAGGAGAAAATGCTTCCAGGTGACAGGTTCAGTGTGAGCAAAAGCACAGAGGCAGGAAAGAGCGTCCTGTGTTCATTTTCTATTGCTTCCTAAAAGTTTACTACAAACAGCAGCATAAAACAATAGCATTCATTATCTCACAGTTCTGTAAGTCAGAAGTCTGGCACAGCGTCTCATGAGACTGAAGTCAAGTTGTTAGCCAAGTTGAATTCTTAGCTGGAGGCTCTGGGGGAAAAGTCTGCTTCCAGGCTCATTGGTTCTCAGATGAATTTACTTCATTGCAGATGTAGGATGAGGTGCCCACTTCCTTGCCAGTTGTTGACCAGGGATTGCTCTCAACTACTAGAGGCTGCCCACATGCCTTACCATGTGTCTCTTTTCCTTCAAGCCAGCAACAGTGCATTGAGTCTTTCTCATGCTTTGGATCTCTGGCTTCTTCTGCTGTGCTGAGCTCTAGTCCCAGATTTAATGGGCTCAAGTGCTTGGGTCAGGCCCTCCTGAATAGTCTCTCTATCTTAAAGTCGACTAATTTGGGATTTAATTTTGTCTGCAAAATCCCTTCCCAAGGGTATCTAGACTCCTGGAGAGTAACTGGGAGAGGGTGTATACCCATGACTGTCTTAGAATTCTGTCTGCCACACCTAGCATGTGCCCAGGATGAGGAGCAGAGTAGCCAGGGGCTGAAGCAGGGGATGACTTAGGTGTGGGCAGCTGTGGAGCAGGAGGAGTAAGGTGGGTGCTGGTGGTGTGGGGAGGTATAAGGTCCTGTAGGCTTTGAGTGGCAGGTGCAGGAAGAGGCAATGGACAGTACCTCCCATGCCCCTGCCTGTGGCCCTTGCCACCAGATGTGCATAGCCCAATCCCAGCTGACTCCCTGAGGACCTGCTGCCACCCTTGCCTCCACATCTGGTTCCCTCATTCTGAAAAGGGCACCGCCTTGGCCTGAAACCTCCAGTCCGCTGATTCCTCCCTCTAGGATGGGTGAACAGACCCACAGCTCCAAGGTTGCTGAGCTCAGGGGGCCCAGAGCGAGGCCCTGCAGCACCTCAGAGCTCCCTGCAGCAGGCCTGGGGTCCGAGGGAGGCTGGGCCCCTTGCAGCGGCCAAAAGCCTAAAAATGAGCTGGGAAAGCAGAGGAAGATGTGTGCACAGCAGGGCGGTTCTCCTTCCCCCGGGCAGTTCTTCCTCTCCATTCCCTCACCCTCGGAGAAGGCAGTGAGGGTGTGGGAGAGTCAACATTCATGCTCTCAGCAGCATTTCTGGAACCCAGCACACCATTCCTTGCCCTGCTTTGGACTCGCTGCAGTGAAAACACTCAACAAACCCTAGATTATTGGCAAATAACTGTGTTCCAAAGAAGTTCTCAGGGTTAAGGTTCTGAGGTTCAAAGTTTTGAAATTCAAATGCTCCATTAAACCTGCTAGGACCTCGCCTTTATTACTGGCAGCAGCATTCACGCTGCTCTATATGGCTTCAGAGCCCTGTGTGTGCAGGATTCATGTCTTCTCTGTGCTTTCTTGTGGTAGTGGTTTGGTAGAAGTCTGTTCTACTAGTTGTGATACTAAAAGCATGTGCAGACTCTGTTTTCTCTGGCAGATCAGGATCTTCCATGGAAATCACAGGTCTCCAGATAATAAAAGAGGCACAAGGCAAGCTTTAAATCCCCTTCCCATCTAGCCTGGAGCCCATCAGAGGAAGGGGAGGGTCCCTGGCCTGGAGGTGAGAAAGGTTCTAGCTTTCCTCACTCCCAGGTGGGTCAGGTGGGAGCTTCGGGGGATAAGCAAGGGAGCGGGGAGCAGAGAGGGCGGTGGCGGTGAGGTCCCAGCAGACCTGGGCCCCTGCAGGGCTGGGTTGAGCACATCAGCTCCAGAGATTGCAGTTCTGTTGGTGGACTTTAACTAGTGTTCCAGCCATAGCTGGTCATCTATGCCGCGCTGCCCCAGAGAGAGGGTGCGAGGGCTAATGGGTTAGTCATGCCCCTGTAAAGGTGACCAGGCAGTGTCTGTGGCTAGGCCATATCAGCATAGACAATGCAGCAAGCCTTTCTCGTTCTGCCAGTGAAATCCAGTCACGTTCCTGCAGACTCACCATAGGTGTGTTCCAGTAGCTGCACCAGAGCAAGGCTGCAAAATCCTGCTTATAAGTTACGGCCCATAGGCTTCAACTAATTTAGGGGACAGTCTGGTGACTGAAAAGAAAAAGTCTCCTCTTAAGTAGTCATTTTCTTGGAGGACCTGAGCCCCTCAGAGGTTTGTGTCTCGGGCCCCATTGTGCACCCTCAATCTTGGTTCTGTTGTTTATTTCATCCTGCTTTGTGGTAGATTCTGTTAAATCTGAGTCAGGAAGTGAGGCTTGGCCTGTAGGCTGAGCTCATCTTCTGCCTTTCCCAGCGATTAAGGCCTAGGTAGACACTAACTCTGACACTGCACAGTGCCTGTGCTGGCCAATCAGACAAGTGGCCTGCATTCCCTGGGCCTCAGTCTCCTGCCCTACACAGTGGGAATTACAGCACATAGTTTATGCTGAGGGCAAGCCAGCCCCTCGCTGACTTCTCAGGGTTGTTGGAAGAACAGAACGCCATGATGGATAAGAAGATGCTTCCAGGAGCAGAGGGTGTTTCTCAGGTGTGGGCATCGTCGTCTCCTCCAGCAGCGTCTCACGGAGTTCTCTGTCCTCTTTCCCACCAGTCCCGGCCCAGGCCCCTGAGCTGGAGGGATGGAAAACTCCTCTGCAGCATCAGCCTCCTCGGAGGCAGGGAGCAGCCGCTCCCAGGAGATCGAGGAGCTGGAGCGCTTCATCGACAGCTACGTGCTGGAGTACCAGGTGCAGGGGCTGCTGGCTGACAAGACGGAGGGTGATGGCGAGAGCGAGAGGACCCAGTCCCACATCTCCCAGGTGAGCGCGGGCCCGGGGTTGGGGCAGCTTGGGAAATTCAGAGGGGGTGATGCAGGAGCCCCTAATTCTGGGCAGCATCCAGTTGCCTGACACTAGACCGCCAAGGCATGAATGGTCCCACCCAGCAGAGCACCCAGAATCTGGCAGGTGGGCTTTGGGATCCAGGCAGGAAGTGCCCTGGCTGTGCACCCCGTCCCTCTAACCCACCTCCACTCCTCCCTATCCAATGAGGCTTTGAGGCCCAGCCAGGCCCACATGTCTTTGAACATACGTCTCTTGAGTACTGACTATGTGCTGAACGCTGTTCCCTGTCCTCAATAAGCTTATGTTCTAGGAGAGATCTGGAGGTTTCGCTTCTCCATAATGCATACCATCAAAGAACTATAACTTGTGAATATTTTCTGTGATTTCAAATACAAGTAGTTGTTGGTAGCCAAAGGAATGATTGTTAGTAGCCAAAGTCTCGTGGGATTCTCACCCAGGGCTCTGTATGTCAGACATACTTAGACATATGAGGCAATCCAACCAGCGTCATGTTTGGTCCTGCACCCTCCTGCCTCAGTCTGTGGCATCCCTGACCTTGGAGGGGAGATGGACTCATCTGAAAGATTGTGAGCTGAGATTTGAAAGTCTTGGCTTCTCCCTCATAAAGTATGAATGCATTAAGGATAGGGACCCTATCAAGCATATCTTTGCCTAACACCACAAATCCTCAGCAGATTTTTGTTCAAGAGCTGCTTCCAGATTGGCTTCTAGCTGCCAGTGTGACCTTGGGCAGAACCTTCAATGTCTGTGGGGCTGTGTTTTCTTATCTGGCAAATGGGAATTATGCTGTTGCCTCGGGAATGTTGGAAGGTCAAAGACAGTAAGAAGTACAAAAGCTGCAGAGAATCAGTGCTGCCTGCACAAGCATGTACAGGAGAGTCCCCTGTCTTATCTGGAGTCAGGGTTCTGGGGATCCGCCTCTCGTGCGTGTTATCCCATCTCCAAGCCTGGGACTCCTGGGACAATCAGAAGGTGAGCTACCTGGGTGCACCCTGCTTTGGGAAAAGGCTGAGTCCAACCACCTGGCTCACTTTTTGGGTGGGACCCCTAGCTTTTTAGAAGCCAGAACAAACTTTTGGCTTTGCTGGAACTCAGACCAGGAGTCACTCTGGGAAATGCTGAAGCCACAGTAATCCCATGCCCTGTCCCCACTGGGAAGCAGGGGACAGAAAATAGTCCTGAGGGAGAAAAAAAAAAATAGATGTGATGCTTTCTTTAGTGTCCTTGAGGTTCTAAAATCACAAGTAATGCAAGCTTATAATTTGTTTGTTATTCAATCCATGAGTGTTTAACAAGCTTCTATTCTGTGCCAGGCACTATTCTAGGACTCGTATCTAGGATTGAGCAAAAAAGCCCTGCCCTCATGGACTGTGTATTCTACTCGTGGATGATCATTGCGATGGAGAAAAGTAAAGCGGAAAATGGAACGGGGAGTGAGGAGGAGCAGGAGGGGCTTGCAGTTTTAAGTAGCGTAGTCAGGGAAGCTGGCATGGAGGGGAGGGAGGGGTGGGTAGTGGAGATATCCGGATAGGAACATCTGGGCAGAAGGACCAGCCTGTGCCAGGGCTGGGCTGGAAGAAGAGTCCGGGCCCAGCCAGGAGGCCAGGGTGCTGGAGCAGAGGATGAGGGAGGGAGAGCTGCGGAGATGAGTCAGAGGGATGATGAGGACTGTGTCGTCAGGAGGTGCGAGTCCTGAGCCCTGGAGTGGCCCCACATGAGGAAGAAAGAATGTGAGGAGAAGTGAGCCTAGAGACCAGTGAGGCAGGAGGGAACCAGGCTGCTCCTGGAGCCCAGGAGGGGAGTCGAGGGAGTGGGATGGGGAGACTGCCTTGCGGGCCACTGCCAGGCCAGGTAAGAGGGGCTGAGAATGGCTGACTGAGCAGGGGGCCGTGACGGGGAAGTTTCCACTGAGCGGTGAAGGCAGAAGCCTGCCTGTGGCCAGCTCAAGGAACAGAAGGAGATGGCCTGGAGACTAGGAGAATAGTACAACTGTTTTGAGGAGTTTAGCTGTAAAGGGGAGAGACATGTGGTGGTATTTGGGGGAAATAAGGTCAAAATAGGAGCATTGACCTGTGTGTTCAATCCAGGGGCAAGTCAGGGGTTGCTGGAGCCCTGGCCTATCCCCAGCCCCCAGCGGTTCATCCACAATGACAGGAGGGAGTGGCAGGTGTGGGGCCGCGCATCTAAAATGGCTCCTGCAGCACAGCTGTGGTTTCTCTCCAGCGGCTTGCGGCCACGAAGGTGCAGAGGCAGAGTTACAAAGATGACTTTAACCAGGGTGGAGGTTTCTCCAGGGAATACAGTGGAGGAGAGAGGGGTGAGGGAGGCACAGGAGTGATGATGGTGAGTCACCTGGATGCTGAGCCAGGCCAGGACGGGAGTGGGTACCTGAGGTGGTTGTGGAGGCTGACAGGTGGTAGGGTCAGTGGATTGGAGGCCACCCAAAGAATTGTAATCCTGGTAGCAAAGAGACTGAGCTAGAAAGATGGTGGGGGTGTGGCGTGTGTCCAGGAGTGGGGTGTTTGAAATCAGAGGTGGAGGAATGCAGTCATGGGTCAGGAGAGGGCTGGGTGTGAGCATGGGAGTGTGTGGGGGAGAGGGAGAGGCCAGGAGGAGAGCGGGTCGTGAAACTCAGATCCATCTTCATGGATCTTGAAATCACCAAGAAAGGACAAAAGGATGTGGGAAAGGGTGGCTGTGATACAGGAGAAAAGTCCTTGAGGAATGTGGGAGCAAGGTGGTGGCTGGGTGGCCTGGCGGTCTACAGCTGACCGCATGGAGGGTCTTGTCTGGTGGTGCATTAACTTATTTGCATAATCCTTTTTTTAATATACAAACTATGCTTATTGCACAGCTAATAGTACCATGATCTGAAGTGGAAGGAGGAGGAGGATTAGGATAGATTGGAAAATTGTAAGGGAAATTAACCTCTTTAGATTGTCTAGGGCAGGAACTAAGTGAACCAACTTTTGCAGTCCCCTGGAAGCCCCTAGAGCTGACTTCCCCAGGAGCAGGGCCTGTGGATGGGCATATGGGCTGGCTGGGTACCCCCTGTTGTGGGCTGCCTGCCTTTTCAGCTGTGTGGCATCCAGGCCTGCAGCAGGGCATCCTCCAAAGGTTCCTCCAGCTGAAATTTGCTCTACCTGGAGGAGCCAAGGAAGCCTCAAAGCTTCACCCCAGAGGTATGCGTGGCTGATGGTAGAATTTCTGTGCCCAGAGCAGCCAGCGGGGACATAGTTTTGAAAGGAGGTGCCCTCCCAGCGCTTTCAGTCTGGGCTCTGTGCTTCTGGCACCAGCTCCAGGGATCAGTGGGGCCTGACTCACGCTTGGATGCCCCCATCTGTGTGGCGGGCAAGGCAAGGCTGTGGAGGGGCTTTCAGACTGACGTCTGCTGTGAAGTGTGGTGTGGAGAACACCTGTGTGGTGTGACATTTGGATGCATTCTCTAAACTTTCTTCATGCTCTGGAATTCCCTCGAAGAATGCAGACACCTGGCAGGATGCTGGGGCCTGCAGGCCTGCCTGCTGCTGCCGGAAAGGGAGGATGTTTCAATCCTGCCCCTACCGCGCCCCTGCCTCCCCGATCCCCACAGTCACACACACACCTGGGGTACCGACTCTGGAAGAGGGACGGCTGTGGCCCACTCTCAGGAAGGCCAGGGTTAGCTGTGTCTACATAAGATACTTTTTAAAAAAATTCTCTATTAACACAGCTTTATGGGAAATATTTCTGCTAAAGCACTTTGGCTTGTTTTTTTTTTTAATCTGATGACTAGTTTAAATGGAAGCCAAAAAGAAAAAAAAAAACAGCAAACACTCAGGGAATGTTCCTGTCTGCCTGTGTGGTATTTTGATGTTTCTGGGGAGGAAATTTGTTAAGAAGCTTGGAAACCTTGAGAAGACCTGAGGGAGTGGAGAGGAATGTTGCTCTTCAGCTGGTGAGGTCATTTTTTAGGATCTGAGAAGTGACAGTTGACACTCAGGGAGAAAATATCTCATGATGTTTGTACACTTGTGTTCCTCTCGTCCTTCCCAGTAACAACTAGAAAGAAATGAAGGATGGATGGATGGATGGATGGATGGATGGCTGGCTGGCTGGATGGATGGATAGACAGACAGATAGATAATACATAGATAATAGATAGATAAGATAGATAGATAGATCAGTTTTCCTGTCTCTTAGATGAATAACCAAGACAATGTGTGTTTTAAGTTTGCCAACATTTTCTGGATGCCATGTTTAACATCATACCTCTCCCCATGCTTGACACCACGCCCCTCCCCATGTTTGACACCACGCCCCTCCCCATGCTTGACACCACACCCCTCCCCATGCTTGACACCACGCCCCTCCCCATGCTTGACACCACGCCCCTCCCCCGTATTTTACATCGTACCCCTCCCCCATGTTTCAGGAGCACCTGCTGTCCAATAGATTGGAAGTCCCCACAGTCACTCTATCCTTGGGAGGAGGAGGGATTTTAGCCCTATTCTAAAGGAGGGAAACTGAGGCACAGAAATGGAGCATGGCCAAACCCCACTGCTGGGTGGTGGCTGAGCTGGGCTCTGGAGCCCCATCCCCACCCCACCTACTTCTGGTTTCCTGCTCCGTACAGGCCATGACTGATTGGGTGTTGGGTGGTTAATATAGATTTCTTTCCTATAGAAAGAAAATTAGGTCTCCAAATCTCATTGACCACTAATCTTTTGGGGAAGAGATTAGGATGTTGTAAGTGGGGAAAATTTTGGCACATGTGATGTTCGTGGATGATCTAGTGGATCACCAGAAAGCTTGGAAGCAGTATGCAACTCTGAGCGAGCATGAACTCACTTAGGGAGCTGTGAGAAATACTGATGTACAGGCCCCACTGCTAGAGATGCAGGCAAAGGTGAGGGGCCTGGGCCTGAACTATTCATAAGCCTGTGCATGACTCTGATTGCCACAGTGGGAGCAGGGCTGTCTCCTTTCTCCCCCTCCATGGCCTGCTGCCCCGATCCAGTCTCTTGGAAAGATAACATGTAGGAACCCTATGAAGATACATTTAATGACAGCATAGTTTCCAGTAAATTCTTGTTAAGGGGTCAAATTAAGAGCCAGTGAGAGTGAAGATCACTTCCTATAGCCCTATTTTGATGCTTTCCGGCACTTGGAAACCCTGGGTTTCATCTAAAATGCAGTGATCTTTACAAAGGGGTGCAGCAGTGGCAATGAATAGGATAGGGTGAGAGTGTTCAGATCGGCTCAATGGCTTTTCCTAACAAGTTTCTCCTCTTTCTCTTTACGTCTCTCCTTTCATTCTGCCTTCCCTGTTCACTGTTCCCTCGCCCTTTTTCTAAAATCCCATCTCTTCATTTCCTTCTGCCCTTAAATTCATTTTTCCTGATGTCTTTGCTCACAGGAGGAAGTACTCAATGGTGGACCACCCATGAAAGGCTTAACAGAAGAAGTGAGTTTATAGGAGGACTGCGGGGTGGTTCAGCATGGGGGATTTATTATATATTTTCCCCTTATTTAAAAAATGTATTCTAAATTATACAAGTACTTTATGCATACATTCCCATAGTGCACAAGAATTCAGATATTAATAATTAAATTCTCCTGAGCTAAAATTATTTTAAATTATACAAGTCCTTTATGCATACATTATCATGGTACATAAGAATTCAAATATTAACAATAAAATCTTCTGTGCTACCACCTCATTCTGCTCCCTTACTCCTACCTCCCATCAGATGAGTGAGTTCATTTCCTTGCCTTTTTTAATGCCTTTCCTGACATAGGTATGACTTGAAGAAATACAATATTGTCAAATCATATATCATAGCCAGTGGATATATTGTTCAATAACTTGCATTTTTCACCTGCCCACATGCCCCAGAGATTCTTCTGGGCTTGCACATCTGCTGTGTTCCGTTTAGTGGCTGCCCAGTTGTCCATAGCATGGATTTATTTAACCATTTGCTTAATGGTAGGCACTCAGGTTACTTCTAAATTTTCCCCTGGAAATACGTGATACTTCAACACATACTGTTGAACATGCCTCCTTCTGCACAAATAATGGAGTTTCTTTAGTTAGATGCTGAGAAGTAAAATTAATTTTAATAGCTGTTGTTAAAGTGCTCTCCAAAGATCTTCCATTATCCATACTGCCACCAGTGTATTGGGACATCTTGTCATTTTAATTCACATTGTCTTATTTCTTTTTCTTTCTTTTTTTTTTTTTTTTTTTGAGATGGAGTCTCACTCTGTCACCAAGGCTGTAGTGTAGTGGCGCGATCTCAGCTCACTGCAACCTCCCCCCACCGCAGGTTCAAGCAACTCTCCTGTCAGCCTCCCGAGTAGCTGGGACTACAGGCACATGTCACCACACCTGGCTAATTTTCGTATTTTTAGTAAAGATGGGGTTTCACCATATTGATCAGGTTGGTCTTGAACTCCTGACCCAGGTGATCCACCTGCCTCGGGCTCCTAAAGTGCTGGGATTACAGGCGTGAGCCACCGCGCCCGGCCACATTGTCTTTATTTCTAATGAAATTGAATTACCAATCTTTTTATTTTCTTTTTTTCTTTTTTTTTGAGATGAGTCTTGCACTATCGCCCGGGCTAGATTGCCATGGCATGCTCTCGGCTCACTGCAACCTCTGCCTCCCAGGTTCAAGTGATTCTCCTGCCTCAGCCTCCCAAATAGCTGGGATTACAGGCGTGTGCTACCACGCCTGGCTAATTTTTTGTATTTTTAGTAGAGACGGAGTTTCACTATGTTGGCCAGGCTGGTGTCGAATGCCTGACTTGTGATCCCCTCCCATGGCCTCCCAAAGTGCTGGGATTACAGTCATGAGCCACCGCACCTGGCCGTTTTTTTTTTGTTTTTTTTTTTTTTTTGAGACAAAGTTTTGCTCTTGTTGTCGAGGCTGGAGTGCAATGGTGTGATCTTGACTCACTGCAACCTCTGCCTCCCGGGTTCAAGCGATTCTCCTGCCTCAGCCTCCCGAGTAGCTGTGATTACAGGTGCCTGCCACCATGCCTGGCTAATTTTTTGTATTTTTAGTAAAGACAGGGTTTCACCATTTTGGCCAGACTTGTCTTGAACTCCTGACCTCAGGTGATCCACCCTGCTCGGCCTCCCAAAGTGTTGGGATTACAGGCGTGAGCCACTGTGCCTGGCCACCAATTACTTTTTAATAGGATAAAATTTTATTTTCTCAAAGTAACAATTGGAAAAACAGAGGCAAGTGAAAAATGGAAAAAAATCATTTTATGGCAACTAATATAATTTTTGTGCATCATTTTTTAAACATCTTTTACAAAGTTGTACTTCTAGCATACATGTAAGTTTTATGATCTGTAGGTTTTAATGATCTCCTAGACATTGTTTGGTGGTGGTTTTTAGCATAAAGTGTAACTATTTAAATTTGCTCTTTTTCTGCTAGGTGGTAAAATATAATAGAATGAAAGCTAACATTTATTCATTCAGGCTCTTTTGTAGGCTCAGGGGGCAAAGTCAAGAACAAAACAACCATGATCTCTGTCTCAGTTTCTCACAGGGAAAGACAGACAATAGAGGGAGAAGGAAATGGGATGTTAGAAGGTGATGAATGCATGAGGGAGGCAGGAAGTGAGTGGGGAAGGCTCGCTTAGGAGTGAGGATTTGGGCAAGGTGACTCACGCCTGTAATCCCAGCACTTTAGAAATCTGAGACAGGTGGATCACTTGAGCCCAGGAGTTCGAGGCCAGCCTGGGCAACATGGTGAAACTCAGTCTCTACTATAAATACAAAAATTAGCTGGGCATGATGGTGCATGCCTGTGATCCCAGCTACTGGGGAGGCTGAGGTGGGAGGATCACCTGAGCCCAGGACCCAGAGGTTGCAGTGAGCTGAGATCACACCCCTTCACTCCAGCCTGGGCAAGAGAGTGAGACCCTGTCTCAAAACAAACAAACAAAAAACAGAAAGAAAGAAAAAGAAAGAAGACAGGGTTGGGGGGGAGGGTGGGGAGGAAGGAAGGGAGGGAGGGAGGGAGTGAGGATTTGAAGGAGGTGAGAGTGAGGCCACCTGGGAAAGGGTATCCAGGCAGAGGGAGTGGCCAGGGCAAAACTCTGGTGTGGGGCATACCACACAGTCAAACGGGATCCCTCTGAATGCTATGTAGAGAATAGGCTATGGTAGGGGGTCAGCAAGAGAGGAAGCAGAGACCAGGAAGCCGTCTCCTTGCTGCAGGGGAGAGGCAATGGAGACTGGGGCCGTGTGGTCACTGGAGGTGATGAGATGCCTTCAGAGTCTAGGTATGCTTGGAAAGTGCTGACACTGTGATTGACCCTGAAGATTTTAGCCTGAGCAAATAGGATAGACTTTGCAGAAATGAGCTATGCAAGACCCTGGAAGAGCAGCTCTGGGGGGCAAAGGTCAAGAGTCCCGTTTGGGCATGAAAGGTTTAAGATAGTATTAGTCACCTTAGAGGAGATGTTGGTCCACCAGTTCGATGCACATTGGTGGTGTTCAGAGGAGGATAATGAGCTGGGTGCTGCTTTAAGCCCAGGGGGTGAGGAAGTTTACAGGAGAGGATCAAAGATTGAGCCTTGACTTAAGAAGTTGGGGAGATGAGGAGGAAGTAACAAAGGAGACTGTTTGCATTGTTTCTCACATGTTAACTCATTTAGTCTTGAAGATGTTGTTATTATTACCATCTTACAAGGGAGGAAACTGAAGCACAGAGAGGTTGACTTAAGCTTCCTGAGGCCACACAGCAAGTACATGGCAAGACTGGGGTTTGAAACAGGCAGCCTGTCTCCACGTACCATCCACTTATCCTCTCTGCTATTGGTAGACCTATTATTATTACAGATGGGGGAAACTTCGTCCTGGGGATGAAGCGATTTGCCCAAGGTCATAGAGTAAGTGGCGGAGCTGAGATCTGAATTCAGGACTCTCTGCTTCAAGAACTCAAGCTCCTAATCACGCAAGCATTCTCTACAACAGGAAAGTTGTTTGTTCCTTAAAAGATGGGAGCAAAAGCCTCCCTCTCTCTCTCTCAAATCTCAGCCATCAGCAGCATCCTGTCCCTCTTAGCACAGGTCTTTTCTAAAATATCACTGGATAGAGAATGAGCTGCCAGCCAGCCTTGGGTCCCACATCAGGGTCTTGGTTCTCCTCCCCATGTCAGTAAGCCCATGTGCCCAGGAGAAAGGAAGATGTCATGCACACTCCTGTCTTTGAGAAGTTGGGTCTTCAGGCTAGCAGGATTCTGACTGGGGTCTGTGAGACTGGGAGGAAGCCATTTCCCTTCAGCCTCAAGTCTCCCTTCAGGGAAATGAAGGCATTGGTGAGAGCCCTGGTTGCATTGTGCAGCCCCCACCTGGCACAGGTTTTACACACAGAGGTCACATTCCACCACCACCTATGCATTCAGACACTGGGGAAGACCTGGCCTGTGGACCCCCAAAATCCCCCCTGGGTGTCTGACGCCACCCTCGGTTAAGAAGCCCTGGGTAAGATGACCTTTAAAATAACTATGCATTTTGAAATAATTTCAAATATACATAGAAATTACAATAATAGTGCAAACAATTCTTGCATATCCGATTAACATCTTACTACATTTGTACCCACACTCTCTCTCTAAATATATCTTATGATATATATAATTTATACATATAATTGTATGTAAAACTTCTTTCTAAATCATTTGAGAGTTAGTTCCAGACATGATGCCCCTGTATCCCTTGACACTCCAGTGTGTATTTCCTCAGAACAAGGACATGATACAGTATAGGAAATGAACATTGATAGAATGCTGTGATTAAACCTACAGCTCTTTCAGCAATTTTCCCAGTAATATTGTTTAGAGCAAAAAAAAAAAAAAATTGGCTGTGATCTTTGTCTAATCCAAGATGACATATTGTGTTTAATATCAGTCATTTTTCCTGGGTCTTTGAATGATCCCTATTTCTGTCCTTTGCTCATGCTGCCACTTTTTGGCTGTGTATTCCTGGGTGAGTTACTTAACCACACTGTGCTTCAGTCTCCATGTTTGCTAATTAGAGAAGGTAAGAGTGCCTCAGCAGCCATGAAGAGTAAATGTTAGTAAGTGCAATGGACTTAGAACAGTGCCTAGATTTAAGAGAAGTCTTTATATAGTCTGGTGATTAATTCTTTGCTACACAGCAGGCTCCCCTTATCCACTGTTTTGCTTTCCATGGTTTTAGTTACCCACGGTCAACTACAGTCCAAAAATGTCAAATGAAAAATTCCAGAAATAAACAATTTATACATTTTAAATTGTATGGCATTCCAAGCAGTATGATGAAATCTCATGCTGTCTCTCCCGGGACATGAATCATCCCTTTGTCCAGCGTTTCTAGGCTGTATCCTCTACCTGCGCGTCACTGCCCAGCCCAGAGTCACTGAGCAGACATCTCTGTTACAGGATCACAAACAGATGTAGGGCTTTTTACCACCCACGGTTTCAGGCATCCACTAGGGAATCTTGGAATGGATCCCTCAGGGTTGGGGGGGTGGGCGACTGTGCATGTTGCAAGTAGCTTCTCACTTGTCTTTATTTGTTCATGATTTCTTTTGTCGCTTAGAAGTTTGAAATTTTGATGTAGTTTAAAATTTGCATCTCAGATTTCAATCACCTTGGAATGTGTTTTCCAAGAATAGTGCAAGGCAGATATCTAAGGTCAATTTTTCAATGGCTGGGTGGTTGTCTCAATACCATGTATTTATTGATGAGTCTCTCCCTCAATTCAAAACACAATCCTTACCTATATGAGGTTCCCATTTGTACATTAATTTGCTTGTGGGTGCAGTTTTATCAGTTGATCTGCTCTTTTATTCCTGTACTGGTTCAACAGCTTTTTTGTCTCTAGCTTTTTTTTTTTTTTTAATTAATTTATTTATTTTGAGTTGGAGTCTCGCTCTGTTGCCCAGGCTGGAGTGCGGTGGCGCGATCTCTGCTTACTGCAAGCTCTGCCTCCCGAGTTCATGCCATTCTCCTGCCTCAGCCTCCCAAGTAGCTGGGACTACAGGTGCCTGCAACCACGCCTGGCTAATTTTTTTGTATTTTTTAGTAGAGACGGGGTTTCACCGTGTTAGCCAGGATGGTCTTGATCTCCTGAACTCGTGATCCACCCTCCTCAGCCTCCCAAAGTGCTGGGATTACAGGCATGAGCCACCGCACCCAGCCCGGGCTCTAGCTTTATGAGATACTTTGATATCTGGTAGGGCTGGTCTCTTGGAGGAGTTTTAGGCACCACTGAAATGGGGGCCTGGTCTAGCTTTAGCACCTCCAGCCTCCCACACTCTGAGCTTCTTGCTTCTCTCTCCTCCTCCTCCAATGCTCAGTACCCTGGGGTCTCCCCAATCTTTCCCAATCTCTGCTCATAAAACACTGGCCGGGTGTGGTGGCTCCCACCTGTAATCCTAGCACTTGGGAGGCCAAGGCAGGTGGATCACCTGAGCTCAGGAGTTTGAGACCATCCAGGGCAACATGGTGAAACCCTGTCTCTACTAAAAATACAAAAAAATTAACCGGGTGTGGTGGAGAACGCCTGTAGTCCCAGCTACTTGGGAGGCTGAGGCAGGAGAATTGCTTGAGCCCCAGAGGGGAAGGTTGCAGTGAGCCAAGATTGTGCCACTGCACTCCAGCTTGGGCCAGAGTGAGACTCCGTCTCAAAAACAAGACAAACAAACAATAAAACACTCTTCATCCTGGGATGTAAAGACAAATAGCTTATTTTCATTGTTTTTTATTGTGAAATACTTAAGATGGACTGATAACAGAGAATAATAAAATGCACATCTATTTTGAGTGGAGAACAAACACCTGTACTCTCATGTTTATTAAGTCTTAACCCTGTGTCATGTTTGTTCCAGGTTTTTAAATTAAGACACGAATTTTAATAGCTGTGGTTGAGGCCTTTAAACCACTCTTGTGAATTTGATGCTCATCGTTCCCATATCTAACAAACTTCCCACGTTTCCCGCCTTTCTGTTTGATGACCTTTTCAAGTAAGACACCACCTTTACCCCCAAGAGAACTTAAAGGTTCAGGAGGCTCAAAGCTGTAAGCCTGTTTGCCTTGAAAGGGAAATGTGTGGGATTTCAAGCCCTGGCCCGGACTGAGGAGCGGGTCTGGAGAGGTGGACCCTTCTTCATTCTTGACTCATCTCCTATAGATCAGGACAGGTTCTGGGGAGGTCCATTTCTGGAGATTTTCTAGGCGGTGTCTCAGAGAAGGCAAACGGGAGGCAGGAGGTGGTGGTGCCTGTGCCACAAGAAGCTGGTGTTGAGAGCAGAATCCCAGCAGGGATGGGGAGGAACTTCGGAATAGGGAAGGGAGGGCTACCAGAGGGCCTTTAGGGCCAGGGAAGAAGCGTGTCTCTGATGGAGGGGATTCAGGCAGTAGCCCTGGACAGGTTGCCTCTGGGGCTACTGCTGGGCTGGGGTTTGAGATGGAGCCCCACAAGCCCAGTGGGTAGAGCTTGCTGTGCTAAGTGTGATCATTCACACTTCACTCCTCCCCATTTACACAGTCACACGCAGGGCCACAGTCCCTCCTCCTGCTGGGGGTTGTGCCCGCCTCCGGCTTTGTTGGGTCTCTGGAATGAGGCTCTGTGGACTCCACCATCTTGCTGGCTTTCTTGTGCACAGATCACCCGCTTTGCCTGCTGCTCATCTGTTCCACACTCTGAGATCCACTGCTTCATTTCCATCTCTACCACCACTGCTAATGAACCCCAATGTGGGACCCTCCTTCCCCACTTCCCCCCTGGGCCAGTTCAGCCTCCCCTAACAGAAGCCTTCAACCCCTGCATATGGAGGAAGTGTCTCTGAGTTCTTTAGCCTGACAGCCGCCATCTGCCCTAAGCTGGCCACGTTCTACTGAGCCTGTTGCCCCTCTTGGGCACCTCACTCTTCTCTGGGAACCCTGGGTTGCCTGCTTTTCCTCCCTTACAGCCCCTGCCGAGAGCACACTCTTCTTCATCTCAGCCGTGCCGTCCCCACCCCCCTCTCATTGCTGTTATTTGACATGTCATCTGACCTCTCCTGTGTGGGGACACTCTTTGTTGAGGGCCCCACACAGAAGGCACTCAGGAAGTGACTTTTGGTTGGCAAATGTACAGTTATGGATGGCCTTGGACAAGGCAGAGCAGTCTCGTTGGAGCTTGGAAAGCTCACCAAGGAGGGTAGGGTTGCATACGGATGTGCACGAAGCCTCAGGGTCTGATTTGTGCGTGCCCATCAGGAGGCCCCATCCTGCCAAGGCCCGTGCTGACCCTGGAGAAGGTGTGTCCCCCGTGAGTCACCGTGCCGTGGAATATCACACCAGCACTACGCAGCTGGGGTTAAAATGTTCAGGATGCCTGGAAGGGGAGAAGCCTTTTTCTGAGAGGTCACCTAGGATGGGATGAGGAGTGCAAGCATGGCCTCATGTTCCCTCCAGCCAGTGGGCACTGTGTGCCTTGGATGTCTCCCACCTGTCAGCCAGGCTCCAACCAGGGAAGCAGAAACTACTCCAATATATAAAGCAGAGGGATTATAGTTACAGTACTTTAAACATTATACATACGTATGTATATACATATACATATGTTTATGTGTATCTGTATACATTATTCTAAAAATGTGGACTGGACATGGTGGCTTATGCCTGTATCCCAGCACTGTGGGAAGCCAAGGTGGGTGGATCACCTGAGGTCAGGAGTTTGAAACCAGGCTGGCCAACATGGTGAAACCCCATCTCTACTAAAAATACAACAATTAGTTGGGCGTGGTGGCGGGCACCTGTAATCCCAGCTACTCAGGAGGCTGAGGCAAGAGAATCGCTTGAACCTGGGAGGTGGAGGTTGCAGGGAACCAAGATTGCGCCACTGCACTCCAGCCTGGGCGACAGAATGAGCCTCCATCTCAATAAATAAATAAATAAATAAATAAATAAATAAATAAATGTACATATATACTTATAGTTATGTATGCATGTATTTTACGTATGTATGAATACATACATATTAGTTTTTGTTTTGGAATTATTTTAGACTTATAGCCAAGGTGCAGAATGGAACAGGGTGTTCCCAAACACTTGTCACTCACCTTGCCGTAATATGAACACCTTACATAACTATAGAACCATTATCAGAAGCAGGAAATTAACATTGGTACAATGCTCTTAACTAGAGGCTTTATTCAGATTTCACCAGTTGTTCCACGAACGTCCTTTTCCTGTTCCAGGATCCAAATTTGCATGTAATTGCCACATCTCCTCTTTCCCTTCCAATCTGATATTTTGTCTTCTCTTTTCTTTTACAACCTTGACACTTTTGAAGAGTTCTGGTCAATGCTTCTGTAGAAAGCTCATTAATTTGGGTGGCGTGATGTTTTCTCATGATTATGTCGAGAGGGTGCATTTTGTCAAGAATACCCCAGAAGTGATGTGCCCGTCTCGATGCACCACACTGGGGAGTCCATGATGCAGATATGTTTTGTTACTGGTGATATTAACCTTGATCACTTGGCTAAAGTGGCATCTGATGGTTTCTCATTTTTCTCTCCCCACTGACAGCCACAATTAATAAATATCTTGGGGGAAATACTTTGAGACTGCAATGATCCAAGCAGAGGGAATTTAATACAAAGAATTGATTACTCCTACCTGAGAAGCTCCACAGCCCAGAAAATGGCAACCTCAGGTAGCTAGTACCAACTCTTGACCTGAGGCTCAAAGAAAGAAGGTGTTGCCAGAGTCCAGGGTTCCCGGTCATGCATAGAAGCCTGTCTGGTGAGGCTGGAGCCAGGAAGGAGACCCAGGCACTGCTGGTAATGCTGCCTGAGGCATAGAGAGATGGGAGAAATGCCCTCTTCCTGTCTCCCATTGGCCAAGCCCAGCCAGAAGCCAGCTGACGTGGGAGCCTGGGAATTGTGGTCCGCAGGGGTCAGCCCCTCTGCAGTATAGTGGGGATGGGCAAGGAGTGCCTCTGACACCGTTGCCACTTCTCTAGGGCTCCACTGACCCTTATGGTAGCCACAGGCCACGCATGGCTCTTGAAATGTGGCTCATCCAAACTGAGGTGTGCTCTAAGTGGATTTCTAACACGGAATGGAAAGAAGAATGTAAAATATCTCATTAACAACTTTTCATATTGATTACCTGTTGAAGTGATAATATTTTGATGTATTAGATTAAATATAATATATTATTTCATTTAATTTTACCTGTTTCTTTTAAAAATTTGGCTACTAGAAAATTTAAAATTCCGCCTGTGGTTTCTGTGTGTGGCTCTCATTTTGTTTCAGTTGGATAGTGCTGCTCTAGGGTACACTTCTACCCAGCCTATGTCAACAACATTGTAAGAATAACATCCATCCTGGACAAAGGTCATACCCTTGAGCCATGCTCAGGAGGGCATGTCCAGCCAAGGTTTTAGAAAGCCAGGACTGCACTGGCACACACTCACAGCTCTGACCATGTCATCAAACATACAGAGACTGGGCTTCCCTCTGCTTTTTCTTTTTTTTCTTTTTCTTTTTCTTTTTCTTTCTTTTTTTTTTTTTTTTTTTGAGGCTCACTCTGTCACCCAAGAGCATTGTGCATTGGCACGACCACAGCTCACTGCAACCTTAAATTCCTGGGCTTAAGCAATCCTCCAGCCTCAGCCTCCCAAGTAGCTAGGACAGCAGGTGCATGCCACCATAGCTGGCTAGTTTTTGCTTTTGTTTTAGTAGGGACAAGGTGTCTCTATGTTGCCCAGGCTGGTCTCAGACTCCTGGGTTCAAGTGATCTCCTGTCTTGGCCTCCCAAAGTGCTGGATTATAGGTGTGAGCTGCCTGGCCCTCCTCTGCTCTTTATGTATCATGCAGGGTGTAGGTTAAGGTCAATATTCAACAACTTCAGCTCCGGAGGCTACCTAATGTTTAATACAATAGTAAAAACACTATCATATACCTGGATAGCATTTGACAGGAAGGGCTATATGACTGCTACTGCATTGTATCTATACAGTGTTTTTATAGCTCACAAAGGTCTTTCATCCCAGCCTCCCAGCCAGTCACCCAGCATGGCTCTCCTCATTTTATAGATGACAGAATGAAGCCTGAGAGATCACATGGATTTCTGTGGCTCCCAGACTCCCAATGCATCCCTTGGGGAGCTCGTCAAAATGCTGATCCTCTGGCCCTGGCCTCACAGAGTCTAATTCAGTGGGTAAAGCCTGGGGCCCAGGGACCTCCATGTTGCAGACTCTGGGGACTCTCGTGCAGATGGTTGTCAGACCACACTTTGGGACACAGCAGCCCTCTGAGTTCTCAGGGGATGTGAGTGGCAGGGCTTGTCTGAGCCATGCTTCTAATAGCCAGGTTGGGCTCTTTCCTGGTGCCAAACCCATCATCTTTTGGAGCTAGGCTTCTAGGAAGACCAATACATACCTGCCTCACTGCCATCTCTGGCCACACCCGTGATGTAATAGAGGGTTAGTGTGGCTGAAGCCAGGTCAGGCGGTCAAACATGGTGCTGGTTGTACCAAACTCAGAATAAGTTTTGTCATATCTGGCTGACTTTGGGATATAGCCAGTCTTTGTCACTGTGCTGGGCTCAGGTGAAGGGAAGTGAGTTTGCCTCCCCCAAGCGGACACCAAAGCTTCATCTTGATGTGGAGCTTGATGATGCCAAATTGGGTCTGATGGTTGAGAAAGATTTGCATTGAAATGGCCAAATAGGATTCCACAGTCATGCTAATGGGGAAGGCCAGGGCACAACTCCTGCAGCCTGGCAGAGTGAGCATGGGCCTGGCTGTCCTGCCGTCACTGATCGCTCCTTTCTGTTCTGCAGTGGACAGCGGACTGCAGCGAACCGCTGGACAGCAGCTGTTCCTTCTCCCGAGGGCGAGCCCCCCCACAGCAGGTAGGGAACCAGCTCTGCGCTCTGTCTGGGGGTGTCCTATGTCTTGTCTGCCTGGGTTCCTGGGCCGGCCCACAGTGGCTCCTGAGGAGTGGTGACATGGAGAGTGCAGAGAGGTGGGAGAGGGGAGGGGGCATCTGTTCCCTGGAAAGCCCTCCCTAACTCCCTGCCCACAGGGAAGCTCCCACTCCCCCAAACTCATCGATTGATGAGATTTCTTTTTAGTAGCTGCGTTCTATATATTAACACATATCTGGAAGCAGCCCAGATGTTCACTGAGGGGAATGGAGAGGTGCCTTGGGATCCATCCTTACAGTGGAATATTACACGGCTCTCAAATGACTGCACTGAGGGTTCAGGTACCGACATTGCAGCCCCACAAACAATGGGACTCGGCATTTTGATGCTGGTGGGTGCTTTGGATATCACTTCTGCTCCAGATCTGCAGAAGGCCTGGGAGGGGCAGCCTGTGGGGGAGCTGTCAGAGACCTGTCCATCCCCCCAGCCAACCAACAGTCCTGGGACCCCGCCAGAGCCTGCCACCTTTCTCCCTGCTGCTTGCGGTGAGGTCCTGAGAGGCTTGTGGGTGGGTTGCATGGCTGGGAGGGAAGGGAGGCAGCTGCTGCTCTTTGAGAGCTGCCCTGGTGACCCCCTGGCCCTCCACCAAACCCTATGGTGGTCCAGCTGTTCTCACTGATACCTCATCCCTGCCTGCAGGAGCCTGTGGGATTAGAGGCTGAAAAAAACATGTGTCCCCATCCCGAGTCCAGCCTCCGACTATGCCTGTCTGGAAAGCGGAGGGAGCCCCTGCAGGCTCCTGCGAGGGGCCATGCCTGGTTTCAGAGCCGCTGCAGTCATGGGTTGCCCTGGGCCTGCTTGCTCATGTTCAGCTTCAGTCCACTTAATCATGTTCAGCTTCGGTCTCCTGGCAGATTCACCCAACTCCTCTATTCTGTCCCGAGAGAAGCTGGTCAGTGGCCTTGGTTCTAGATCTTTCTTAGGCTGTAGGGCGTGGCTGCCCCATGGTGTGGAGGGACGGCTGCCCAGGATGGTTCTTTCACGTGACAAAATGTGCTTGTACGTCTTGTTTCTTAAGAAGGAGGCCATAATAAGAGCCCCGGGGGTGGGGGGTGATGGGAGACCTGGAGTCTCGTTTTTGTTCTGCCGCAAACTTGGTGGCAAACTCTTCCTTCTTGGGTCTCAGCTTCCTCACATAAAACCCAGAAGGAGCCTCGACGGCCTCTGAGGGTCCTTCTAACATCTCCGTGCCATTTGCAGATGAGGAAACTGAGTCCCACGGAGGTGCCACTTGTCTGCCCTCCTCCCCATACGGCACTGCTACCTTGCCCAACTGCAGGAGGTGGCCTTCTAGGGGGTGCCTCTGTCTCTGCTGCCTCCCTGCCTGGGACCCCATGTTATGCTCCCTGACCCCCTAGCTTTTGGTCTAGGCCCTGCTCCTCAGGGGCACTGTCTCTAGCTCCTGCCAGTTATTCTGGGGTCTCCTAAAAGGAGATTCCCCTCACTCTTCAGCAGCAATGGTGAACTTGGATTTGGGGACTCAAGCACCAGAGAGAGGCTTTCAGGAAGTGCTTGAAGCTCTTGGATGGGAAATAAGAGGTTTGTCACTGAGAGCTCTCTGCTGTTTGGTCAGCAGGTGTCTGGTTCTGGAATGTTCCAATGAAGAGTCCTTTTTCCTCTCCTCTTTACCATCTTTCTGGGGGCTTGTCTGCTGTCTTTCCCCTCTGGTCCCCTTCTCCACATCACTCCTGATAGGGTCTCCAGGGGTTCAGGAAGTGTTCTACCCCCTTTCTCCCCTCATCTGCCTCACCTCCCGCACCCAGCTGTCCTCTCGGGTCTGCCTTCCCCACCTGCAGGAGGTCATGTAGGGGTTCGCCAGATAATATGGGCCCATGGAGCAGGGCTGGGGGCTTGTGGAGTGGGGTTAGGTATGGGCTTGTCCCTGCTCCAGGCACCCTAACACCGCAAGGAGCAGCTCACCCCAATCTCACCTTCAAGAAGCAGCTGAGCAGTTGACTCGGGGTACGCAGTGTTTGACAAAACGAAATATAACTCAACTTAAAAGTGAAGTTGTGAAAAGCTCATATTAAATCCTTTCTTGACAGGTGGAACTGAGACGTAGCTTCATTACAGGGGAGGAGCCCAAGGAGGGTGGAGGACAGGGTCTCTGCATAGAACCCCACCTAATCACCTGACATGCCCAGAGGCAAGGTTTTGTGGGAGGGACCTCCTACAGGCCTTAGGGGCACTGGCATTCCCATCACCCCTGACCTGCGGTGGCCGACTGATCATCTCAGAGGGAAGAGGGAGAGATGTCTACTTCCGAGAAGTGGAAGAGGGGCTGGGCCACTGAGGGACACCCCCTGCCACAGACATGTGTGCCTGGTGCCGTGTTGGTCTTGGGTGCAGAGTCTGCGACGCCCATGCCTGGAGAGCCGGCTGGGACGGAAGGGAAGGCTCAGTCAGAATGCTGGGTTTGCCTGAGTCTGGCGTGGGATGCACCACCTGTGCTGTATGAAATTGCTTACAGCCACGGAAACCTCTGAAGGTTGGAGAGGGTCTTTCAGGAGCGATTTCTTAGAGGTTTGTCAACCAGGAGTGTTTGCAGGGACCTGGTGCTGAGCTCCCGGTGGGCTTGAAGCCAGGGACCTGCCTTCAAGGGCGTCACTGCTAAGTGGGAAGGACAAGACACAGGTGTAAAAAAATGCACCCTGCACGGCATGAGATGGGGCCCAGGGGGCAGCCTGGAGTTCAGAAACCTGGGCAGGTGCACAGAGGAGGTGAGGGGGAGTTGCACCTCCTGGATGGATGGCCAAGGTTCAGACCTGGGTGCTGCAGGGGGAGGCAGGAGCATCTGTGGGCCTGAATTTACACGAGGTCTCCTGTGGTTGGCAGCACCTTGGTTCAGTGATGACAGGCTTTATTTTTAGACATCAGAGACTGAATTTATTAGGTACAAACAACAGGGTGGCATAAACAAGAGGAATCTTTATTTTTCTCTTGCCACCAGCCTGGATGGGCGTTTGGGGCTGGTGTGGTAGCCCAACAGTGTGGGGGCCGGATCCTTGCTTCTCACTGCTCTACCCTCTCTAGAGTGTTGCCCTTGGCCACGTGGCCCATGGTGGCTCATACCCACGTCCATGCATCTGCCCGTGGGGACACCCACCTGGGTTTCCTTCCCAGGAAACTCTGATTTCTGCCCACGAAGCAGCCATCTCCTGTTGCCCCCTACTGGAGGGATCAAAGCTGGGCGGCTTCCTTTGAGTGACGGCACCCCAAGGAAAGCCCCATGTAGCTGGCCTGTGGCAGTGTCCTTGTCACCCCTGTCATGCAGGGGCTCTCTGATGGAGGAGGACCCAGGCAGCTGCCCACTGAAGGGTGCCTTTGCTGAGTGCCACTCTGATGGGATGCTGCTGTTCCCTTCATCCTTCAAGGCTCCCTTCAGCCTGGCCCACCAGAGGCAAGAGCACAGGACCAGCTCTCGGGGACACCACCCATGAGCACCCCGGCTGGCTCCTTGCTGCACTCACGCGCCCAGGCAGACACCCTCACACTGACTCATGCTGTTGCCAAGCTGTTCCGCGCACACCTGCCTGTGCCTCAGCCAGCTGGTCAACCCTAAGACGGGAGTCAGGGCGGGCTCTACTTCCTCAACCACTTCTGGCCTAGGGCCTTGTACTCAGTAGGCACTCAATAGTGATGCCTGAGACTGCACTGAGTTGGCCCAGGCTCAGTCTGTGCAGTCATTCCCTAGTGGGCCCTTTTCCTCCTGCCACACCAACTTTGATGAGCTTTCTGGGGCCATCAGGATGATGGGAGAACACTGCTAACCCATTTTCACCCGTGGGGACAATTAGTTTCAGGGAGAAACTGAGGCTACATGGAGATGCGGTGGCTGGCTGCTCTGGTGCTCCTCTTGACTGCCCACGTTGGCTGCACATGTCCAGGAAGGTAGAGTTGGCAGGAAGATGCAGAGGTCCTGCATTCTGCCAAGCAACCTCTGGGTGGTGGGTCACAGACCATGCCCTGCACCAGGGCCCAGGGCCCAGATGTGGCCCCATTTGCAGATTAGTCATACACTGGGATGATTGATTCATCCCCAGCAGGCTTCCAGCCTCATCCTGTTTGTTATTTTAGCTAATGTCAAAAAGAAAACCTTGCTTTTTCTGAACCCTTTCAGAGGCAGAAAGTGGGGGCAACCTAGAAGAGATTGGGTCCCACGAGAGAGGAGGAAGAGAGCCCAGAGAGTGTAGAGCATAAAAAGGGCTACAGATAGTTCAGAAGAGGCTGACCAGCTGCCGGCAACTGGGATTCAGCTGTATTTGGGATTGCCTGACATCCTGGCATCCTCTTCCCAAAAGACTCACCCATCACCTAGTCATTTAGTTAGGACGTCAGACGTTTCCAGCTTTTTATTGTAATGGGGGAAATGTATAGGGATTGTTGAAATGAGAGACTGCAGCAGCAGTACATTCAGAAAGCTTTTCAAGGTGTTGGCATGGGATTTAGAATTCAGGAAAGAAACCAAATGCATGGGAAAGGTTGTATGGGGTCAGGAGTGAGCAGCTGTTTTCCATCTGCACAGGTGTGCCAAGAACAGGAAATTAATATGCACCACAACAGCACAGCCTCTGATTAGACTTGGGAAGGACTTCCCTTGACGGAAGGACTTGTTGGCCCACCGTGTTGGCTGTTAAGCAAGGTGATGAAATCTTTGCTAGGAACCTGATGAGCACGACTGCCTATCAGGCAGGTTCACCTGAAGCCCTGGGAAAGATGGGGGTGTGTCACAAATGATGACTTTGAGTTTTGACTGAGGGCCTATGATCCCAACATTCCCTGGAATAAGTGAAGGGCACTCTCTTGTTTCATCCTGACGCCCTGTAGCAAACAGAAGCATAAAGAGAGTCAAAGAGCCTTGTCCCAAGCTCCAGGAGAACCAGATGTTGACCCAGGAGTGACACTGGCTCCAAGCACCTATTCAGAAAAACAACTACACAGACTCCTTAGAGTCTCTCCAGAAATCTCTGTTTGCATTCTGTAACTCCGTGAAACACCCAACTGGATCCAAATCACTGCCACAGCAGGTCTGGGTCTTCCTAATTTCTCTACTGTTCCCCATCCCCTGATACCTTTGCCAACCTTCAGGCCAGCTATATGGGCACCAACATTGACTCCGACCCAGGGGATAACAGATGGTAGGTGGAGGAGACCCTCAAATACACTAATTACCTCTGGCCCCAGAAAAAGATGGAAGGAGTTTTCTGCAAGTCAACTTGCTACCCTTCAGTAATTATAGGATTTGGTTCTGTGCTAATTTAAAAAATAATTAGTGCAAATGATATCTTAGTAAAAGTGCCTACATTTTTTAGCACTTCCTTGGATACGTAAGAAATACCAGGTATATGTTCATAGTGCTGCTCTCTGTTTAGTTCGTATTTATTGAGTCCCTGCTGTGAGCCCAGCAGATGCGTCTGAGTGGGAGCTTCTGGATCACTGCCAGTTTGTAGGGTAAAAACTAGTTTACACAGAACAAGATGACAACATACACGTAAGATCCCCAAAGAGATGTCATCCTGGCCACAAGAACTGTGGTGATTCCAAAGAGTGGTTCAGTTGGTCTCTGTGGGTAGGGAGGTGTCTTGCAGGACATGAGGCCTGACCTATGCCTTTGGGAATGGGTAGGATGTTTGACTAGATGGAAGGGAAGAGAGAAGAAGATGAAGAGAGAAGACATGATGTTAGCAAAGGTTGAGTAGGGCACAGTGTTGGGATGTTAGAGTAATAGTTAGGAGGCAGCACAGCTAGAGGAGGATCATATTGGGTGTTACTCAAGTGGGGGGCTGAGAATGGTGAATGCAGAGGGGTCTGTGTGTGGGCTCAGATGTTGGAACCTCTGTCCAACCCAGCCCCTGTTGTGTGCCTTGAACTTTTTTCTTGTATCTTTCTCTGGTGTTCCATACAGGCAAAGTCTGTTCCCCTGTATCAGTCAGGATAGCCTAGATAATGCTGCAGTAACAAACAAGCCCAAATCTCAGTAACATTAACATTAAACAACCAACAACCAAACAATCCAAATCTTAGTAACATTAAACAACCAGGGCACAGCTTGGTGGGGCAGTTCCGTTTTAACCAGTTGCCATGACAGAGAAAAAGGAGCTCTGGAGGATCATGCATTGGCAGTTCAGTGCTCCAGCCTAGATACAACACTTGTCACTTCCGCTCTGAGCTTGTTACCCAGAACGGGTCATGTGGCCTCATCCAACCATAAGCACATTAAGAAGTACAACGCTACTCTGTGCCTGGAATGAGGGGAACCAGAATTATTTGGTGACTGGCTGGAATGACTGTCACATGCCCTATCTCTAGTAGCAGCTTCCCGGAGGCTGGGGCTGAACTTTTCTTTCCCTCTTCTTCTTCACCACCTCAAATCCTTGATGGAACTCAAGGATTAAACTTGTGGGGGCCTAGGGTAACGCTTAGCTCTCTGAAGATTTGCTGAAAAATCAACTTGTAAAAGGCAGATTAATAAGAGAAAAGGCATACACATTTATTTAACATGTATACATGGGAGGCTGCAGAATGAAGACCCAAAGATACAGGGAAAATTATCTATTTTTATGGTTAAGTTCAACAAAGTATGGACAGTTGTAGAAATGGGATTGGACCAAAAGGGCATGATCTAATGCTAATAGACAAAATGGGGAAACACAGCAAGGCCTGTCTGTCTAGACTCTCCCTGGCCTGTCTGTGCAGCATTCCTTCCTTCTGAGTTGGGGCAGGACCCTCTCTGGAATGGGGGTGTCATGACCTATAATCAAACAAAGCAGATCAGATAATTTATTTATGGCCAGTTTTTAAAAAGAAAGGCAGAGGGAGAATTAGAGCTCTATCTTTAGGTTTCATGGCTGGCTTTGGGAGAAAGAGGCTGTGGTTTCTCGTGGTGGGGAAGAGGGAGTCTAACTTCTATGGCTAGCTTCAGGGGAGAGTGAGACTGACAGGCAGGAGGGCAGAAAGTCAGAGAAAGACTTTTGCTTCTGAGGCTGCTGCTGAGGCCTTCATTTTGGGATATTGTTTTCTGAGCCCCAACAAACTCCCATGCACTGGAGTTTAAGGCCTCCAGTGAATTCTGAAACATCATGGGCTCTCAGATGGCAGGAAGCTCAGAGGTCACCTGATCCAAGTCCCCACCATGTTAGCAAAGGTTGATTTCCAGTAGCAGGGAGCATTTCCAGCAGCAGGGAGCTCACTGCTTCAGAAGGCATCTCAGCATATTGTTAGGCAGCTCCATTAATAAAAAAGTTCTTTCTTTGATTCAGCCGCAAGCCCCCTTCTCATTGCTCCAGCTGACGGTTTTTATTTAACTCTTTTGCTTGTGTCTTTTGCCTACTTACTTTCCTCAGCAGCCGAGCACGGCAAGTCTTTTTAAGCTAAATATCCTCTTTCCTGCATGAGGAATTGCCTTTGCTGTGGTTGGGTCATTCCTTTGTTTATTTATTTGTTCTTTCACCTATTGATCGGCTCCAATCAGCCAGTCATCACTGAGGGCTGCTGTACTCCAGGTTGGGCACTGGGCACTGGGATGGTGAGGAACATAGCCATGGTGGCTGTTTGCATGGAGGGTAGAGTGGAGAGAACAGATGCTGAAGCTGCAGTGAGAAGATGTCTGGGACATGACACAGTGGTCCTTCGGGCCTGGGTCACATGCCCAGGAGCACTAGAAGTGTGCGCTGTGATTCCCCTTAACATTCCTCCCAGAAACAAACATGGCACAACCTCTGTGCTCACCAGCGTGTATGTCTGTCTTTCAGAAAATGCCATCTGTCCTCATCCTCAAAGTGCCTTCTGGCTCCAGCTCACTTGGAGGAACAGGATGCCACACTTACTAAACAATGCTGACAACTAGCTCCTATAGGGAGAACCATCAGCAGCCATGCATTGGGTGCTTGCTGTATACATTCTGAGCCACATGGCCTGGTCTCTGCACTCAGGGAAGCTGGAATCTGCTTAGGGAAATAAGCTATTCTGGAGGAGATGGCAGCATGTGAGTATGGGGAGGAGTAGGCTGGTGTCCGCACAGGGCCTTGCATTGTAGCAGGAGAGGTGAGACATACAGGCAAAGTGGGAGCCGCCATGATGTCGCGGAAGCAGCATTGCACCTGGGTTTAGGAGATGTGCTTTCAGCCTGGGCTGTGCTTCCAACTTACTATTGGATCCAAACTTACTATTGGATCGTGGATAAGATACATTATCTCACTGCAGCCTCAGTTTCTGCTCTATAAAATGAGGAGGTGAACTAGATGTAAGGCCATCAAAATGTCTTGTTGAAAATATAGACCTAAACTTCTGCTTCTGGAAAATGCAATAGATGTTCTTATCTATATTTCTCCTGCTAAATACAACTAAAAACCCAAGACATTCTGTATAAAATGAACGTAAGAAGACTCGGAGAGGTGGAGGGAAGAAGGCAGACCTGCTAGGGTGCCCAGAACCTGAGGAACGACACAGCGAGGAGCTTGTTTTCTTTTTGCCTCATGTGTCCCATACTTGGCACTAGGAAATGCTAATGGACACAGGCAAAAAAAAAAAAAAATCCCAATAAAAAGCTGCTCTCTACAGGAAACGGACTAAGAAAAGAGAAAAAGATAGGATAGAGAAGAAGGAAAATGATAGGAAAAGATCTAGCAAAACAAAAAACTTTTCGACTGTCACTGCTGTACCCCAGCCAAACACCACAGAACACATCCCCACCCCCATCCATCCCAGCCAAGACCAAGTGGGAGCTCAGATCCCACCCCTGCTGGGCTATCAGAGGGGCTCCAACCCCCTACCAGAGTAGTGTCAGAGAAGGCCAGTGGGGAGCTGTGACTTTCGTCCCCGCCAACTGGTGAGAAGGCTCCTACCCACGCCCCATGGTGTCACTGGAGACAGCAGGAACCTGACTTGCACCCCCACTGGGCAGTATCGAGGTGTCCCTCTCCTTCCTGCTGGGGTGGTGTCAGAAATAGTGAGTCAGACTTCATAGACTCCCAGGGATGATGAGGCCAGCCCCACTGCATGTCAGAGGGGACCACATGGGGATCCGGAACTCCCACCTCCACCCAGCGGTGACAGCAAGCACCCCTGCGGCGTCGGAGGAGGTTGAGTGGGCAACCTGGACTTCCACTTCCACCTGGCAATAATGAGGCTGTCCCCTGCCCTTTTCCCCTGCCAGAGTGGTACCATGAAACACGAGTTAAAGCAGGAGGTTTAAATATGACTCTCTCATGAGCTAACATGAAAATGTCCTGGTTTCAATTAAAAATTGTTTGTCATATCACAAACAAACTGAAATAATCAATGGATGTTAACACTGAGATGCTAAATTGGACTTTATCATCATTAAATTTTTGCTCTGGGAAGGACCCTATTAAGAGGATGAAGAGACAAGTTACAGAGAGGGAGAAAATATTTGCAAAACATATCTGACAAACGGCTCGTATTTAGAATATATAAAGAACTCTCAAAACTCATCATTAAAAAACAATCCAATTAGAAAATGGACAAAATAAAGTGACATTTTTCACTGAAGACGTTTTTCCCTGAAGGTGATGTACAGATGGCAGATAAGCACACAAAAAATATGCAACATCATTAGCCATGACGGAGACGCAAATAAAACCCCAACAAGACATCACTATACTCCAATCAGAATGGTTAAAATAATTTTTTTTAAAGTGACAATGTCCACTTCAACTTGGCAGCATTAAAAAAAAAAAAGTGACGGCCAAGAGCGGTGGCTCATGCCTGTAATCTTAACACTCTGGGAGGCCGAGGCGGGTGGATTGCCTAAGGCCAGGAGTTCGAGACCAGCCTGGGCAACATGGTGAAACACCGTCTCAACAAAAAATACAAGCATTAGCTGGGCATAGTGGCACATACCTGTGGTTCCAGCTGCTCGGAAGGCTGAGGTAGGAGGATCACTTGAGCCTGGGAGGTGGAGGTTGCGGTGAGCTGTGATCAAACCACTGTACTTCAGCCTGGGTAACAGCGAGACCCTGTCTCAAAAAAAAAAAAGAAAATAAAATAAAAACAAAAAGGAAAGAAAAACTAAATGACAGCGTCCAATGCTGGTGAGAATGCAGAGAAACTGGATCACTCCTGCAGTAGGAGTAGGGATGTAGAATGGTATAGCCATTCTGGAAAACAGTTTGGCAGTTTCAAAAAAAAAAAAAAAAAAAAAAAACGAAACCTGCAAGTACCATATGATTTGATTGAGCAATTGCACTCCTGGGTGTTTATCCCAGAGCAATGAAAACTTATGTTCACACAAAAACTTGTACTCAACTGTTTGTAGCAGCTTTGTTCACAATACACAGAAACCTGGAAGCAGCTCAGGTGATCTTCAGCAGATGAATGGTTAAACACTCAGCAATGAGAAGGAATGAATGCCTGATGATGCAGCAGCCTGGAGGAGTCTCTGGAAATCATGCTGAGTGATTTTCAAAAAGCCAGTCCTCCAAAGTCGCATACTCTGCAATTCCATTTATATAACATTCTTGAGAGGGCAAAGTAATAGAAACGGGGAAGAGGTTTGTGGTTGCCAGGATGAGGGAAGGGGTAGGGGCAGGAGGAAAGTGGATGTGGCTATAAGGGGCAGCCTTGTGATGGTGGGAGTGTTCTGTGTCTCCACTGTATCAATGTTGATACCCGGAGATGCTGAGTTGGACTTCATCATAATTAAACTTTTGCTCTGGGAAGGATCGTATTAAGAGGATGAAGAGACAAGTTACATTGTGGCATTGAACTATACTTTCCCCATGGAGGGAAACTGCGTATAGGGCACAAGAGGTCTCTTTGTATTATTTTTTACAAGTATGTATGAATCTACAACCACCTAAAAATAAAAAGTGTAATTTGTAAAAAGTATAAAAAGTGTAATTTACAAAATACAAAAAGTAATTTGTAAAAAGTATTTCTATTTCCTCAGAACCTTACATGGAGATTCCACATAGAAACAGGAAAGGGATAGAACTGTTTTTAGGGGGCAAGGGGAGGAGCCCTGCCTGCTTTCTCCCCCACCCGCCCACCTCATGGCTCTTAGAACATCTCTGCAGGACTCCTAGGTCACCCCCCAGACCAGATGAGCTCTCAGCCTCTCCTGTCATGACCTTCTGTAGTTCTGAGTCTGGTACTGGCAGAAAAGGACAGAACTTTGGGGCCTGGGGAGTTCAAAGAAGGCCTCCCTGTGAGGCAACCTTGGAGGATGGGATGGTGTTGGAATGGGGGGTGTTGATTTTCCCCATCTCCTGGAAGCCTTTCCCTGGCAGGAGCTGGGGACAGTTGAGGAGGATCCCATTATTTCAGCAGGTTTTGGACAGGCAGCCAGACAGAAATGGCCTCTGGTGTGGCCCTGTCCAGGACAGGCTCAAATAGCATGGTCCATTTAAAACCTAAATCACAACCTTAATTAGCTGAGAGTGGGCAGAGGGTTGGCCTAGGAGAAATATACTTGGCCACAGGCATTATCATTGTCTCCTATCTCTCTCTGGCCTTTGGGTCTTAATTCAAAGAAAAAGGGAGCATGGGGGAAAAGACAGGATGGACAGACAGACACAGATGTCCCAGCATGAAAGGAATGGCCTTTCCCTCTCCCAGACTCAGCTTTAGTGCCACCCAGAAAGCTGTCTCTGCTGGGCTCTGCCCTGCTGTTCTCCTGCTTCAAAGGCCCCTTGGGGGTCTATTTCCCCCTTTCCCAGCTGTGTCTGGGGTGCCGTCCTTCGTTCTGAACACACACACACACACACACGCACACACACACACAAACACACACATGGTGTTGCCATGATAGGCCTGTTTCTCTTTGGGTTCTGCCCCCTGACACCTCCCCCTGTGCTTTCCCCCTCAGTTGCTCTCTGAGAAGATTCAACCATTCTCAAAGTCTGCTTTAGTTTGGGCCTGAGAGGAGTTTCAGATCTGGCCCATAGGAAGCCTCTGTTTTGGCCCAGGAGATGAGTCTGGGGTCCTCTGGTCCAGAACATTTCATGTAATGTAAAAGCCCTCATAGTGTCTCTCATATATTCCAATATAGAGTCACCAATGTAGTCCATGTAGTCGTGGGACCAGTGAGGAAACACAGGTCCAAAAAGCCAGAGTGAGGCTGGGCGTGGTGGCTCACGCCTGTGATCCCAGCACTTTGGGAGGCTGAGGCGGGTGGATCACCTGAGGTCAGGAGTTCAAGACCAGCCTGGCCAACATGGTGAAACCCTGTCTCTACTAAAAATACAAAAATTGCTCATGGACCCATTCCAAGATGGCCAAATAGGAACAGCTCTGGTCTGCAGCTCCCAGCATGATTGATGCAGAAGACAGGTGACTTCTGCATTTCCAACTGAGGCACCTGGTTCATCTCACTGGGACTGGTTGGACAGTGGACGCAGCCCACAGAAGGCAAGCTGAAGCTGGGTGGGGCATTGCGTCACCCGAGAAGCACAAGGGGTCAGGGGATTTCCCTTTCCTAGCTAAGGGAAGCCATGACAGATGGTACCTGGAAAAATGGGACACTCCCACCCAAATACTGCACTTTTCCAATAGTCTTAGCAAATGGCACACCAGATTATATCCTGCAGCTGGCTCAGCGGGTCCCATGCCCATAGAGCCTTACTCACTGCTAGCGCAGCAGTCTAACATTGACCTGTGAGGCAGCAGCCTGGAGGGGGAGGGGCGTCTGCCATTGCTGACGCTTGAGTAGGTAAACAGAGCAGCTGGGGAAGCTCGAACTGGGCAGAGCCAACCATAGCTCAGCAAGGCCTGTTGCCTCTGTAGACTCCACCTCTGGGGGCAGCGCATAGCTGAACAAAAGGCAGCAGAAACTTCTGCAGACTTAAACATCCCTGTCTGACAGCTCTGAAGAGAGCAGTGGTTCTCCCAGCATGGTGTTTGAGCTCGGAGAATGGACAGACTGCCTCCTCAAGTGGGTCCCTGACCCTTGTATAGCCTAACTGGGAAACACCTCCCAGTAGGGGCCGACTGACACCTCATACAGGCAGGTGCACCTCTGGGACAAAGCTTCCAGAGGAATGATCAGGCAGCAGTATTTGCTGTTCTGCAATATTTGCTGTTCTGCAGTGTCCACTAGTGATACCCAGGCAAACAGGGTCTGGAGTGGACGTCCAGCAAACTCCAACAGACCTGCACCTGAGGGACCTGACTGTTAGAAGGAAAACTAACACACAGAAAGGAATAGCATCAACATCAACAAAAAGGACATCCACACCAAAGCCCCATCTGTAGGTCACCAACGTCAAAGACCAAAGTTAGATAAAACCACAAAGATAGGGAGAAACCAGAGCAGAAAAGCTGAAAATTCTAAAAACAAGAGCGCCTCTTCTCCTCCAAAGGATTGCAGCTCCTCGCCAGCAATGGAACAAAGCTGGATGGAGAATGACTTTGATGAGCTGACAGAAGTAGGCTTCAGAAGGTCGGTAATAACAAACTTCTCCTAGCTAAAGGAGGATGTTTGAACCCATCATAAGGAAGCTAAAACCCTTGAAAAAAGATTAGACAAATGGCTAACTAGAATAAAGAGTGTGGAGAAGACCTTAAATGACCTGATGGAGCTGAAAACCATGGCATGAGAACTCGTGACGCATGCACAAGCTTTAATAGTCAATTTGATCAAGTGTAACAAAGGATATCAGTGATTGAAGATCAAATCAATGAAATAAAGTGAGAAGAGAAGTTTAGAGAAAAAAGAATAAAAAGAAACAAACAAAGCCTCCAAGAAATATAGGACTATGTGAAAAGACCAAATCTATGTTTGATTGGTGTACCTGAAAGCAAAAGGGAGAACCAAGTTGGAAAACACTCTTCAGGATATTATCCAGGAGAACTTCCCCAACCTAGCAAGGCAGGCCAACATTCAAATTCAGGAAATACAGAGAACACCATAAAGATACTCCTTGAGAAGAGCAACCCTAAGACACAAAATTGTCAGATTCACCAAGGTTGAAACGAAGGAAAAAATGTTAAGGGCAGCCATAGAGAAAGGTCGGGTTACCCACGAAAGAAAGCCCATCAGACTAACAGCAGATCTCTTGGCAGAAACTCTACAAGCCAGAAGAGAGTGGAGGCCAATATTCAACATTCTTAAAGAAAAGAATTTTCAAAAAAAAAAGAGAATTTTCAACCGAGAATTTCACATCCAGCCAAACTAAGCTTCACAAGAGAAGGAGAAATAAAACCCTTCACAGACAAGCAAATGCTGAGAGATTTTGTCACCACCAGGCCTGCCTTACAGGAGCTCCTGAAGGAAGCACTAAACGTGGAAAGGAACACCCAGTACCAGCCACTGCAAAAACATGCCAAATTCTAAAGACCATCGAGGCTAGGAAGAAACTGCATCAATTAACGGGCAAAATAACCAGCTAACATCATAATGACAGGATCAAATTCACACATAACAATATTAACCTTGAATGTAAATGAGCTAAATGCCCCAATTAAAAGACACAGACTGGCAAATTGGATAAAGAGTCAAAACCCATCAGTGTGCTGTATTCAGGAGACCCATCTCACGTGCAGAGACACACATATGCTCAAAATAAAGGGATGGAGGAAGATCTATCAAGCAAATGGAAAACAAAAAAAGGCAGGGGTTGCAATCCTAGTCTCTGATAAAACAGACTTTAAACCAACAAAGATCAAAAGAGACAAAGAAGGCCATTACATAACGGTAAAGAGATCAATTCAAGAAGAGCTAGCTAACCTAAACATGTATGGCCCTAATACAGGAGCACACAGTAGACTCCCACTTAGACTCCCACACAATAATAACGGGAGACTTTAACACCGCACTGTCAATATTAGACAGATCAACGAGACAGAAGGTTAACAAGGATATCCAGGACTTGAGCTTAGCTCTGCACCAAGCAGACCTAATAGACATCTACAGAACTCGCCACCCCAAGTCAACAGAATATACATTCTTCTCAGCACCACATCGCACTTATTCCAAAATTGACCACTTAGTTGGAAGTAAAGCACTCCTCAGCAAATGTGAAAGAACAGAAATCACAACAAACTGTCTCTCAGACCACAGTGCAATCAAATTAGCACTCAGGATTAAGAAACTCACTCAAAACCACACAACTACACAGAAACTGAACAACCTGCTCCTGAATGACTACTGGGTAAATAACAAAATGAAGGCAGAAATAAAGATGTTCTTTGAAACCAGTGAGAACAAAGACACAACGTACCAGAATCCCTCGGACACATTTAAAGCAGTGTGTAGAGGGAAATTTATAGCACTAAATGCCCACAAGAGAAAGCAGGAAAGATCTAAAATTGACAAAGATCTAAAATCGACACCCTAACATCACAATTAAAAGAACTAGAGAAGCAAGAGCAAACACATTCAAAAGCTAGCAGAAGGCAAGAAATAACTAAGATCAGAGCAGAACTGAAGGAGATAGAGACGCAAAAAACCCTTCAAAAAATCAATGAATCCAGGAGCTGGTTTTTTGAAAAGATCAACAAAATTGATAGACTGCTAGCAAGACTAATAAAGAAGAAAAGAGAGAAGAATCAAATAGATGCAATAAAAAATGATAAAGGGGATATCACCACTGATCCCACAGAAATACAAACTACCATCAGAGAATACCATAAACACCTCTACACAAATAAACTAGAAAATCTAGAAGAAATGGATAAATTCCTGGACACATACACCCTCCCAAGACTAAACCAGGAAGAAGCTGAATCTCTGAATAGACCAATAACAGGCTCTCAAATTGAGGCAATAATGAATAGCCTACCAACCAAAAAAAGTCCAGGGCCAGACAGATTCACAGCTGAATTCTACCAGAGGTACAAAGAGGAGCTGGTACCATTCCTTCTGAAACTATTCCAATCGAAAAACAGGGAATCCTCTCTAACTCATTTTATAAGGCCAGCATTATCCTGATACCAAAGCCCGGCAGAGACACGACAAAAAAAGAATTTTAGACCAATATCCCTGATGAACATCGATGTGAAAATCCTCAATAAAATACTGGCAAACTGAATCCAGCAGCATATCAAAAAGCTTATCCACCATGATCAAGTGGGCTTCATCCCTGGGATGCAAGGCTGGTTCAACATATGCAAATCAATAAATGTAATCCATCACATAAACAAAACCAACGACAAAAACCACATGATTATCTCAATAGATGCAGAAAAGGCCTTTGACAAAATTCAACAGCCCTTCATGCTAAAAATTCTCAATAAACTAGGTATTGATGGGATGTATCTCAAAATAATTAGAGCTATCTATGACAAACCCACAGCCAATATCATACTGAATGGGCAAAAACTGGAAGCATTCCCTTTGAAAACTGGCACAAGACAGGGATGCCCTCTCTCACCACTCCTATTCAACGTAGTATTGGAAGTTCTGGCCAGGGCACTCAGGCAAGAGAAAGAAATAAAGGGTATTCAATGAGGAAAAGAGGAAATCAAATTATCCCTGTTTGCAGATGACATGATTGTATACTTAGAAAACCCCATCGTCTCAGCCCAAAATCTCCTTAAGCTGATAAGGAACTTCAGCAAAGTCTCAGGATACAAAATCAATGTGCAAAAATCACAAGCATTCCTATACACCAATAACAAACAGAGAGCCAAATCGTGAGTGAACTCCCATTCACAATTGCTACAAAGAGAATAAAATACCTAGGAATCCAACTTATAAGGAATGTGAAGGACCTCTTCAAGGAGAACTACAAACCACTACTCAATGAAATAAAAGAGGACACAAACAAATGGAAGAACATTCTATGCTCATGGATAGGAAGAATCAATATCATGAAAATAGCCATACTGCCCAAGGTAATTTATAGATTCAATGCCATCCCCATCAAGCTACCAATGACTTTCTTCACAGAATTGGAAAAAACTACTTTAAAGTTCATATGGAACCAAAAAAGAGCCCGCATTGCCAAGACAATCCTAAGCAAAAAGAACAAAGCTGGAGGCATCACGCGACCTGACTTCAAACTATGCTGCAAGGCTACAGTAACCAAAACAGCATTGCACTGGTACCAAAACAGAGAGCTAGACCAATGGAACATAACAGAGGCCTCAGAAATAACACCACACATCTACAACCATCTGATCTTTGACAAACCTGACAAAAACAGGAAATGGGGAAAGGATTCCCTATTTAATAAATGGTGCTGGGAAAACTGGCTAGCCATATGGAGAAAGCTGAAACTGGATCCCTTCCTTACACCTTATACAAAAATTAATTCAAGATGGATTAAAGACTTAAATGTTAGACCTAAAACCATAAAAACCCTAGAAGAAAACCTAGGCAATACCATTCAGGACATAGGCATGGGCAAGGACTTCATGACTAAAACACCAAAAGTGATGGCAACAAAAGCTAAAATAGACAAATGGGATCTAACTAAACTAAAGAGCTTCTGCACAGCAAAAGAAACTACCATAAGAGTGAATAGGCAACCTACAGAATGGGAGAAAATTTTTACAATCTACCCATCTGACAAAGGGCTAATATTCAGAATCTACAAAGAACTTAAACAAATTTACAAGAAAAAAAACAACCCCATCAAAAAATGGGCAAAGGATATGAACAGACGCTTCTCAAAAGAAGATATTTATGCAGCCAAAAGACACATGAAAAAATGCTCATCATCACTGGCCATCAGAGAAATGCAGATCAAAACCACAATGAGATACCATCTCACACCAGTTAGAATGACAATCATTAAAAAGTCAGGAAATAACAGATGCTGGAGAGGATGTGGAGAAATAGGAACACTTTTACACTGTTGGTGGGAGCATAAACTAGTTCAACCATTGTGGAAGACAGTGTGGTGATTCCTCAAGGATCTAGAACTAGAAATACCATTTGACCCAGCCATCCCATTACTGGGTATATACCCAAAGGATTATAAATCATGCTACTATAAAGACACATGCACACGTATGTTTGTTGCGGCACTATTCACAATAGCAAAGACTTGGAACCAACCCAAATGTCTACCAGTGATAGACTGGATTAAGAAAATGTGGCACATGTATACCATGGAATACTATGCAACCATAAAAAAGGATGAGTTCATGTCCTTTGCAGGGACATGGATTCAGCTGGAAACCATCATTCTGAGCAAACTATCACAAGGACAGAAAACCAAACACCACACGTTCTCACTCATAGGTGGGAACTGAACAATGAGAACACTTGGACACAGGGCGGGGAACATCACACCCCAGGGCCTGTGTGGGGTGGGGGGCAGGGGGAGAGATAGCATTAGGATAAATACCTAACGTAAATGACGAGTTAATGGGTGCAGCAAACCAACATGGCACATGTATACCTATATAACAAACCTGCGCATTGTGCACATGTACCCTAGAACTTAAAGTATAATTTAAAAATAATAATAATAATAAAAATACAAAAATTTGCTGGGTATGGTGGCTTGCACCTGTAGTCCCAGCAACTCGGGAGGTTGAGGCAAGAGAATCGCTTGAACCTGGGAGGCCGAGGTTGCAGTAAGCTGAGATCACACCACTGCACTCCAGCCTGGGCCATAGAGCAAGACTAAAAAAAAAAAAAAAAAAAAAAAGAAGAATAAAAAAAGCCGGAGTGACTGAATGAGGCCGCAGGAAGCAGAAAGCAGGTTGCAGGCTGAGAATCCTGTTTTCTCCACTCTCAGCTCAAACCAGACCCCCTGTCCCACAGCTAGCTCCCCAGGGAACCCCGTGTCCATGAAGTGAGAGAACCGTATTAGGGTCGGGCTTGCCTCTTGCCCTCATGGAATCTGGAAGGACATCCTGCACTGAGAAGGGTGTGGACTGGGACTGGGAGTCCTTTGGGGAGTGGAGACTGCACCACCTTTATCTCTCTCATGCCCAGAGCTGGGTCCTGCACAGCCCAGCTGCTCAGTGACTGAGGGTGCACTGTATCAGGGGGTTTCCATTCAGGAGGCCGGGGCTGAGGGCTGGCCACCTCTGCCCCAGTGTCACCTGATGTAGCAGGCCTGCTAGGGAAATCCACACCAGCCTGCCCTAGAATTCTCTAGGGGAAACTTCCCCCATGACTGTCCCAACAATAGAGAGCATCCTCCCGCTGTCCTATCCCATTCAGCCTAGTTTCTAAACACTCACAGCCTGGAATTGTCATTACACACATGCCCCCACATATGCACTTGCACAGCAAAAATCACTGCACAGTTGTGTATTCATAAAGAAAAGCCAGCAGCTAGAAGATTTGTTGTTTTCACTGCATCTGACTTTGTATGTTTTTCTATCATACAGCAACTCACTCTCACCTTGTTGCATTCATGCATGTGTGGAGACCGCAGCCTCATCGCATACCCACTCACATTCCACAATCCCTCTCTCTTCACTGCAGATGATGCACTTCCTCCACCAGCACTGCCTTCCCAATCATTAACAAAGATAGGTGTGGAGAATACAGATGCTTGCAGGGGAGGGATACGTTCCTGCTTTATGGAAATCTCTGCAGTGGGTTCAGTTTACTTGACTGAATAGAATAACTGCATGCATAGTGTACAGTGGTTAGAGCATGGCCTCTGGGCCACACTGTCTGTGCTCCCATCCTGGTAACTGGCTCCATGAACATTGGCAGGTGCTCTGTGCCTCAGTCTCCCCATCAGTAAAATGGGGATGGTGATCATACTATCTGCTTCTTAGGGTTGTAGTAACAGTGCCACGCTTGGGCAGTGCTGGCACATACTGCATGCTGGGTCAATATCTCCTATTGTCATCATCTTTATTCTTGGCCCTTTTAGGAGTCTGACCTCCCCTGAGCTGGGGATGTCTCTGAGGCCTTCCCAGAGACAACTTCAGTTTCCCTTCCCACAAGCAAGCTGTTTCCATTTGATTTTCCACATGGCTTAAAGTGCTCATTATCCCTCTGTGATCTGTTCTGCCAGCAGTATGGTGCACCCTGGTATGGGGCCCCCTAATTGCCAATAAAAGGGGCTGTCACGAAGGATTCAGCAGTGTTTAAGTGCTAAGAACAACCCACTGAAAAGGATGATTGTTTTTGATAAGGCTTCTCAGAACCTTGGCATTTCAGCAACCGGGGGGGCAGGGCCTGGATGCTGTCAGGGCTGGAGAGGATGCTGTGCTCAGAGGGAAGCTGTGGTTACCAGGGCCAACCATGGAATTGCCAACTGCAGAATGTTCTTTAAGAGGCCACTGAGGTTTTGATGGGTAGCTGACAGTGCCCAGCCACTGAGTCTGTGCGAAGAAATATTTAATGAATGACTCTGGGTCCCAAGGCTAGGACGAGGGGTGAATGGGCAGGAAGATACAACAAGGAAGTGGAGCCACGGTTCCCACCATCGAAAGGGGAGAGAGTTAACAGAAAGTGTGTTAGCTGAGTATTTCCCAAAGGGGGTTCCATGGAACCCTAGTCCTGCAAAATTCTCTGTGGAATGAAAAGGAAGAGTGAGGTAGATTTCTAGCCAAAAACCTTGGGAAAGAAATATTGCATACTCCACTTCCACATATGTGAAGAGTTAACATCCACTGAAGAAGTTCTGCAATAAAAATTTCAACATCGTAACAATTTTCTACATTTTAATAATGTATTAGCAGTCTTATCATTCAGTATATACCAAACATTTGACTATATAATCTTTTTGATTTTTTTCCCTGTTAAAACTTGAACATTTTGAGGAATGAGGACCATTTAGAGGAATGAGGCTTTCTGAAAGCATCGTCTGTGAACCATCCCAGCTACACTAAATTTAAACCACCAACCCTCCCTTCTCTCAGTGATTCTGATGCACACTGACATTTAGAGCCAGGGGATTGGTGCTTCCAGAGCACCCCGGGGAGCTCTGCAGTACAACAATGACGAGAGGAATCAGCTCTGCACGGGAGTGTGCAGGGTACGTGCTGTGAACGGCATGTGCTATGAGGTTCACAGGGTGTGGGCTGCTGAGGAGGCTGCAGAGCTGCAGAGAGGAAGAGTCCTCAACTAGATCCTAGCAGGAAGGAAGACTCATGGGAGTGGGAGGGTGTGGAGAGAACATTCTTTTGTTTTCACTGAGTCCAGGAAGAGTATAGTAGCCTAAAGTGAAATATAACTCCATACATGCTGCTGCTTCGTGTGCCCTTGAGAGGCAAGTCCAACGCTTGCCTGGGATGAGCCGAGCTTGGGTCCCCTTCTTCTCTGTCCTCAGCTTGACAGCCACCTCTCTGTATGGGTCCTCAGTGTGAGCCAGAGGTGAGGGTGGTGGGAGAGAGAGGTGGGTCTGTTTCCTGGTGAGAAGTTCCAGAACTCAGGTACAGTCTGCCTGTGAGGGGTCTGCCTGCAGGCACCTGCCTTCCTGCTTCTCTGACTTCTCTGGCTTCTTTGGACATTCGAGGGTTTGTAGAACAGCTGACACATGTATGTGTATGTGTGTGTGGTACATGTATGTTTGTGTGTGATGTGTGTGTATGTGTGAGGTGTATATGTGTGTGCATGGTGTGTATGTGGGTGTGGATATGTGTGTGTGTGTATATGCCTGTGTGCATGGTGTGTATATGTGTCTTGTATGTATATGTGTGTGGTCTACATGCATGTTGTGTGTGGCATGTGCCTGTATGTGTGGTGTATATAATATGCATGTAGCATGTGATGTGCACATATAGTTGTAGTATACATGTATACCACATGTATATATGTGGTGTGTGCACATATGTGTGTTTGGTGTGTATATGGGTGTGGTGTGGATGTGTGTGGATGGATGTGTATATTGTATAAGTGTGGTATATATATGCATGTATGTGTGTAGTATATACATGTATGTGTGTGGTGTGTACGTGTGTATATGTACGTGTGGCACACATTGTGTGGATGTGTGTATGCATACCATGCATGTGTGTGTATGTATGTGTGTCTGGTATGTATATGCATGTATGGTGTGTATTATGTGGATGTGTGTGGATGTGTCTGTCTAGTATATGCATGTGTGTAGTATTGTGTATATATGTGTCTGTGGCATATGTACATGTATGCATATGCGGCCCTGTGGCATGTGTACATGTATGCATATGTGGCACTTGTATGGCTGTAAGCATTTGTCTGGCTCCAGAGCCACGTGGCAGGGCTGGGTGACAGAGTGGCCACTTGGGTGCTCAGCCCAGGGCAAGTGGGCCCTGGGGAAGGACATGTGAAAACGTTGGGCTCCTGGTTGTCCAGTTTAGCTTGGCAGTTAATAACTCTGTTGCGTGAGGCCTGGCCCCCTGGGCACTGCCTGGGCCACCACCTCAGCATCAAGGGACAGCAAAGGAAAGCTCTGCAGGTGAGACTCTTCCTGCTCTGGGCTAAGGCTGGAAGGAGATGGATGTCTTCTCCACGTGCTAGGCTATTTCTCCAGCCCCTGTTGATGAAAGTTTGCCTTTAGTGGTTATATGCCTGTCTTGTGCCATTGAAACAAACCCCAAGGAGGTGTCCAGATTCTTGATATGCACTGCAGTTCTTATATCAAGTAGAGTGGCAATAAGGAGTGCGGCCCCTGTGTCCAAGGTGTTGCCCTATACCTACTTCTCCAGAGACTCAGCTTCTCGTCTGCCAGGCCCCGAGTCTTCATGGCGATCTCCTTCCTGATATTCAGACAGAGAGGCCCGATGCCTTGCCCACTGCTCTCCTCCATGTGTCCAGCTCAGCGGCTGGGGTCCTCATTCTTCTCAGTGCTGTCACCTCCACCTGCTGCCTCCTCCAGGGCTGCTGAGCTTCACAGCTCCGGGGGTGCTGTCCATATGATATTCGTTCCTGGAGCTGCACCCCCAGGGCTCCCTGGAGCTGTGCAAAGATGGGGTCCGGCTCCTTGGTTTGTAAAGGGCTCACCTTGCTGGCACTTTTGTTCCTCAGCTCTGAGAATCAGAGTTGCAGTCATCACGGGGGAGGGAATGAGGCAGGAGGCCGGTCAGTGTGAGAGTTAACAAGACTCAAGCCTTGTGGCAAAGGAGAGGTGAGACCCGGCCCAAAGGCCCAAGGTGGGCTTGGGGCAGAGACCTGTGGGGCAGAGCGAGAGAGGAAGGAGAAGCAGCCTGGTGCCGAGTTTTCCAGCCTGGGGAGGGAGACACAGGAGTCAGGAGGCTGAGCCACAGGGCGGGGGTGGCTAAAGAAATACGGTGTGTACTGGGAATGGCAGGGATATCGCTGGGTTTCTTGTCATTTAAATATGGATGTAGGCTCTTGATGTCGTTCAGGGATATGTTCCCTGAGTTGTTGTAAGGAGTTGTGGGGATTCAATGAGGAAAATGTGTGAGTCTGTCACCTGTGACGTGTGTCGATTGTGTGACTGCCATGGCTCTTGGAGGAGCACTGGTTGCCACCGTGACTCCACCACCTGCTCCCCAGCTGGGCCATGGCCTCTCTCCCCAGGCTCCTCTGGGAATGGCAGGGATATCGCTAGGTTTCTTGGCATTTAAATATGGATGTAGGCTCTTGATATCGTTCAGGGATATGTTCCCTGAGTTGTTGTAAGGAGCTGTGGGGATTCAATGAGGAAAATGTGAGAGTCTGTCACCTGTGACGTGTGTTGGTTGCGTGACTGCCATGGCTCTTGGAGGAGCACTGGTTGCCACCGTGACTCCACCACCTGCTCCCCAGCTGGGCCATGGTCCCTCTCCCCAGGCTTCTGTTTTTCACCCCCAACATGGAGATGGCAGCAGCTGATCACAGGGCTGTTCTGCAGATGCACGGAAGGGTGGGCTTCCTCTGTAAAGAATAAACACATACATGCAGGCACAGCTTCTGCCCTGGCTCTTTCCCTCCCATCAGCTGGGAGCACATTTCCCTGACCCCAAGAATCTGGAAGTCCAGAGATTGGTGGGTCCCCCGCCAGGGATACTGCTTTGGAAATGCCCAAGTTTGCCCTGCCCAGTCACCTCCCTTAGCCCAAGGGTAGTGCCCCCTCCTCCAGGCAGAGAGGTTCCACCAGCTCTCTGCACAGGGGCATTGGCCCCCTCACAGCTGCTGCCAGTGACTGTTACTGTGACCTGTCCTCGCTCCCTGCCAGTTGAGGAGTAGTAGCCAAGATGCCAACCTGCAGGCCAGGAGGGAGATTTATGTGCCCATCTGCACTGCCCTTCAACTGCCTTCAAGGTGAATCACCATCTTCCTGGAAGATGCTTTGCACTTCTAGGTTTGGCCATGACCTTCTCTACATAGTTGCTCTCTCTTTCTATCTCTCCATCCATGTTTCTTACTCTCTAAGGGCCTTACGGGCCTCGGATCCTAGGACGGTAAATCATTCTTGACATCCTAATCTTGATTCAGTCTTTCAGCCACAGAGGCAGTAGGGTCGTGCTTCCTCCTGTTACAAAGTGGCATCTCCTCAATCAGTTGGCAGGAATCCAAGCTGGCCCTCCTGTGTGCCTGGCTTGGCCACTGTGGGGGCACAAAGAGAAAGAGGCAGTCCAGTGGAAAAGATTACAGTCTACTTGGGGAAGGTCTAACATTCATGTAAGAGAGCAGTGACCAAGAGGTGATCCACTGAAGCTGAATTTATAGGCGCCAGAGAACATTGGGTATTTAACAGATCAGGGATTAGGGAAGACACGTGTGGAGGAGAGGCTTCAGGTCACTGGGCTGAAGGAGGAAAATGAACTGCATGCTGAGTGAGGTCTGCAATAGATGCTTTGGAAGCAAGAGTTTTGTTTGCATGTATGATTTTTTTTTATCTTTGCTTTCTATGTTATTTTTGGCTGCTATCCCCAATGATAATTACATTCGAGGCCCAGGAGGGGGGTGTGAACAAGCCGGTCAACATCTCGGGAGGCAGGGGCTGTCCCCTTGGGGGTTGTGTGATAGAAGGTGAGTCTCTCTAGCTGACCTGGAGTTTCAGAGTTGCACTTGGAGCAAGCAGGGCCCCAGGAGTTGGAATGGGGAGGATGTGAGGCAACTCGAAGAAAAGGGAGAGAGGACGATCCTAGAACATTAGGGGCCACCTGCTTGGAGGACTGGCAACCATGCTGTAATTGATTAGTGATATCTGCCGCTGGCAGGAGAGGGGATGGTAGCAGCACGCATGCCAGTCAGAAGGAGCCCATCTACAGGGCATGGTATTTCATTCTGGGATCTCTTTATTTAAATATGAAGAATCTGAAGTCCAGACTGGTGAAGTGACTTTGCCGAGGTCACACAGTTTATTGACGCAAAAAGAAAACGCATGTTTAAAGAAGATGGTGAAAATCTCTTGCAGTATATGTCAGGAGCACTGAGCTTCCAGCTCTGGGGGACCCAGGGGGTCCCTGCCATCAAGGGCCCGCTATCTCCTGTGGGAGAGAGGTCACTACAGGAAATAGAAGTGAGAACTGCAAGAGGCCGGCTCTGCTACTGTAAGTCACCCACACAGATAGCAAGTTCAGGGCAGAGCGAGGTGACTGCAGTTTGGGAGGCCAGAGGTGCTTCCTGGCTGAGCCAATCTTTGACAGATGGGGCACATTCGGAGAGGGCAAGAGGGGAGCAAGGCCCAGTTGACAGGCCATGGTCAGGAGCAAAGGGGATTACGGGGATGGGACAGGAAAGGCATGGGGAGAAGCACCCAGGGCCATGGCGGCCCTGAATAAATGTGGCTGATCTGCTAGAAAGGATTGTGCAAGCTCTCAGGGCAGCCTGGAATGAGGAAGTTTCAAGTTACTTAGACCTGCAGGCTGTTGGTGCCCAGAGAGAGGGACCAGTGTTCATGTTATCAATGAGACCCAGGAAGGCTGAGGGACTTGCCCAGAGTCAGACAGCCCAGGTGGTTCTCCCCAGACAGTCCTCTTGTCCCTTCGACTCCATAAGCCCTCCACCTCTCCTCCAGGCTCTCATTACCTCCTGCCTCCTGTCTGTGGCGGCTGGAGTGCCTGGCCCCTTCTGCTTGGAGGCTGGACTGTCCAGCCTTCCCGGTTTTTGTGCCCTCTCCTTCTAGTTAATCAAAGCTGCTCGCTCTCTCTGTCTCTCTCTGGAAGAGAGATTGGTTTCCTCTTCCAGTTACTATCTGAGTTCTTTCACTATACATTCGTTAGTTTGCCTGTTCCTGAACATAATTGGTTCTCTTTTGCATCTGGGTTCTTTTGTTCCCTGTATGCTTGTGATATTTATTCATATTGCTGCATGTTATTTTACTTTGTTTGTGCTCACTGCGGTGTGATACTCCAATATGTGAACATACCACGGTTTATTTATCGAATCAGCTGATGACAGGCATGTGGGTGGTCTCCAGTTTGGAGCTGTAATGGCGGATGCTGCTGTATACGCTTTCTGTACATGTCTTTTGGTGAGCATCGGGCACATTTCTGTGTGTTTATACCTGGGAGTGAATTTCTGGGTCATACGGCGTGCACACGTTCAGCTCAGGTGGATGTGGAAGTATTGTTTTAAAGAGTGTGACGATGGAAACCAGATTGCAGGGGTAAGAAGGGCTGGAGGGCATCAGGTGCGGTCAGGGGTTGGAGAATTTGCCAGGGAGCTCACCAGCCAGAGAGCAGAGAAACCAAATCATAGAAGCTGCATTGAGTAAAGAGGTTTCTGTCTCTGGGGTGGGTCACATAGGGAACACTGGAGGATCGGCTCGACTCAGAGAAATCCAGTTGCTGGTGTAGCCTTGGTCGGTGGGGGCTTCTGGGGAGTAGGACTGAACTGTGAAGGAAGGCAGCCTCCATGGGCTCCCCAGTGGGCCTGGCTCTGCAGAGCCCCTCCCTGGGGAGAAGCCTCAGCCATCAGGCTGGCAGTGGTGATGGTGGCTCTGGGTGGTACAGAGCCCTTGCTGGGTGTGGAGGCTTTGAGGAGAGAGCCATGGGCCTGGGGCAGCAGGGGCCTGGACCCTTCTGTATACATCTATAAAACCTCAGTGAAACGAGGGCCTATGCCTGGGGGGAGGCCAGGAGACCCCCAGGCAGTCCCCTGACTCTGACTGGGTGCACCAGCCACCATACTCACTTGGGGGCTCACTCCAGCCCCCCAGCCCCTCAGGCCCTGGCCCCGTGTTCTCAGCATCCTGGCCGAGCAATTAATGTCAGCCCTTTCACCCCCATCTCTTCCAGAATGGCAGCAAAGACAACTCTCTGGACATGCTGGGCACGGACATCTGGGCGGCCAACACCTTCGATTCCTTCAGGTAACCTCCTCCTCCCTCCTTCCCTGTGGTGTGAGGTCCAGCCGGGGAAACTGGCTTCCTTGGGGACGGAATGAACGCTGATGGTTCATGAGCAAGAGGCAGAGAGAAGCAGAGTAGGGGATGTAGGAAGGATGGGGTGGAAAGAAGGCCGGAGAGAGGAGGCGGTGAGTGTCAACGGGAGACAGTGGAGGCATGGGGAGGGCCCCCGGGATGGGGCTGCAGAGGCTGGGCCCCGCTTCCCACTAGCCTGCCTCATCTACCTCAGGGTGGCCGGGTCGTCACTTTGAGCTGCTTGTCAGAGGCTGGAGACTGGCATTTGGCCCCTTGCTCTCCCTGGCCTTCCTCAAATGTGGGCACGAAAACAAACTCAGGTGTTGCAGAGGCCGCTGTGCAATGGGCATCAGGCCCACACTTGTTTCATAAGCATGCACTTTCCCACGGCAGGGTGAGGAAGGTGAGGGGTGGCACCTGGGGCTCCATTCTGAGTGGGGCTCCCCGCCTGGCCCCTGGCGGCTCCTTTCTGCGGATCTGCTCTGCCAGGTTCAGCCTGGCCCCCTGGTTCCGTCAGTAACTGGGCTGTTGCCCTCTTGCCTCCGTTTCTCACCCTCCCTCGCCCTCTAGTGGTGCCACCTGGGACCTGCAGCCGGAAAAGCTGGACTTCACCCAGTTCCACCGCAAAGTCCGACACACGCCCAAGCAGCCCCTGCCACACATCGACCGCGAAGGGTAAGGGGTGCTGGGGCTCTTACCCAGGGTGGGGTGGGGCAGGGGACGGGAGTGGCCTTTGCCTCCACAGGGAGGCTGCTCTGCTGCACAGGGGACTCAGGTGGCTGATGCCCCGGGATGCTCTTCTTATGCGTCCCAGAGCTGCAGGCTCACTGGCTTCTCCTGGAATCCCTCCATTTCCCTCTGCCCAGCCCCCTCTAGCCATGCCATCCCCACCTGCTCCTGATGACCCACAGTGGCCCTGCTTGTCAGTAATCCACGCCAGCGCAGCAGAATCACCTGGGCGGTGGCACAGAGGACAGGCCCACCCCAGAGTCTGTGATTCCGTAGGTGTGGACTGAGGCTGTGTGTTTCTTTCTTTTTTTTTTTTTTTTGAGACGGAGTCTCGCTCTGTCGCCCAGGCCGGACTGCGGACTGCAGTGGCGCAATCTCGGCTCACTGCAAGCTCCGCTTCCCGGGTTCACGCCATTCTCCTGCCTCAGCCTCCCGAGTAGCTGGGACTACAGGCGCCCGCCACCGCGCCCGGCTAATTTTTTGTATTTTTAGTAGAGACGGGGTTTCACCTTGTTAGCCAGGATGGTCTCGATCTCCTGACCTCATGATCCACCCGCCTCGGCCTCCCAAAGTGCTGGGATTACAGGCATGAGCCACCGCGCCCGGCCTGAGGCTGTGTGTTTCTAACAAGTTCCCCAGCGGGTGCTGATGCTGGTCCAGGGACCACACTTGGGGAGCAGCTGGTGTCATGCCTGATTTTACACTGGCTTTTCTCACCCTCTATGACTTTGTGTGGCAGGGTTGCCTTCCCTTTTCAAAAGTGGTGTCACAGCCTGGGCAGACCTCAGGACGGGAATGTGACTCCAGCGAGACACAGAGGTGTGGGACAAATGGCTGCTCCTTCTTTTATAGTTTTATATAATTTTTAATGAGGCAGAATTCCCATACCATAAAATTAACCATTATAAAGTGTTCAGTCCACTGGCATTTAGTATGCTAGACCTGTTGTGCAACTACCATGTCTATCTAGTTCTGAAACATTCTCATCATCCCAATATAAAACCCCATACCCACTAGGCAATCATTCCCCATCCCATCACCACCCCCAGTCCCTGGCAACCACCAATCTGCTTTCTGTTTCTATTAATTAATCTATTTTGCATACTTACAGAAACAGTCATATGTGACCTCTTGGGCCTGGCTTCTTTCCCTTGGCATAATGTTTTTGAGGTTCATTCATTATAGCATGTAGCAGAACTTTATTCCTTTTCATGGCTGAATACTAGTCCATTGTATGGATATACCACAATTTGTTTACCCATGCATCTATCAATCCTTACTTGAGTCATCTCCACCTTTTGGCTATTGTCAAAAATACTGCTGTATCTTTTTGAGTCCTTGCTTGTAATTACTTGGGTGTATACCTGGGGTGGAATTGCTGGGTTGTATGGTAATTCTGTTGAACTCTTTGAGGAGCTGTCAAACTGTGTTCCATAGCAGCTGAATATTCTGCATTCATACCAGCAATGTATGAGATTCCAATTTCTCCACATCCCCACCAGCACTTGTGTTTTTTTTTCTTTCTTGGTTTTTGTTTGTTTGTGTTTTATTATGATACTGATGACCCTTACTTTTCCTTCCAGCCCTCCCCTGCTCACTCTTGTCTCCCTTTCACTTCAGGTCTAAGTATTAGTGACTTTACTGGACACTATCCTACATCTCACATGTCTTCCTGCTGCTATATTTGTCCCACTCAACCTCTCCTCTTGGCAACATTGGTCCCATCATAGTGTAATGAGCAACAACCCGTGGAAAGAAATGGGCTCATTCCTACTTTAGAGATGAGGAAAATAACACTCAGAGAAGCAAAGTAACTTGCCTGAATAACAGAGCCATCATTTAAGGCCAGGCCTTCTGACACCATCCAACCCCTAGTTCACCACATCAGGGTATTCTTAACCTCCTTAAAATTTTCTGCAAATTTGTATGTGTGCATGCACACGTGTGTGTTGCTGGGGAGAGGCCCATCACTTGCATCCGACTCTCCCAGGAGACACCAGCCTCTCACACGCCTCTTTTTCATTGCCCTCCCTGTTGTGGGTTCCATTTCTCTTTGGGTGAAGAGGGAGAGATGGCTTTGCGCATGGAGGCACTGGTTAAGATGGAGCATAGGAGAGACACAGCTGCAAGGCTCCCGACCCTACCTTACCCCATCCACCCTGCTCACTGCCTGCTCAGCCCACTCATTCAGTTGCAGGGAGGCCATGCTCCTTCCAGACTGCTGAGCTGCACAGGGCTGGGCCTCCACACTTCTGTGCTTAGGAAGGATGGCCTTACCTACCTTTCTCAGTGGGTCAGCTTCAGGAAGGGGTTGTGAGCAAAGGTGATGCTTGCCCAGTGTCCTGTTGCAACAGTGTAGCGGAGCTTGGGTATGCCACAGGAATAGGAGCAGGATTTTGCTTTTCTCAAGTTCAGTGTAGCCAGTCTGTCACTAGACCTGCTGGGTCCCTGCATGGTGCTGGGTACCAGGAAAGTAGACACACACACACACACACACACACACACACACACGAGTATACAATACAGTCCCTGCCCAGAAGGACTGTTTATTCTACTGGGAAAAGGAAATATGAACCTATTCATGATGGAGACTGTGTAGGGGAAGAAAGACTAGACTATGCGGTGTAGACATACAGACTAGACTATGCAGTGTAGACATATAGACACCATAAAGACATATATAGACAGGTATAAAGTGTGATGCCTGGTGCAGGGTTAAATAAAGTCAATGCAAAAGGGGTTAGAAAGGAGAGCACTTTACAGGTTGAACCATCTGGGAAAGGCTTCAGGAGGGAGACTTCCCTGGGCAGCTCCAGTCTCTCCTGTGTGCCCCGGGAGCACATAGCTGGTGACGTCAGTGGGGACACTGAGGCCTGGGGAGATCGAAGCGATGGTGCTGCCTTATTGACTACAGGTGCCCAATGGGGCCTGCATGTTGAAGGCAAGCTTGCCAAAGTGTCTCACCAGTCCCCAGAGATGAACTAACTTCCTAGCAAAAAAGCGATGAATAACTATGAAGGAGAGGAATTCCCCTTATGCCGAGGGACTTTGTCCCTTCTGAAGCCAGAGTAACCAGCCACACCTGTGTCACCAGCTGTGGGCCTAAATTCCTCGGCCAGTCTCACTTTCTCACCAGGAGCCTCCAGATTTGCTGAGAGTCACCTGGGGTCTCCCATGGATATCTGGCTCACTAGCCAAAGCCTGTCACTCCCAGGTTCCCAGGGAGTCTGAGTGCAGTGTCTGTGGCCACCTCATGGCCAGACCAGGAACTGTGACCCCCTTAGAGTCCTGCTGTAGTGGGGACACACTCCATGCGCCAGCCACTGCAGCCTTCCTGGGATGCAGGTACCACTCAGTTGCCAAGGCTCCCTGCAGCCTGTGTTTCCATGGAGGGACAGAAATCAGAGAAGGCTGTTGCCTTGGAAACCCTGTTGGCAGCAGTGACTCAGCTGGTCTGTAGCCACCTTCAGCCCTCCAAACCTGCAGGCCTCTGGGGAGATCTGAGCCCTGACGAGGGCAGGCCTCGTGGGACAGCAGCCCTCCCTGCAGGCCTCCACCTGCCCACCCCCAGGGGCGCTGAGGCGAGAACAGAAAGCTGTGTTTGGAGTGTGCTAGGCTGGTGCCCAGCGTGTGCTTGGAGCTCAGTGCATGCGAGAGAGTCCTGAGGTGTGTTTTACCCACAGGAGACACTGGGGAGGTGGTATCAGCCATTCTAGTCAAGCCAAGTCCCCAGTGCCCTCCTCCCCTATGGCCCAGGCGGGTGCAGAACACAGAAGACTACACGCAGTTGGTGCTTTCACAGGCCAGCCTGTCTGCACCAGGCAGATTGATGAGTTAAGAGATGTTTGGATGTTCCGGGCCTTTCTCCACCTGCTCACCTGTAGCCCCAGCACATCACAGTTGTGGGGACAGCCGGGGGCCGGGGGAAACTTTTTCTTTTCCTTCATGCCTGTTATACCTTGCACACCATTCCCCACCCCAGCTCCACCATGCCCCTTGCCTACCCCTTGCACCCTGACCCCTAACATGCTCTAGCCACAGCAAACTGGCACCACACATGCTCCTAACTCTAGGCCTTTGCCTGCGCCGTGTCAGCCTGGGACATCCTCCCAAATTCCCTGTGCTTGGCCAGCTCACCTCTCACCTTCCTCCTGCCCCTCGCCCAAGACAGTTCTAGACGCTGCTCCTTGGGGTTCCTGCAACGATCCCTTGTCCCCAGCGGGGCACTTGCTGCTCTACTGTGGGGGGTGATTATCCCGCCAGACACCGAGAGGGGCAGTTGTGTGCACTGTTTACACCTGGGTCCCAGACCCTGTCCAGAGCCGGGCACAGAAGTGTTTGGTGAATGGAGAAATGAGCCATCAAATGGGGCTTGGGTTAGCCCCCTGTTCTCTTCCACCCAGGCCTTTGCTGGTGTTTGCAGCTAGTTTCTCCTCCTCTGGGTTCCAGGGCGCCTCTGGCCATAGGACTTTTATGACACCGATCTCGTGCTGCCCCCAGTGGTGCTCCGGCACCCAGCCCTGTTAGAGGAGTTTAGGATTTGTTCTAAGGGCCATCCACTGTCTGAGGGCAGGAACCAAAACTGATTTTTTTTTTGGTTCACAAGGCCCAAAACAGAAGAGATGCTTGGTAAATGTTTAAACAATGAACTAGTTACTCTGAAAGGTGAGATTCGTATGAACTCTGCAGCTGGAAAATGACCCAACTCATGGGACATCTCTCACCATTCCTCAGTCAATACCAGTAATAATAGTAACTGACAATACTTACTATGCACCGGCCATGCTCCAGCCTCTGTTCTAAGTGTTTGCCTCATTTATTTAAAACTCGCCACCACCCAGAGAGGGAGGAACTGTTACCATCTTCTCTTCAATAGATGAAGCAACTAGGAGACCCAGAAATTGAGTAATTTGCATGAGGCTGGGTTGGCTCCAGAATCTGTGTCCTTAATTAATCACCCTCCTGCCTCTTTGCCTAAACAACAGCAACAATATTAGTGGTAATGAAAGTAGTCATAGTAGTAGCAATATATTTACTTCATTATTTATTTTAATTTTGTTATTATTACCAGTATTTACCATTAAACATATGTGTGTATGTTTAAGATATATTTAATGGTAAATACAGATAATAATACATACACAAGAAATATACACACACACATTTATAAACAAACAAGCTAAACATTTATATATATATATATATATATATATATATATATATATATATATATATAAGCTAGACTATATATGTGTGTATATATGTACCGTTTACTGTGGGCTGTCACAGTTCTAAGCATCTAAGCACTCCAGATACATTCATTAATTTAATCCTCCAGCCACCTTAAGATGTTAGACACTATTATCCTCATTTAACAAATGAGGAAACTCATTTGATGAAATGAGTACAGAGAGGTTAAACAACTTGTACAGGGTCCCCAGTTGGTAAGGGATGCAGCGGGGATTCAAACCCTGGGAGTCTGGTTTCGGAATCTGCACCCTTAAATATGCCAAAGATTCAGACCTCTGGCCAGGGAGTTGGGGCCAGCCTCTCTGGCCCGAGGGCACGCCCACTCACAGAGGACATGAAGACAAAGCATAGACTATCTGAGTGGGCTTGCTGGACTGACCCAGAGTCAAGCCAAAAAGGAAGGAAGCCCTATTGGGTTTTCTGCTAGCCCCTGCCAGCCTATGTGACCTTGAGAAAGTTGCTTGGTGTCTCTGTCCACTGATCTTCTGTTCAGTGTAATGGGGCAAGGTGGATGGGCTTTGACAGGAGTTGTGATGAGTAAGGAGCTTAGCTTCTCTGCCTGGAAGGAGCAAGGGGAACTCTGGTTCCTCTCCCACCTCCCTCCAGGTTGGCTGTTGCATTACGGGAGGACCCCCCCCCCACACACACACAGCTTCTCTAGGGCTGTTTCCTCTAGGTGGGACAGCCCCTGCAGGGCTTGAGGGTGGGCAGCACCAGGTATCTGCTGACTGTCCCTCCTCTCCTGCTGGCCGGATGGGACAGGAGGCATGAATGAGCCATCTTTCCAATGCCTTTCTGTCTTTTCTGGTCCAGGTGTGGCAAAGGGAAGCTGGAAGATGGGGATGGCATCAACCTGAATGACATCGAGAAGGTCCTTCCAGCCTGGCAGGTAGGTGCAGGGGCAGGCTCTCTAACAGCCCACCCCCACCCCTGGAGTCCTGATCCTCTTCCTGGACAGGACCTAACCAAAGCACTCCTTCTGGCTGCTTGTTCCAGCAAGGAGTGTAACCGCCTGTATGGTAGTAATAGGCAGGGCTGGCTACCTGCCATTCTCCAGGGTGTCCCATTGTGATCGTGTGTGTGACAGCCTACTCGGTGATGCTGCAGGCCCTGCTGGCAGGCCTGATGTGCCCTAGAGATGAAATAGACCATGCCCTGGCAACTCAGTGAACTTGGAAGTTTTTGTCCCTTGGCCTGAAACCTCTCTGCAGGTGAAGTGTCCTGTGGTGTGTTCAGGTGGGACTGGCAGGCCTGGAAGAGATTCTAATGTGGCTGGGGCTGTCTTTAGGCTTTTGAACAGTGGACTTGCCCTGCTGGCCTCCAGGTGTCTGCTATGCTTGCTCTTTTTTTTATTGATTGGGCCTCTTTCCTGGAATCAGGCCAGGTTCCAGGACAAAGAGGATTCACTCAGTGAATCCAGGTCTCTAGATACTTATAGTGCTGGACTTTTGGTGGAAACAGCAGGAGTCTAGCTGCTCTCAGGAGTGTGACTGGGCCTGCTGCAGGGGTGTAAAAGCAGTGGACCTTCCACAGTGACTGAGTCTGCCGCTGCCAGTGACCATGACCTACCACCACACTCCACTGTGCCACCCTTCCCTTCTCTCCTGATTCTTCTCCTGCTATTTTATCTATATCCATTCATCTCTTCCTGGTGCCTTTGCCATTTTGTTTCTTCTCTGTTCATGCCTTGGGCCTATCAATGAGAGACAATAGAGCATACAGTTAAGACCTCATCTATTTGATTATGATGTGCCTTGGTGTGGTGGTTTTCTTCATGTTTCTCCCACTTGGGATTTATTGAGTTTCTTGGATCTGTAGGTTTATAGTTTCATCAAATTTGGAAAATTTTCAGCCACGATTCCTCCTACTTTCCCTCAACCCTGGGGTTCCAATTGTATGTATTCTATGCTTCTTCATCTTTTCCCATGGCTCACCAAAGCTCTGCCTGATTTTTTAAAGTCTTTCTTTACTCTCTGTGTTTCATTTTGGATAGCTTTTATTGCTATTTCTTCAAGTTCACTAATATTTTATTCCAGTGTCAAATCTACTGTTAATCCCATTCAGTATATTTTTCATTTCAGACATTGTAGTTTTTATCTCTCGAAGGTCATTGTGGGCTTTTTTAATAAGCCACTGTGTCCAGCTAGAATCTGCATTTTTAAAGCATTGTAGGAAATTCTGATTATCAGCAAGAGTTGAAAACTTAAAGTCCTGGCTGATAATGCTCCTGGCTTGACTGCTCCTTGGAGTATCTACAATTCACATGGGTACCCTTAGGACAAGGTAGACAGGCTTCTTGATCCCCAAACACAGACTTTTGGTGTTTGAGGAATTTGCGGTCCTGTGAGAGCACAATGGGATGACTTATCTGAGTTTTCCTAGTGTTCTTCAAAGCCCCTCATAAATAGGGCTGGCTGGTTCACTCGTCTGGCCTTGGGTCCTGAGGGTCAGCTGGCCTAGCTATTAGCATATGTGGTGGGGACAACTCTTAATAGTATGGACGTGTCCAATGCAATGTGGGATATTTAGGACTCCTGGCCTCTGCCACTGAATGGCCGTCACTGGAGAGGGGCAGGCATAGTGACCACCAAAAACATCCTCCTACTTCCAGATTCACCTAGGAGATATTGTGCATCCAGCTGAAGGCCCCCAAATGGGAGGGAAAGCCCACCTCTAGCCTGAGGACCTCCAGCCCTCCTATGGGAGTCTTGAGCCTGTACATAGATAAGCGGGCTTCCTAGAGACTTTCTTAGACAAAAATCAGGGCTGGCCTCCCCTCCCTACCTGGAGGCAAGAAGGAAAGAGGGTGACAAAGGGAGGTTGGCCTCAAGCCCATTGCCTACCTGCCCTCCACTTCTGCACCCCAGAAGAAGAGGGGCATAAAGATCCTACCAGCTGTGTCCCCAGCATGTTCTCAACCCACAGAGGCCCAGACCCCCATCTCCGGCCCCTTCTGTCCCTGTTCGGACTCCTTAGCAGGCAGGAGGCTTTGTGATGTTCTCAGCACCCTTGCCCAGCCTCTGTCCTGGGCTCCCCCTGCCATCCTGTGGCCCTGTCAGTCCCTCCCCTGATCTGTTCTGATCTTCCATCTCTCCTTGCTTTCTCACCAGCAGGCGGTTCCCTCTGCCTAAAATCTCACTCAGCCCTTCTCTGCCTGTCCTTTTTCTGGCTCAGGATACCTCCCCTGATCCCTCTCAGATGCACAGGATGGAGTCCAGCATCCACCTGCCATTTCCCCAGAGCCCCTGCCCCCATCTCTGTGGCATGGCTCCCACCACGTCGCACCTGCTTACATAACTGCCAGACTCCCTTCCTGGACTCTGGGCTGCCTGAGGGCTGGGCCATTTCCTTCAGCCTCATAACCCCAGCACCAGGTGCTCTAGAGTGAGTGCTGCTGAAGAACCTCCTTTCTAGATGTGCTGTTGTGTTGTCTAGAGTGTACAAGAAAGGCAGGATTTGTGTCTGTCTTGACACTCAGTCGTCCCTCTGTCTCTGAGTTTCTCCCACCACTTCCCAGCAGAAATTCAGCATGAACCTGGTTATGCTCTTCTCGGTGTGATTTCTGAGACACATTTGTTGTTGTTGTTGTTAAAGAAAACAGGATTTTTCCATCGTCTCCTGTATTAGGACACTATAGGCCATGGCATAATACTAAACAAACCCCACATCTCAGTGGAATCACACACAGAATTTTATTTCTAACTTTCTGAAATTCTGCTGAGGGTCCAGCTGGTCTCCAGGGTAGCTCCTTGGGGACTCCAGGGTCCAGGTGGATTGCGTTCTGTGGCCCTGCCATCTCAATCCATGGTATCCAAGTGGCCCTGGCACAGGCAAAGAGAGCTGGAGGGTCGTGTTCTAGGTCAAGCTTGGCCAACCTGTGGCCCAGGATGGCTTTGAATATGGCCCAAAACAAATTTTTAAACTTTCTTAAAACATTATGAGGTATTTTACAATTTTTTGTTTTAGCTCATCAGCTATCATTAGTGTATTTTATGTGTGGCCCAAGACAGTTGTTTCGGTGTGGCCCAGGGAAGCCAAAAGATTGGACACCCCTGCTGTATGTCTTAAATGCTTTGGCCCAGAAATATCAGCTCCACTCAGAGCCCATTGGACAGAACTAGTCACATGCCCCCGCCCCAACTGCAAGGGCTGACACTTCTGCAGGGGAGCGGGAAGAAGGGGAGCACATGGCTGTTCTGTAAGCCTCAAGTGCCTCTGCCAAATCTTCCTCTTTCCTTCACTTGCTCACTTAACTCATCTTCATGGACAAGTGCTCTGCCCTAGCCTTTTAGAGAGAGAGAATTGATCACATAAGATACAGTTCCCCACGAGAGGCACAGCCTAGTAGAGGAAATGAGACATGCACAGATTACCACATGCATTCAAAGCTGCAAATGCCCGAGCAAGTGCTGGTGCCTTGCCCAGGTCACAGTCCCTGAAGGGCAAAGTCTGGGTCCTCTCCCAGTACACCCCACCTTCCTCCCCTGTGCTGCTGCAGCTCCTGCAGTCTGGGGCGTGAATGTGTGGCTGAGTACAAAGCAGAGGGCGCCATGGGCCCCCACACTGAATGCCTGTTGATCTCCTGGGAGCCCTAGCTTATCTCTCAGTGGGTTACACACAGAGCGCATGCCACAATGAGTGGTTTTAGGAGGTGATGCCTCCACTGGGGGTCAGATGCTGACACCTAGGCGTCTGGCCAAGCTCCTCTCCAGCCAAAGCCAAGGCCCCTATTCCTGGTGACTCCATCTGGCTGTGTTTCCACAACTGGCAATGAATCCAGGGGTGAGTCTCACTGCAGTGCTGACCTCAGGAACTTCATCTCTGGAGCTGCTGGACTCAGGCTCTTGGAGCCCCCACAAGGATGTGGGGCAACAGGGTAGACAGTAGGTGTCTGTGTCCAGGGCTCACCCTATACCTCTGTGAACCCCTGCTGCCAGGAATAGTTCTGCACTCTGAAAAGGCATTTAGTGAGCTAGTTAAGTAAAGGGTCTGTTGGTGGTGTTAACTGTCCCCAAGGTCTTCCTTCCCACACTGGTGGCTGGAGGGAAAGGAGCAGGTACGCTGGGATAGGAGCTAGCCAATAGCCAGGTTTTATGGCATCCACACCGAGGCATGACATGCCATACAATGGCAGCCTCAGGCCAGTTGAGACTGACATTGCTCTCTAAGAACACTGATGGGGTGGTGGGGGGTCGGCGGGGGTGGAGTGGGTGGGAGATGGGGGGCAGCAGAAGGCTCTGAGTACAGGGCCATGGATTCAGGGTTCAATCATGGTTCTCAGTGTTGAAGCCATAGGGCAGGCAGACACTGAGACACACACTTGGGCTCAGACTGCAGTTCTAGGGGACCCCCAAATTCCATCCACAAGGCTGGTGTCCTGGTAGCATTTTTGGCATCTCTATCACAGGAGTGGAGGGGTTGGCCAGGCTACCACTCTGTCAGTGTTGTGGGCAGCCCAGGCCCATCATTAACAGTCCTGCTCTGAGTGTGGCCCCAGTGTTGAGGACTGCTGGAGTGGAGGCCTCGCCAGGATCGGTGGCTGTATGGTGGTGTGCTCCCACTAGAGGGCACCAGCGCACCACTCTGCAGGCTCCAGCCTGGTGCTTGCTGTGGGAAGTCCCCTGGTCCCAGCGCCAGCAGCCAAAGGCGTCTTCACCGGCCATGCCTCCTGGTCAGCGCTGCACATGCACACTGTCCTGAAAATGACCCCACTCAATGCCCAGGCCCTTCCTCCCTGCAGCAAGTGGGAGGATGGCGAGGTGCAAGAGGCAGCCACACTAAGGTGTAGGGAAGCTCCTGTTGGGCCACATGTCCCCTGCTAGGCCAAGGCATGACACTCCTCCAGAGGGCCCGCCCCTCCCTGGGACCCCTGGGAACACACTGCTTCCAGGAGGGCAGCAGCACGGGGCTGCAGGGGAACACCCACTGGGGTGGGGCTGGGGGAGTTACAAAGTGTTGGCTTCCGCCCTTGGAAGGATGGGGGCTGGCTAAGTGGGGAGATGGAGCCGCATAATCTGTAATCCATAGTCTAAGCCGAGTTAATTTACTAAGTTCTGAATTAACTTGACTAAGTTCCAAGTTAACTTGACCAAGTTCCATGTGAAGGCAAGGGATGAAATCCGAATTGCATATCCTTCACCTCATCTCTGGTCTGAGACCACCCCCCGGCACCCCCTCCCCCAGGACCCCTTTACTCTGAGGTGTGACTTGGGGAGCAATTTCTCCATGTGTGTGAAGTCGGCGCGACCAGTGTGAGAAAGACGGTCTAACGGGCATGTTGTCCCTGTGCCCTAGATGGCCCCTAGGTGAGCATTAGATTTCCTCAGGTTCCCGGGCACAGGGCCCTCGGCGCCCTGCGGAAATGCCACCTCCTTATATCACACAGTGGCCTGGTGCTTTTGTGTCATATACAATACCCCATTGAAAGACGTTGTTTGTTGAATTATCCAGTGTCCTGCCCAGGGCTTTCTATCAGGACGTATTTTGGTCATTATCCTTGAATTCTCCCAGACAAACATTATGTCTGCTGTCTTTGGTCTGACAGTAGGAACTACATAACCCACTGACTTCTCGTTTTGCCTTTCTCTTAGGAAATTTTGAAACCAAATTCTGTGTCTGTTGGCCGTTAATCATTAGATGGCTCAGACCTAGCAGGGCCGGCTCCCCTGCCCCCACATTGCTGGCCTTGTCCAGAGCGTGTGACTCAGGAGCCCTTTGCTGTGAAAGGGGCTTAGTGCCCACACAACAGTGGACGCCACCCGGTCAAGTGGGATTTCTGGCCTTAGGGATGTGCCCAAAGCATTCCCCATTGAGGGTCCCCAGAAGGCTCAGGGGACGGAAAGTGGCTTTCTGGCCTCCTGAGCCTGTGTCCAAGTCCAGCCTTCACACGGGAGATGGCTAAAGGAAGGGACAGTTCCTTCCTCGTTCTTCTGCTTGGCCCTGGATGATAACAGAGAGATCCTCCCCACTACCTCTCTAAAGAATCCGAGGGACAAATGAGCTTTCAAAATGAAAATCATGGCTCCATGAAATGACACTCAGGTGTCCCTCACTCCTGGAGGAGTGAAAATGGTGGCCGATAAGGAATGGCCTGGCAGCCCCAGCAGGTGGCGCTGCTGCTATTTAGTAATGGGGGTCCTGGGCGGGAGGCCGGGGCCGCGGCTGGGGCTGCCCCACACTGGGGTTGAAGCCTCTGTAGCCGGGTTCCCAGACCTCCAGATGAGAAGGAGTAACTTTATTGTTCCCTAGGGCTGTGTTAGCTGTTGCCAAGTCTTCTGGAAACTTCTAGGACATGCTAACTCACAGGCGTGAGGATTAGTAAAGTGCCCCGAGACACCCAGGAGCAGAGTCCTGAAAACCATGCCCCACCTCGCCTCCCCAGGCCCTGTGCACCGGCGACTGTTGCTCCATGTCACCCGTGGTCCCACGGAGGTGAGGTCTGACCTTATTCACCCAGGCCAACATTACGGATCAGGCATCTCTCTGTGTCCCAGGCATTGTCTTATAGCCATTATGGACTGAGTTTAAGTGCAGGGGCTGGTACCTGTCCCATAGACGGGGACATGGTATTCTCCTAATGTCCCCTTAGTGAGAATTCAACAAGGAGCGTAATGCACCAACAGTAACACTAGCGAACATTCACAGAGTGCTTTCCGTGTTCCAGGAACTGAGAAGGTCCTTGCTTTTTCTAATCTTACCCTCACGTTGTCCCATGGAGCACGTACTGTTATTGACCTCACTTTACAGACCGATGTCTTTGGTCGGATGTAACCTTCTCAGTAAGGGCTTGTGAACACTCCATATGCCTCCTCATCACTCAAGAATCGTCACTCGATTCTTCCCTGCAGCGCCTGTCGCATGTTTGCTTTATTTCTTTTGCGTCTGTATTCTCCCAGTGGAGTGTACGTTCCCCTGGGGCACATCTAGGGGCTCATTAAATATGGGTTGAGTGACTTGCTCCTGCCCCAGAGGGACTCCCACCCAGCATCTTAGTCCAGAACTTGTGCCTCCACCACAGAGGCTACCATGACTTGAGTGCTGTCTGAGCTGCGGGCTGCATATACTATCTCTGAAGTCTCACAAATACCCTGGGAAATGTTTATTCTATTATTATTTCACAGATTGGAGAACTGAGCTCAAATACCTTGCCTCAAATCACACAGCTGGGAGAAGGGGGATTGGAATCCAGGCAGCCTGACTCCTCTGGTACCTCTTTCTAAGGAGGGACGATGAGGAGGAAGAGGTGCTGGAAAAACATTTTCTAATTCCAGGAGACGGTAGTCACGTACAGCAAGTTAGGGGTGAATGTCATTTCCTTAATAAGCAAGAACAAGAAAGTGGGTATCTCTGTTTTTCTCTCTACTGCTGAAGGCAATAAAAATGGAAAGAAAAAAAGAGAAAAGCCTCTACAGACAGCTTTGAAAGAGAAATATTTTTTTCTTCTTTTTTAATCAGACAGGTTTGTAGTGGCCTTCCCCATCCCTGCTGGCCCAAGACGCTGTAGCAGCCATCAAGGAGGGGGTCTTACAAACGAGAGCCCCTTTCCCTCCCCAGCCACCTCCCCACCCCCAAGTGCTTCCTCCCTCAGGACAAAAATAGGCGCCCATACAATAAATGGGGCCAGAAGTTCTCCAATCCGTGGTTTCCTGTCTGAGACCTCCAGGTAGCAGGTCCACTGGGAAGGGGCAGCGTGCTCTGTGAGGCGAGCCTATTTTTATTTTTTGTTATTTGTGAGTCTTTTTTTTTTTTTTTTAAAGAACTGATTATTCTGGAGGTGAAGACTTTTGTTGGTGACAACTGGGAAAGTTCCTCGGGAAGAGGCCACTGTCTGCGTCTAGATGGGGTTTCCACGCGGGCCTCCTCCTGCTCACTCCATGCGGAGCAGAAGGCAGGGAGCTGGGACTGTGGGCAGCGAGTACTTTCAGGGCTGTGTGGGGCAGGCTTCAAGGGGCCTGGGCAAGTCTGCCCACCCTATAGGAACACCTCAATGATCCAGGCCACGGCTAGGATTTTAGGGATTGGCAAACTGGTCCACAGACCAAGTCCAGCTCTCCAGCCTGTTTTTGCAAATAAAGTTTTATCAAAACGCAGCCACACCCATTCACTTGCTTCCTGTCTGTGACTGCATTTGTGCCACAGCCACTTGCTGTGTGGACCCTATCGCCGGCAAAGCCTAAAATATTGACTCTCTGGCTTTTTACAGAAAAAGTTTGCCAAACACTGATCTAGAATATAAACAGAACAAAAAAGGAAACCTCTGAGAGTTAAAACAGGTGGCAGAAATCCTAAAGCTCACTCACTAGTCATCCAAGAGCCCTTCTGCTTTGCACACAGAACATTGTGTAATTCACCCAAAATAATTTTCTTCCAGCTTCCATTTCTTCTGCTGTAAAGTTGGGGGTCATATACCTGTTCAACTTACGTTGCAAAGCTGTGCTAAGAGTCAAAATACAATAAACCAGTTCATATAATGACAGGGATTTTTGAACTTAAAAAACACTCTGCAGATGTGATGTGGCCTCATGAAGTGGTAGTCACATCTGGAAGCAGGCAGAGAACTGGCAAGCTTGGCAGATAAGAACTGCGCTTGGAGATGGTCCAACAGCTTCCTTCTGTGGGTTTCTTGGCGGGTGGGAGATGGAGGGCAGGGACTGTTGGCTTTCCCCAGCTCCTCCTGAGACTGAGACCTAAAGGGTGACTGTCTTCCTGCCCTTGACCTTAGACAGAAAAGACTGTTGGGGGAGTCTTCTGCTCACCCATTTCTCTTTCCTCTTATGTCCTTCCCTCTTTCTTGCTCAAATCTTCCCCCTCTTTCATGGCCCTGTTCCAATTTCACCTCCTGCATGAAACTATTCTGGATAAATCAGACCACATCAGCCCACAGAGGTTTCTTGGTTTTTTGGGGGTCTTGATTCTAGGCCAATTTTGAGGTTTTCCCCTTTTTTATGCCCCTCCATGCATTTGTGCCTCCTGGAGGAGGTAGACCTGGAACTGGGCCTTGGGGGGTGGCCTGGGAGGGGAGAGGGACCTATGGGGAGAAAGAGAATTATGGTCAGGAGAAAAGGAGGCTGTTGAGAGTGGGGGAGTCCAGGAGTCCTCGAGAGGGGAGACTGTATGTAGGGAGAGCAGTTGGGGGTGGCCCTGGACGTCTTGGGACCTGACCAAATAGGGACTCAGCCGAATGCTCTCCAGCAAGGAAATGCAGGATGGAAGGAGGATTCAGAAGCCGTGGGACAGGGCCTGACTGAGCCTATGCCCTCCTCCTGGAGACCAAGAGGGAGTTCCCAGGATCTCCCTCCAGGCACCAGGGAAGAAGTTTTGTTATTTGTTAGGGACAAAGGCTAGAGCCCTTTAAAAGTAGGACTTGGCCCCAGTGGAGAGGTCATCTGTCCATGCCCTACTTTGGGCCAGACCATATCCAGAATCCCTTGATGAGTATCAGAGGGCTTAATCCTTCAGGGAGTAGGGCCTTGAGGCCAGCATGGGACAGGGAGCTGGGACAGTAGGCTCAAAGAAGGCCAGATTGAGGACAGCCTTCCTCAAGGTCTCAGCTGGGCCAAGGCCATCACACAGACAAAGAGCTGCTGGCCTAGCCCTGCTGGAGGAATGAGCTCAGGGTTGAGAAGAGGCCAGCAGGGGTGCCCGGTACACAGTGAGCAGGCCCCAGGCTGGCCTGAGTGGCCCTGTCGACGGATGCCCAGAGGCAGACCCACCCTGCACACGTCCACCCGCTTTGATGAATGGGGCCACACAGCCCGCAGCCTTGCCGTCCCTGTCCTTCAGCAGTTTCCAGGGTCTGGTTTAATCCTCCCACTCCCTGAGCCAATTTGGCGATGCCCTTGATGACTTGGGCCAGGCCTGGTTGATTGAGATTGCTTGCCGGTCCAGCATCTTCCCTCCTCTGTCCTTTGTGGAAGGAGCCGCCGGGGCTTGGGGGAAGAGGAAGGTGTCGCCAAGGGTGTGAAGCATCCATTATTCCTTTATTAGCCAATGTCCCATTTCTGGTCTCATTCTCCTTCCTGGCAGCGGTGAGTTTAGGGGCGGAGAAGCCCAGTTATTTTAGTTTCCCCCTGCTTCTGTCACTGGGAGCAGTGGTGGTGGAGGGGGCGGGGACGGACAGGGCTACGTGCTCTCCAGCAGGCATTTGTGAATGGGCCTCGGCTCCCAGGCTGACCCGCCGGCAGGCGGCCCCCCCAGGACACACTGACTCTTACTGGCTGGAAGGCGTTTTTCCAGCATTGCAGCGGCCAGGCAGGAGGAAGCTTTCCTCTGGCCCAAGAACAATACCAGGGTCAGCCCAGGGACCTCCCTCCTACACCCTCTTCCTTCCATTGTGAGCTGCTGCACAATCCCAGGCCCCTCTGTTCTATACAGCCAGGGGGGCTGGGGGGTCAGGCCCAGGAGAGATTCACAGTGTGTGTGACACCGTCAGTTGCTTGCCTCCACTTCCCAGGCTGGGCCAGGGATCTGGAGGCAGCCGATGGCCAAACAAACCAAGTGAGTGAGTGGCCATTGGGTCCCTGTCCTTTGCAAGGGGCTACCTCCAGAGTGGGGCCCCCAGCTGGATGCTACCACTCTTTCCCTCCTTTCCCCATTGACTCGTAGCCTGCCAGGGCTGGAAAAGACCCAGAACTTCCACCTACAACCCCATTACAGACGAGGAAACTGAGAGACCCAGAAAGGCAAACTTCTCATTGCCTTGCTTAAAAATCCTTCACTGATTCTCAGGGCCTATGGAAAACCCTGGACTTTCCTTTAGCCCAGGGCCTGCTGGCACCCCCGGCTTCTTTCCTGTGACTCCGAGTCTGTCTGTGCTCTCAGCTTGGTGACTGATTGCCAAGCCCCTGATCCAGCAGCACCAGTTGCCTTCAGTGTCCTTCCCACCTCATCCACCTGCCTGCCTGCCCCACACCTGGTTTTTGTTTGTTTGTTTGTTTGTTTGTTTTTTGAGATGGTGTTTCACTCTTGTCACCCAGGCTGGAGTACAATGGCTCGATCTTGGCTCACTGTAACCTCCGCCTCCCAGGTTCAAGCAATTCTCCTACCTCAGCCTCCCAAGTAGCTAGGATTACAGGCGCGTGCCACCACACCCGGCTAATTTTTATGTCTTTAGTAGAGATGAGGTTTCACCATGTTGGCCAGGCTGGTCTTGAACTCCTGAGCTCAGGTGATCCACCTGCCTCGGCCTCCCAAAGTGCTGGGATTACAGGTGTGAGCCACCGTGCCCAGCCCCACACCTGTTCTTCAAAGACTCTGCTTAGAGGTCACCTCCTCTGTGAAGCCCTCCCTGATAAGGGACTTTTCCAATGCGTTAGTTTATTGATTCACCTGGCTCCTCCAGCACTTAATATATTCCTAGAGCACAGCTGCCCCTCCACATCACTGGTACACATGCATGCCTCACCCACACATGCATCTCTCCCTGAAACACACATGATCCCGGGAGCCAAAAGCGTATCTTATTCACCTCTGCAGCTCTTTGCACAGGTCCTCAAAGTGTGGCCCCTGATCAGCAGCAGTAATATCACCTGGGGACTTGCTAGAACTGCAAAGTCTTGTGTTCTATCTTCACCCCAGTGAACCAGAAACTCTGGGAGAGGGGCCCAGTGGTCTGCATTTTAACAAGCCCTCTGTGATACTGATGCGTGCAACAGTTGGAGAACCACTGCCTTACGACCTACTTGCAGGCCACTGGCTTTTCACTACTTCTGGATAGTTCAGGGAGTCACTGACATCACCTTCCCCTATCCCCTTCTATCTGCTGCTGAGATTTTTGGTTGGTTGGTTTTTACCATTATTTTGCTCAAATGAAGGACAAAGAATTGTGCCCTGTTTGACAACCCAGGACATGGATTTGCAAATGGTTTGGTGATTCAAGGACAACATGGTCCCCCAGACTCCAGCAACTGCTCCTGTCACTGGTCATGCCTCAGAGGACCCCTGGGTCCCGACAGCCCTGGGCGGGCCATTGGGGATTAGGGTTTCTGGAAGGCTCATTCCCTTTGCACCAAAGATAGAAACCTCAGCAGAGTCCTCAGTGACGCTGCGTATTTCCAGGTGGTCAAAGCCAACACCTGGGGTGGAGATGTGGGGGCAACCCACCTGGATGGGGCGAAGCCCTGGGCTCAGTGTTCCAGATCTTTCCTTCCAGCGCACTGCTTTGTGTGTGTGGCAGATGAACCATCCACAGCGTGCTGGGCAGAGGCCGACAGGGAGAGGAGTTTGTTCCCTGCGTGCAGAACCTCTGCAGCGGCGGGCGCTGACACCGAAGCACACTGGGTGGCAGGGGGAAGCCTCCCTGGGAATAAAGCAACAAACACAAACTTCTGTCTGCAAAGAGAATAATCCAAAGTTGATGTTACATCGACCATAAGTAAGAACAACAAGGGAGTAGCAGGCCTAGCTAAACACGCCCTGGAAAGGCTACATACTGTGGTTGTGTCCAGAAAACAATTTTGGACTCCAGGAACCCCACAGAAAATGACGGCCTGTCCCTTGGACCCCTGCTTGCAGTGAGACCACTGTCCCTCCGAGCATCAGTGGTCTCACTTCGAGCAGGGGGCACAAGGGACAGGCCATCATTTCCTGCCCCCGAGCCTCACCCTCCTCCTGTGAAATAGGAGTGCTGGCCTTGCCCTCCTTCTGGATCCAAGCCTTCACCCCCCTTGCCCACTTTTGGGGTGCTCCTGAAGGAAAGAGCTCTGATTATTAAAGCATTAGATGTAGTCTTGTGTTCTCCAAAGACCCTCTTTGTTCCTTTTGGCACCCCACCCCCAAAGGGTTCAGGAGGAAGCTCTGCCTCTAGCGGTCTAGGCCCTGCTCTCTCTCCAGAGTGAAAACCTCAAGGAGTGTTTTCATTACTCCTGGGGACTTTGGTGTTGCTTTTCGCTGTGGGTTTCCTGGAGTGTGTCTCTTTTGGATCCCAGAGGTCTGCCAGCCTGGCCGGGATCCAGGGAGGGTAAATGGTGGCTCCTTGTCTGCTGAGACAAGCGTGGCACCACTGTGGCCACCAGCCCTGAAAATTTGGGGCCCAGGCTCCCAAGCTCTCATGGGGGCCCAGTTGCACCATGAGGCCCAGGGCTGCTGGCCACTAGTTCTATGTTGAGTGGCCAACATGGCCTGGGCTGGGGTTCCCCTACCTGTGAGGTGCTAAAGTGTCAGGTGGGATGGACACTGCTGTGGCGTGGTGACATTGCTAAGGTGACTATTGGAGCAAATGACCTCAGTAGCCACTTGCACCTCGCATGCTTTGTGGCTCTGATTAGATCATTCATCTCCAACGTAGTATAATGTGGGGCCACAGGTGCAGGTGGGATTCAGAAAAGGGAAAATGTAGGCTGGGGCGACCTCATGCCTTCATGGGGAGGTGGGCCCCAAACACTTGAACCATCTACTCATTTTTTATCAAAATAGTACCTGTCTGTAACTTACAAAAATTAAATGATACTGAAAGGCCTGTGACAGAAAATAGCAGCTTTCTACCCCCTGCGTCCTCAAGTGACCCGTTCCATTCCTCAAAGCAACTACATACCTTCACTGTTTTTACTATTTTTTTCTAGTGGTACCACCCTATTTCGAATACAGATATCTAATCTCTAATATTTCTAATATCTAGTATACTATTATTATACTGTTCTTTTTAAGTATATCAATTCTAGTGATTTCCTGCTGATTTTCTTATTATGAGAGAGAAGAATTTTGTTCTCCTATACTCTGTCCTCTCAATATAGGTATACCGAATTTTACTTAAATGTTTAATCAGATGATTACTTCATTAACGAATCCTGCTTTCCTTTTCTTTATTTTGCAAAAATTCAGATTCACAGGAAAGTTGCAAAAATAACACAAAGAATTCCTATATAGCCTTCACCCAGATTCCCCAAGTGTTCACTTTTTACCATACTCGCTTTATCATTCTCCCTATGTAATTTTATTATTTTCTTAATTCCTTGAAGAGTAAGTTGCAGACACAGTGCCACTTTACACCTAGATACTTCAGCATGTTTTCCTAAAAGCATGGACATTCTTTTCCATAAATGCAATCTAATTGTCATATCAGGAAATTAGCATTGACAGAATACTGTTACATAACCTGTAGACATTTACATTTTGTTAATTGTCCCACTAATGTTCTTGATAGCTAAAGAAAAAGTTTTTGTTTTTTTGTTTGTTTGTATTTTTTTTTTTTTTTTGGTTTAGAACCTATACAAGATCAGACTTTGCTTTTAGTTGTCATATCTCTTTATCTCCTCAATCTTTCTTTGTCTTTTATGACCTTGACATTTTGAATAGTACAAGCAGGCCAGTTATTGTGTAGAATGTCTGTCAATTTGATTTTGTTTGATGTTTCTTCATAATTGAGTTTGTGTACTTTTTTTTTTTCTTGAGATGGAGTTTTGCTCTTGTCACCCAGGCTGGAGTGCAATGGTGCGACCTCGGCTCACTGCAACCTCCGCCTCCCGGGTTCAAGTGATTCTCATGCCTCAGCCTCCTGAGTAGCTGGGATTACAGGCACATGCCACCACGCCCGGCTAATTTTTCTATTTTTGGTAGAGACGGGGTTTCACCATGTTAGCCAGGCTGGTCTTGAATTCCTGACATCAGATGATCCGCCTGCCTCGACCTCCCAAAGTGCTGGCATTACAGGCATGAGCCACCACTCTCGGCTGAGTATGTGCACTTTTTAAGGGAATACCACAGAAATGGCGCTGTGTCCCTCTTCGTGCAGCTCATGGAGAGGCACAGGGATTTCGTGATGTTGACATTGACCAACTGGTTAAGATAGTAGCTTCCAGGCCTCACTGCTATGAAGTTACTATTTTTCTTTTTTTAATTTTTTTGAGACAGAGTCATGCTCTGTTGCCCAGGCTGAAGTGGAGTGGTGCGATCTCAAGTCACTGCAACCTCTGCCTCCTGGGTTCAAGTGATTCTCCTGCCTCAGCCTCCCAAGTAGCTGGGATTACAGGTGCCTGCCACCACGCCTGGCTAATTTTTGTATTTTTAGTAGAGATGGGGTTTCACTGTGTTGGCCGGGCTGATCTCAAGCTCCTGACCTCAGGTGATACACCCACCTCGGCCTCCCAAAGTGCTAGAATTACAGGCATGAGCCACTGTGCCCCGGCCCCAAGTTACTATTTTTCTCTTTGTAATTAATAAGTATCTTGCAAGGAGATAGTTGAGACTATGTAAATATACTGTTTCTGCTAATACTTTCACTCACAAATTTTAGCATTCCTTAATGATTCGTGCCTGAAATGTCATCATGCTGATCAGCAAATAGTGGTTTTAAAAAATTCCATCTACATTTATTAGTTGGCTTTCTGCTATAAAGATCTTTCCTTCTCTATTTTTCTTTTATCTGTTTATTTATATATGTTTTGGCTCATAGATTTTTATTTTATTCTAAGGGTTATAATCCATTACTATTATTTATTTTGATGCTCAAATCATCCCAGTGGGAGCCCTTGCAAACTGGCTTCTGTGTGTTTCTAAAATGTCCCCATTATTCTTTGAGCACTTCTTGACTTTCAGGCATGAGAACTTGTTCTGGGCTTATCTGGTATTTTCTCTGCCCCAGCCCTGGAATCTAGTGTTATCTAAGGAGCCCTGGTACCTTTTAATGAATGGTTCTTAGAAGCCAAGATCGGGACCTAGGTGTGCTCATTGCTGCTCGGTTCTCACGTTTTTTTACTCTCTCCTCCCTCATTCCTTGAGTGCCTGGGTTCTCAGGTCACAGCTTCTGTTATTCTGCTTCTCCAGAAATAAACTTTGAATCTTTTGCCTGGTGGTGGGGACCAAAGTGTAGTTTCCTGGCTATGTGGAAAGGGAAGGGGACTTGGGGAGTCTCATATTTAGACTTCGATCTGGTTCTGCTGTTTCCTGCCAACACCTGAGCCTTGCCTCTCCTGGTACCTGGGGCCTGCAAGCTTTGAGTCCTCGGAGATTTGCAGCCTCCATCCATGCATTTCTCATCAGTATTCCTCTCTGCACATAACTTAGGTTGCACCTGTCCCCACACTGCCAAGTTGCCCACTCCTCCTTCGTTTACTTTCTGTCTTTGCAAAGTTTGTTGAAATCTCTTTTCTTGATCTCTGTGCTTATGGGGGTTTACAAGTTTTTGTATTCATGAGAGAGCAGGAGTTGAATTAAATGCATGTGGTCAATCCTGTCGAGTCAGAAGTCTAATTTGTTTGGATTTAAATAGTTAGGGAAACAGGAAGAAGGTCGGAAGACTGAGCTCTGTGTGCTTGTCAAGAGGAGCAACGGGAGCAGATGGTGTCGTGTGGGAGTCGGGGATAAAGCGATCTGTCTTCAGAGTTCAGGCAGGAGAACTGGCTTGTGGCTGAGCCCTGGACAGGTTGTATAGAGAGGATAAAGGGGGTGCAGGATGTACCTGAATGCCAGTACATAGATTTTTTTCTTTGCTGTTGTTCAAAGAACTCTAGGAGGGGACACACACACACACACACACACACACACACACACACACACACACACCAAGCTTACCAACCAGGAGATGGGCAGAGTGAGCAGAGTATAAGCCCCAGTCGTCTGAGGGGCCTGGGAAAATCTCTGCTTGGATTCAGACCTTACAAAGATTCAGACCCTACACAAGAGCCACCAGGGCAAAAGTGCTCTGGGACTCAAGGATAAGGCTCTATTGTCCTCCCCTGCTTAGGATTCCAGCCACACCCTGCCTAGCTTTGTATTTGCCCCTTCCTGGTGGGAAAGACTCTTCCTCAGCAAGCCTCCAGAGCCCTGGGAGCAGGGCTCTTGTCCGACACCACCTCTGAGACAGCACTGGTACGCTGTTGGAGCTCCATCAATCACAGAACCAGAGAATCGTTGCTGAAATTGCCAGAGCAAATGTGAAGCCGACTGTGTGCAAAGGTGAGCCTGAAAGCAGCCTCTTCAAATTGCCCTTAAGAACTTGTAAGGCACCAGGTAGTTGCTGGCACCTCTGTCTCTGCAGCCGCCTGAGTCCCGCTGTCCTTTGCCGTTACTAAGAAATGTGGCCCCCACCCCCAGTGGTAGCCCAGTCCCAGAAGGTCTCATATAAAGTACAAGCTGTCCTTGCCTTTTGCCAATTCACATTTCAACAATCCACGCATTCTGCAGTTCCTGAAAACCGCTTGTGTAGAACTTCTGGTAGCTTTAATCTCCTTACTTGGGAGTTCCTGCTCATTTCTGGAAATGTTTAAATAAGCAAGTCTACCCTTAAGGAAAGTCAAGACAGCTTTTCCAGTATAATACATTGCATCTTAGTGATAAAGAGGTAGAAACCTCAGAGCTTAGTCTGGTTGAGGCAAGGCCAGTCTGTGCACGGTTTTGTCAGCTGCTCCTCCTCTCAAGAACACTAAGGCCTGAAGGGCAAGGGCTCTGGGTGCATCCTTATTACCTGGAAGTGCTCCTTTTCCAGCAGATCACCTGCAAGGATTCCTCCTACCGACATGTTGTCACCTCAGCCCCTGATGTGGAGGATAAAGCTGGGTATACTTGCGATGGGGCTGGTGAAGAAGAGAGGGTCAGATGAGGGCAGGCTCAGGTATAGGGGTGCCAAGGATGGGTACCTAGACCAGCCAGAGAGAACACAGAAGACTTAGCTGTCTCACCATGGTGCCCAGAGTAAGGAACAGCCAGCATTGGATGGAGGAACAAAGAGATGAAATGTCCTCTGTGCATGTATCTTGAAAAGCACCTAGTCACCATTCTAAACCATCCTAAACACGTCCTTCTAAACAAGGAAGGCAAGGCTCCCAGTGGGGAAGTGCTGGGCCAGAGGCCACACAGCTCACTCAGCCACTGACTTGGGGCCCAGGGTCCCTTGGTCGCTGGTCTTCCCACACATCCTGTAGTTTCTTTTATAATGAATCCGAATGATTGGTCCTTGTACAAGGCTCACAGGACATCTGTTTAATAATGTATTCTAGAATTTCCTAGAGATCAGCATCAAGTAGGTGTCTTTGAAAAGGCTTCATCACTAAAGCATCTGCACAGAAAATGTTCTGTAGAGAGGAAAGAGGGGGAGAAAAAGAAAGGAATGACAATCAGAGCTGCCTCTCTGTCTCTGCACACACTCCCCTCTCTCATCCAAGTGAGAACTGCAAGACCACATAAGCTGCTAATGGCCGAGGTTCCCGGGGCCCCACTCCTCAGCCCCGCCATGCCGGGGCACAGAGAGGTGGGGGCACAGAGAGGTGAGGGCTCTTCCGAAAGATGCGGTGGTGTTTGGGGGCCTTCAGACACACCCTGGAGGAGGAGGACTGCCACAGCATCTGGGCATCCCGCACTGGCAGTTGTACCCTGTCCTCATTGTTCTCTGTTCTGCATACTGGGCTGTGTGTCAGGCCTGTGGCTTCCTTTTTCATCCCTGAAGGAGGCCACTAGCCACATGGCGACTTTTTGCAAATTAGAAAGAGGTGCCCCTTCCTCAGCACAGCCTCTGTCTGATATTGTCATAAAAATAACTCAAATCTATGAGGACAGAGTGGCCGAGTCACCTCCTGGGGTTGTTCAAAGCATGCAGAAGCAGCAGCCCGCTCTCATTTTAAGTGGATTTCACATGCTGCAGCTTGAATTGAAGGCTTGGGTCACTAAGTCATTTTCTAGAAGGCCAAACTTTGAGTTGAGAACCTTTCAGCTACAGAGAACCCTCCGCTGAAGGGTAATGTCTAACAGCCAAGAAGGCAAGTTTCCTCCATTCTATTTCTTCAGGAGGATGGAGTCACGAGGTCATAGGAGGGCCCACCTGAAAGGAGCCTTCATGGTTGTCCATATAACACAGCCCCTTTCAGTCTGCACTGAGCCAAACTCAAGCCCCAGGCCAGCGCAGATGAGCTGAATTCTCAAGGTTGTTGTGAGTCAGAGGTCACTGTACACAGGAGAGAGATTCCTGCTGTCCAGGAGGGGCTAAGTGCAAAGGTGACTTTCAGGGAAGAAAAGGTCACTACCTTCCCCTGCCGCAGTTAACTCTCTGGGCAATGGGTCCTGGGCATGAGGCACTTGTAAAGCTCCCCGAGTGAATCTGGCTTGCAGTCATGGCTGAGCCCCTCTGCCCTAAGGTATTAAAGACTTATCCCATTTCCCCAGTCTGTGAGATACTTACATCATAGAAAAATAAGCAGTTAGCCAGGACTTGATCCTAACTTATAAAACATTAGTTCAGTAGCTTCTGTCATCTTGAAATTGATCATGCCCAGCCTTATTTTCTCCCTGTCCTATAAGAAGGTAGGATTCCTCAGAGCAGGGCTCATGTCTTCTTTGCCATTGTGTTTCTTATAGGTGACACTCTCTCCCCCATCTCCACCCCACCCCGTCCTTCACCAAAACTCATCAATTTCATTCTAAATTTTATTTTATTTGGGCGTTTACAGACTCTCCTTCCATCCACTATGGCTTCCCTAACTCCTCCGCTAGTCCTCCTTGCCCCTTGGCTGTTGTGACAGCCCCTTACCAGTCTGCCCTGGGTTTGGTTTAAATCCCCTAAATCCAGTCACCTCTAGCATGACCTACAAAGTGCACACATCTAGCTAGTTTCCTGATTTGCTCCAGCCTGTCCTTGCCTTCCATCACGTGGAAGACAAGCTCCTCTCATGCACGGTCATCCCAATCCAGCCCCTGCATTTCCTTCCAACCCTGCATCCCACATTTTCCCTATCTTGCACCCCATGTAACAGCACACTGGACTAGCTGTGGAGCCCTGAGTACAGAAGGGCCAGGTCTGTCTTCTCCTGGCTGATCCATCATGACCTGGCTCGGGGATTGGCTGTGGAAAGTAGTCCACAAACACTTAAGGAACACTCTCTCAGCAGCCCTGGCGCACCCTGCAACACGCACAGGACCCAGAAGGCATCCTCCCAGAGCCGGAACACAGGAGCCTGCCCCGCTCCACCTCTTCCAAGCTGCATGGACTTGACCAAGCACCTTTACTTCCCCATTTCCTCCTATCTAGGATGGAGATAATAAAACCTCCTCCCTGCAAACCACCATCTCAGAAGGCTGTAGTGAGAATCAAGCAAGACAATAATGGAGAAACTTCTTTGAAAACAGTGAGGTGCCAGTCAAATCTAAGGGCTTCTGAGAGGGCAGCAGTAAATAGGTATTGCACACGGCAGCTCCTGGGGCCCACTGGGAGCCACTCACCACGAGCATGGTGCACGTGCCTGTGAGCAGGGCAGACAGAGTGGCTGCAACACAGGCTTCTTCCTTCGGTATTTTTATAAAGGGAATCGGGTGAAGGAAATGTCTTGGAATAGACAATCTTCCTAAACTCCCCCAAAATAACTTCAGTGGAAACAATTGTAACGTCCACTCTGCCGGCATTGTTTCAGTCCACTGTAGTATGGGAAAAGTCTCCCGGCATTTCCAACTCAACTGGGAATCCACTTGACTTCCAGACGTCTAGAAACAAAGGGATTGTGCCCAAGGGCCACTCTGGGTGTTCGTGGCCCTCTGGTGCCGAAGACAATTCCAGGGCCTGTGTATAGCTTACTCTTCCTCTCTCCCTCCCTTTGGGAGACATATTTGCTGAAGGGCTTTGTATTTTCCCATACATAACTTTGTAGGGGTCGTTACCAAAATAGTTTGTTAGAATACACTTGAGATTCTAGATTTCCCTCCAGTCAGTCACACAGCCCAGTGTTCCAGATTCGAGGCCTCCCAATGCTCAGTGACTCTTTGCCACCTGCACCAGATAGAATCAGTCCTCTCCTAAAAGGTCTTTCCTTCTTCCTTTCTCTAGCTGGGAACAGGTGCTCATGTCCCCAGTCCTTGTCTGGTCTTCCTGTCTCCCCACTCCTTCTCTTGTGAGTCTGTCCTCCTCAAAGAAATTGTCCAAGCATCTTTGCTCACTCCTGTCTCCCCTTTCCCTCTCCCTCCCAGACCCAAGTGGTGACACCAGCTCTCCCCTGGCCTGAGACAGATCTGAAGCCCTGGAATGTTTCTTCACTCCCTCATCTATTCTTATCCTCCACCGCCCCTCACTTGCTGCCCCAGGTATTCCAGGACAATCCTATTTACCTGCCATTTTATCCTTTTCTTCTTTTTGAGACAGAGTCTCACTCTGTCACCCAGGCTAGAGCACAGTGGTGTGATTTCGGCTCACGGCAACGTCTGTCTCCCGGGTTCAAGCAATTCTTGTGCTTCAGCCTCCCGAGTAGCTGGATTACAGGCGTGTGCCACCATGCCCAGCTAATTTGTATATCTTTTAGTAGAGATGGGGTTTTGCCATGTTGGCCAGGTTGGTCTCAAACTCCTGACCTCAGATTTTATCCTTTTCAAAAACCTGAGCTTGTTAATTGTCTCACTAAATGAGACTTAAGTTTTTATCTTTGTAAAACAAAACAAAAAACCCTTGCTCAACTCAACTGGGAATCCACTTGACTTCTGGAGGTCTGGAAACAAAGGGATTGTGCCCAAGGGCCACTCTGGGTGTTCATGGGCCACAAAAAAACAAAAACAAAAACAAAACAAAAAACAAAAAACAAAAAAAAAAAACCACCCTTACTCCTATTTCTGGCTCACCATACACGAAGATCAGTTTCCTTCTTGCCTGGATCTTGTCCTCTCCACCTCTCTGCCTCTAATTCTCCCATCCATCAAAATCTCTCTCACTTCCCCCTCTTTGTAAGAAGTGTTTCCTAACCATTCTGCTGGGACATTCTAGAATCTTTGCTTTCTCAGAACATGGTACCCTGCCTCATTACTTCTCAAACTTTAGCGTGCATATGAATAGCATGCAGATCTGGTGAACATGCAGCTTCTGATTCAGGAGGACTAGGGTAGGCCTGAACTTCTGCATCTCCAGCCAGCTCCCAGGTGAGACCAACGCGGCTGGTCCTCAGACCACACTTTGAGTAGCGGAACCCTACAACAATGGTTCCCACATTTTGCTGCACAATGGGCTCCTGTGGAGGGGTGGGTTGAAAGAGACTGGTGCTAGTCTTCCATCCCTAGACACTCTGATGTTTTTAGCATGGAGCTTGACCCAGGCATTGGGATTTTAAAATCTCCTCAGGTCATTATACTGTGCAGTGTGGGAACCACTGCCTTATTGCATAAAGTGAATATGGCTAAGCCTATTATTATTTCATCTGTGCTTACCTTGTCTCGACCTTGATAGACTACAGCCCTCTCTAAGGCAGGACTTGGTCAACATTTTGTTTTGAGCATTGATAGATGAACCAACTGATTAGATATTAGGCCCTTACGTGCTTTTCTGATGATGAATCGGTGTTAATGAGCATATATGTGTTGCCACAGAGAAATGTACTAGATATCAAGAGGGAAATAAAAATGGATCTTGGCAGACCATGGTGAAATCTACCCGGTGCCAGCATCAGCGGAGGGTGGCCCAGGCTGTCCTGTGTGGCAGGCTCCAAGGGCTCTGGGCATGTTTTTGGCCCTTTCCCACCCACAAGAGGAAAAAGAAATTCTACCTCTCTGGCCTGCTTGTTCTAAAAATACTCACTTTTTCTCCTTTTAGTCTGAGGCAGTGGTTCTCGACCACGTTGTAGACTCGCCTGGGGAGCTTTTAACATCTTTGATGCCCAGGCTGCACCCAGACCAAATGCATGAGAGTCTCTGGAGTGGGACCTGGGCATCGAGATGTTTTAAATGTCCCCAGGGGCTGTCACTGAGCAACCAGGGCTGAGAGCCACCAACCTCAGGTAAATGTAACCCCTTTATCCTCATCTCAGGTGGACTGAATTTGTCAGGTCCTTCTATGAAGGAGTGGGGAGAGAGTGTGAGAAGGCTGGGTACCTATCCAAGGCAGAAAACCAGCACCCAGTAGAGAGAAGGGCCCAGAGAGGGAAGACACTGCTGCCAAATGCGCCAGGTCTCCAACATGTCTCCAGTGCAAGGGTCTATCGGCCATGATCCACGCGCCAAGTCCAGCCCTCCATTGGTTTTTATAAATAAAGCTTTATTGGAACACAGCCACACTTCTGTAGCTGTTTTTGCCATACAGCTGCAGAGCTGAGTCATTGTGACAAAGACCTTATGGCCTGCAAAGCCTAAAATATTTAGTATTTGACTCTTTACAGGAAATCTGCTGATCCCTGCTCTAGAGGGTTGACCCTGCATAGACTCCCTAACTGCAGTTTATGCGTTGGTGCCTATGCGGGGAATTTTTAAAACCACATTTTGGACTTTGTGTAAATTTTTAGTTGCTCTTAAAACAGAGCAGTGTCCTGGTGGCTGTGCTGACAATAAGTCCTGGTTGGCTTCCCTCACTCAGCTGTTGGGGTGGCAGGTGCTGCTGCTCCCACCCTCTGGTCCCAAAGACTCTCTTTGGTTGCCCTAGGGTGCCCGGCAGATGTTACTGTTTTCTCTGCAGGCTGTGAGTCGGGGGCTTGGGAAGCCCCATATCAAAACCTAGTAGATGTAAGAAGTTAGACACTCTGGCTAGGAATGGACGCTATTCCTGCCCAAGGACAATGGATTCAGGTGAGGAGGGCTGCAGGAGGCAGAGGCTCTGGAGACAGAGAGCAGGGAGGGGATGAGAGCTGCCCTCAGTCAGAGCCACAGGAACCCTGGCAGTGGAGGATGGCCAGGAAGCGCCTAAAGACTGAGCTTCAATATCCTGAGTCCAGGTTCTCAAATTCTCCGCCATTCCTTCTTGAGCCACCGCTGTGCCCCTGAAAGTAGGTCAGATCACTGTCTGCTACAGAGCCATGGTGGGAATGAGATACCAACTACGTCAGCAGGGCCACTATTGCTTAGTGAGCCTGCTGGCCAGAACCAATGGCTGCCCAATTTAAGACAACCCATAAAGACCTTTTTATGTGGTGCAGACTCTTTAATGCCGTGCATCCACACAACAAAAGCTTAGCACTGCTTTCTGGGAATGGAACAAGTAATTGAATTTCTGAAATGATAAATTTCACTATAGTCAGAGAGAATGGTACAACCAGTCTCCTTAAAGCATCTGGATTCTCTTGTAAAATTAACAAGTTGGAGTCGATTGTCTAATTTACTAAAGATATTTGGAACAGGACTTACAATTTCCTAGTATGCTTAAAATACAGTTCCACACAGAGATTTTTCTGCATGCAAGCAGCTTTTTAGGAACTCATCTTTGTCCATCTAATCTTTCTTCCTAATTGGAAACCTCTGTAAGACCTTATCCTTTGTCATTTCTGCAAGTTCCTCATGCTTTTTAAATTTTTGACCACACACTTGTCAGGGAGATCTATTATCTTCTTCTGGTACTGATCAGATTCACATGAAGCAGCACAGCTATTTTGGAAGCACAGCACAGAATTTGGAAGAAGGGAGAGGGAAGAAGTGAGGTGCTCTGGCACAACCCAGTTACAGCAACCTTGTAAATGTATGCATTCAGTGCTGGAATTGTTTACAGAGCGAGTGCCCACCACAATTGGGGCTAACCCTTTCTGTAGCTTGTTTAAAGCCACATTCATTATTCATTCATTCATTTGTTCACTCCATCAATCAGCATTTGTTGAGTACCTGCTATGTGACATTGCTGTGCAGAGTCATTATAATGGGATCTGGGGGTCTATTGCCAGAGAAAGGGAACCCACGCACACACTTCTGGATGGGCACTCGCTGCCGTCAGTGCTGGGTCTCATGACTGATGCTCTTATGAGCATTCCGCTACGGTTCAATCCTGAGCCTCATGGGAATAGGCTTTGATGTTAGAGAACTGAGGTGCCACCCTAGTTCCATTGCTTACTTGCTGCATTTCTTTAGACATGCTGTTTAGTCTATCCAGCCCTCCTTTTCCTCATTTGTAGAGAATAGATAATCGTAGTACCTATATCTCAGGGCTATTGTGAGGTTTAAATTAGTTACTGTATCAGAAACTTTTCACTCAGTGCCTGCCTCCATACATTACAGCCCGTTGCTATCATTATGATAGCTCATAATCCATGTAGACATCATTTGGCTCCTTCTATGGCGAGGAGACTTTCTGAACACCTTCCAGGAAACTGGCATTGCTCAGTCAGGAGAAGAGCGCGTATTTATCGGGCAGGACTGGAGGGGAAGGAAAGAGTTCGCAGGGAACTTCCTGCCATTGTTGGGCTGTCTCCTCCGCATGTGACTCGGCTCAAAGATGCCCAAGCCTGGTCTTGCTGTCTCCTTTTTCTTTATGTTCTTGCCACTCTGAGGTATCCTAGGAGGAGCTAGTAGAACCTTTTGAAAACAGCCAAGGAGTGTCACAGATCTGGCAGGTTTCGTGCAAAGGCCCAAGCCGCCTCCCACAGATATTCCCCCTCTCCACTTCTTCCCCAGCTGTCAGTCTCATTAGCATCTGCAACGTGTAAGATGCAATTCTGGAGGTGAAGCTTAGGGCTCTGGCATGGGGCGGGGGGCTTAGGAGTCCCTGGAGTCCCCTAGTCTTTGCCTAGGCTATGGGCCCAGCTGTGATCCAGAGTTTACTTTCACCTCCAGCCCTTTCACATCAGTAGACAGCACAAATCTAGGGCAGCGAGCCTGTGTCTTCTATAACCCAGTAGAGGCCATTGGATGGGACCCCCCTGTTGGTGCTGACTGGGGTCACAGTTTGGGCTGGCCTACCTCCTTGGACCCTGCTGCCCATCCATCGCAGGGTGGAACTCCTGGTCTCACCGTCCCGGCCTGTGTTACTTTGTGTGACCCCCGCCAGACATATTGCTCTCTTTATGGGTACCGACACCGCTCTTAGTCTGTCTGGCTTGAGCTCTCGGGACCTAGGGTCCACTTGGACCCTTCTCTTTGCAAGCTGATCTGGCTTGAGCATTTCCCATTTGGGTTCAGCAAACATGTAATCCAGAACTGGCCAGGTGTGTTTCTATCTGTCATCTCCTTTGGTTTTCAGCATCTCATTTAATTCCTACAACGAAAGGTAGGTATTAGTCTCTCCATTTTCAGGCAGAGGAAACTGAAGCTTAGAGAGGATAAATGAGCAGCATGGGTGCCTGGCCAATGTACCTGCTGCCTTGCTGTCTCAGAAGTGAGACACTTGTTACACACAGGGGGCCTGTGGAGCTAAGTAGTGGGCCTAAGCATCTGTGGTGTGTTGTCACCATGCAGCCAGTGAATGGCCACCTTTGTCCTCGGAGAGCTTACAGTTTCACTGAGTCCTGGGGGACCCAGGTCTTTGTTACCTTTTCCCTTTAACTGAAGGAGAGCTAGCAATCACTAAGCACTGAGCCTTATGGTTAGAGGACATCAAGGATCCTGGCCTCTTGCAGAGCAAGAGATATTGCCTAGTTAAAGGCCACAGACCCCTGGGCCTCTGGGCCACCAATGAATGCTCTTGGTCCACAGTGGATCCAGTAAGAATGGCCCAACTCTGGCCTGTCAGGACAGTGGTCATCTTAACTTTTTATACAACAAACAATTATGGAGGCTCATGGTATCTAAGGCACTGTGCCAGACACTGTGGGGCCTACAGAAGTGAAGGAAGCATGGCTCCTGAGCTCCTGAAAGTTTGTAGCTTGTTTGGGGAGGCAAGCATTTAAGTAACTATCTAGACCATTCAGACAGCAGGATGGAGTACTAGGAAGTTTGTCCAGTGTGCTGTGTGACCAGATGGATTCCTTCTCATGGGAACTGGGATCAGCTTTGCATGGCAGGGGCATTTGTGCTAATGGTAAAAGCTGACAGAATTTTAGGGGTAAACAGAAGTGGGAAGATGTTCCAGGCTGAAGACAAAGCCTGGAAGGAGGAGTGTGTGTTCAGGGATGGCATGGCAGGTGCACAGGGAAAGGGAGGCCCAGATGGTCCTTAAAGATCAGTGGCTGACCATTCTCCAGTCTAACTCCAAATGCCAGGGCAGGAACCCGGGTATCCTGGCCCCCAGCCCAGTGCTCCTTCTGCTGCATTGCTGTAAATAGAAGTTTAAAGTGGTTCTCAAGGCCAGAGGGGATTGGGGAGCAATCCATTTGCTGAAGCTTTTCCTCTGGATGGGCTTCTCCTGAGAGATGACATGTGAGGGGGTAGTGAGAATCTAAGGGATCACCTCCTCCTGATAAGCCAGAAAGCACCTCCACTGTTGGGAGGCTGTGATGCAGCCAGAAATAGTGATCCTGCCGTTGCATCCTAGCCCTTGAGTCCATCACCCCAGCCCTGCAGTCCTGCAGTCCTGAAGCACAGGATCTGATCCCCTGAGCCTGGCTCATGCACTCTGGCCTTCCAGGTCAAGCGTGGGGTATGACCAGAGCCAGGAACCATGTGGCACTGCAGGGCAACTCTCTACTCCTCCCTCCTGAAAGTCAACTCAGTGGAAAATGTAGCCATCATTAAAAAAAAAAAAAAAAAAAAAAAAAAAAAAAAAAAAAGCAAACTCCCCTCTGAAAACCCTATGGATGAAGGGAGCACTTGAAGGGAACACCAAGTACACAAGGAGAAAATGACAAAATGCTGCTTTCCTGGCCTCTGCTGCTGGGCAGCTGGGTGATTCAGCTGCAGGGGCTGCCCTCCTGGAACCTGTCGCAGGAGATGCCCCGGCTGCATGCCAAGCTAGGAGGGCCCAGCAGCTGGCATGGGACTCGCTTCCATCCTGGGGAGGCAACTATGTATTTATCTTATTTTCAGAGACTGAGTCTCCTTGTGTTGCCCCGGCTGGTCTCGAACTCCTGGGTTCCAGTGATTCTCCTACCTCGGCCTCCCAAAGTGCTGGGATTACAGGCATGAGCCACTGTGTACAGCCCAATTCTCCATTTTTAAATTTACTGGTTTATGAAATTTGAAATGTTGGGCACCACTAATTTAGGTCTACGACTTTATTTAAAGAAACTCTAAGCTTCACATATTAAAGACTAAACAGAATAGGAATACCCTATTTGTTTTCTCTCAGCCTTGAATCTTTCCCGATCTTTTCAACCTGGTCATTCTGGTCTGGCTCACCTGTCCCTTTCTTAGGGAGGACTCTTCTGATGCCCTAATCTAAAGCATTATCCCCTTCCTATGGTTTGGTTTGGTTTTGAGCACACTTGTTTCTGTTTGAATGACCTTGGTGTTTTTAGCTGCAGGCTGGGGACTGTCATTTCCCCTTGGTAGAGTGGAAGTTCCTCTCTGTGGCCTAGGTCACTGTGGCATCCCCAGCACCTAGTACAGCCGCTGGCACCACATAAGCCTCAGCAGAAATGTGTTGCCTGAATGAATGAAACCACGGATTGGCTTCCTGGACGAGGACCCACGTTTCAACCCTCTGTCCCTCCAGCACCAAGGCTGAGCTGCCCCTGCTGGTTCTCGGTCAGACCTGAGGAGAGAGGTCCTCTCTTCCCCACTCTTCTTATCTGTGCTGTGGCTAGCTTCTTAGATACCCCCGAGCCTCCTGGTGCCCGACGGCCCCAGCAGGCTAGTCAGACCCAGTGTCTCAGTCGAGTTTCTTGGCTGCCGAGGCCTGAAATCTTCAGGGCCTTTGAGTAACATTCTGCCCTTGAGCAGGTTCACAGACTGGCTGGTCCTCTGGGAGACAGGCCCCTCCCTGGCTCTTCAGAGCCTCCTTGCAGCTTCCCCTCTTCTAGCTCTCTGCCTTGCCCAGAGTCCTGTGATGAGATGAGGGGAGGGATTGGGAAGTGCCAGCATGGGGCTGGGGCTGGGGCTGGGGCTGGGGCTGGGGCTGGGGCTGGAGCCGGGTGGTGCAGGTCTGTGTGGAGGAAGCTGAGGTTGCAGGGACTGCTTTGGCCCAAGAGTGTCCTGGACACGGCCTGGGAGCTTAGCAGGTGGTTAGTTGATTAACACAGGTATGACCACATTCTAGGATGGTTTTGGGGTTTGGGCGGCTGCTTCCCAGCAGGTGCACAAAGACCACAGACGCAAGTGCTTACGAAGCCTCAGGTTGGAGGCCTTCCTAGCCCAGGGGTCTCCACATGCAGCGGGGCATTCTTGAGCTGGGCTGTCGACATGCCATTCATGCCCAGTCATCTCATTTAACCCTCGTAACGGTCCTCTGATATGCGTATGCTTCTTTATTACCACCATTTTTTAGGTGAGAAAACTAGAAGCTTAAATAAGGTAGGCATTGCTGCCAGCTCCTGCGGTAAGTGGCAGTGACAGCATCTAGCCAAAACGTTTGATGCCTGATCTCTGCTCAGGGCACCTGGATCTGCATTGCTGCAGTCCCCCAGCTCTCCAATTCCACGTGAGCACACTCCACACTGGCTCGGCAGATACTGAGAGGCAGGTCCTGCTGCTCTCGCCTTCACTGTGGCCTCCTTATCCATGCTGATATGGCTTGGCTGTGTCCCCACCCAGATTTCACTTTGAATTATAATAATTGCCACGTGTCAAGGGCTGGGCCAGGTGGGGATAATTGAAGGGAGATGGTTTCCTCCATGCTGTTCTCATGGTAGTGAGTAAGTTTCATGAGATGTGATGGTTTTATAAAGGGGAGTTCCCCTGTACATGCTCTCTTTCTGCTACCATGTAAGATGTGACTTTGTTCGTCCTTTGCCTTCTGCCATAATTGTGAGGCCTCCCCAGCCATGTGGAACTGTGAGTCCATTAAACCTCTTTCCTTTATAAATTACCCAGTCTCAAGTATGTCCCTATTAGCAGTGTGAGAACAGGCTAATACACATGCCTGTGGCCTCTCCAGCCAGCTGTGACCTACCAGGGCAGACAGCAGGACAGTGATGAACCTGTTCATTCATGTGAGGCCTTGGAGGCTTCCCCCCGGCACAGCGGGGTACACCTCAGAATCTTAGCATGGCTGCGCAGGTGGTTTAGGCAGGGGCTCCCTCCCTGCTACCCACAGATGCCCCTGCCCTGTGCGAACGTGACTACTGCTAGTTTGTATAATGAGCTGCAGCAGAGTGTGCTCAGAAGAAGCAGAGCAGAGCCCCTCAAGCGTGGGCCGTGCCTCTCTCACTCTAACCTCAGAGCCTCTGTTCACTTCGAAGGGTGACCTCAGGCATCCCTTCCTCCACAGCTCCTTGGACCTTGGATGTTCTTCCATTGTGACTCCACTCAATTTGCGTGTCCCTCTTCCCCAGGGCCCATGCCCCTCTTGGAGACAGAGGTGGAGTCTTGTTTTCCTGTGTCTGTGCACACAGCATGCTCACAGGGCACCGTGGGCATCCTCTGAGGGTTTGTTGAGCATCACTCCTCTTCTAGAGTTGGTTGATGCTTCAGTTCTATGATGGTCTTTGAACCTCCTCAAGTACATAAAACTCTTCACAATGTTGCCCACTTCTCAACAGTTGTCATTTCCCCCTTAGAGGCCAGAACGCAAACATTGCTTTGCCTTCTCTTGAGCTTGCTCTCTAGAGTTCTTGAGGCTCTGGGTCTTATCTGTGCCATAGACACACCACTTCATGAGGGGCCAGGACACAGGCCATATGTGTCTCATCATGCCCAGGTGGTTTTTTCAGGGGCTGCAGAATGGAAACTCTCATTCCTCATGGCCCTTTGTACCTCTCACATTTCTTGGGCGTCTTTCTGCCCCTGGTCTGCAGCAGCTTGAAGGCATTGCCATTTTCAGTTCAGAAGTGTGTCCAGGACCCTTAATAGATATCCATTATCCAGGGAATGGAGCATGTCAGTCCACTCCAGTTCCATTCTCTTGTGCGTGTCCCGTGTCAATGAGCAGCATGAACACCATGAGCCTAAGTGGCCTGTGTTCAAGTCTTTCCTGGGTTCATGACCTGGAGAAGGCCCGTAGCCTTTTGGTCCCATTTGGTCTTCGACACAGAGAGTCACAGTCATCCTCCAGTGCCTCCGTCCCCCAGCCCCCAGTGCACACAGTGCACTCCCTTCAGTGCACTGTGCTGGCTGCAGAATGGAAGCCTGACAATGGTAGTTGAAGAAGTGGCATTTTACTAATTGTTTCCTGTACATTTTACCCTCTATAATGTAGAAACAATCTTCTAACACTTCCCTGTTGGTCCCTAGTCCCTGTTCTTTGCATCAGTGTCCTCACCTATTTTATCTGTTTATTCAGAAATTAATAAGTAAATGTCATTTGTATTTGACATTGCCTGGTAGATTCCTCCTGACATGGCTACCCGTGGAGGGCAATAAGGGAGGGGCCATGTCTGCTTTCCATGACTTCCTGGATATAATAAGATCAGCCCCACTGACTCCTAAAGTTGTATCATGTTAAATTATTTAGGACTTTTTTGGTTGCAAGCGACAGAAACCCAACTCAAAGTATTTTAAACGTAAAAAGAATTTGTTGGCTCATGAAATCAAAGAAAGTCTTAATAGTGTGGCAAAGGAGGTAGGAAGAGCAAATATTTTCATCCTCATTTTACACAAGAGAGAGGAGAGGGCAGAATGGGATATTAAAAGAATGGTCCATGGTGATCCAGGCTTAGCGACAGCTAGGATCCGGGTCACCCAAAGGGTGTGTGCAGTTTATTATTCAGGACTCTTTAGACTGTTACAATAAGAAACCCTGTTGGAAGGAAAAGGGAGAGAGGGGTGGTTATTCCCTTGGAGCATCCAAGGAAGTCTTGCCCATTCCAGCGACCCAGCCTCTGGAACCGCAGTGCTGTGCAGATGAAAACCATCTGGATATAGGGTGCATGTCATAGGCTCTCACCCACAAGGCTACCCTGCGCAAAATATTCACGTGCACTTTTAAGGGGGTCGTGGAATCCACTGAAACCTGTCCGGGGTTCCTGAGTGAAGCCCTTCTTCTAGAAAAATGTCTAGCTCATTGTGTAGCTAGCCTCTGGGATAGTATTGAGAGCAGAGCTTTTCAGAATGGGTAGAGTTTTAGGTTCACGCCACAGGGCACCAATGTGTGGCAGGTGGAGGCAGGATGTGTGGGGTGCCAGGGCTCAGCGGCAGCTTCCAGAAATTCCATGTTTACTTTTATTGTCTATGATTTTATATTAGAACTTCAGCTAAGGTATTGTTTTTAAAAGGATCTCTGCTGATTAAAAAATAATAAATTAAAAGTTAGAAAACCACAAATTTAAGCATGGGTGAGCCTGCCCACCCCCGACTTTCCTTTCTGAATCAGGTCAACTTCTCTGAATAGCTGTGCAGCCTAGAGATTCCAGGAATTTTAGAAACATTACCTATTTATTTCTGCTTGGACGTGACCCACACATCCTGCCCACGTGGAGAGAGACCTTGGTAGGATAACTTCTTAGAAAAAAAAAAACATGAAAAACCATGACCCCCAGCAGGAGGAAGCCTCTGCTGTTAAGACAAGCTTATTGTCAGAGGAGCTGTGCTTGGGATTTTTATGGTCCTTTAATCAAGTGCTGTGGTTCCTTTGTATTGTTCACCCCTTGGGATGTCTACCCAGGTTGGGGCTAGAGATGATGGGAGTCTGCAAGTCCTGAGCTAGCAGGGTCTGGACTTGGCCTGAGGATCTGCCCTACCTCCATGGGGCTCATGCTCTCTGGGTATGCCCAGGGAGTGACAGAAACCTGATGTAATCAATATAGAAGCTTGTGAAGAAGAGGGGGACTGTAGCTTCCAAGAGGCCAGGGCAGAGTGGATATCCAGGCACTGTGGGGGCAGACAGGTGATCAGCTGGGAGGGAGCAGGGTTGGAGCTGCAAGGTGTGCCTGGTGAGGAGCCCGGTGTGGCCACCTCCTGCCTGGGACCTCCCACCCCTTCCCTGGCCTGGGCTAGGATCCCCACCACTGCACGGCTGCACCACTTCCTTGCAAAGACAAGCATTTAGTGTAGTTGTTTTTAACAAAGCAGGAGGAAGACTTTCTTGTGTCTGTATAATGCTTTCTTCCTTTTCAAAAAGCTGCTGTATGGGAGAGAGAGAGATAATAGACCTAGAGATAGTTAGGCTTGGATGATTTCTATCAGACCTAGGTTCGTGGTCAGGGGTCAGAGGTCAAAGATCATGAGACTGTCAGGAAGATTTTCCTTGAAGGTTAAGTGGGCATTGGATTCTATGAAAGTGCAGGCCATGGAATTGAGCTCTGCGGGGCACTTCAAAACCTCATTGGGGCAGGGGCAGCAGCCCGGGGACTCCCCCTCCACCACCACCACCACCACTCCAGCCTGTGGAGTGAAGGGCAGGGTGGGCTTGGTGGCCAGGAATACCCCTTTCTGGAGAGGAGAAGGGAGGCGAGCAGGTGAGCCTGCCAAAAGGGCTGTGGCCAGGGTCATCTCTGGGGTTACAGCAAGGATATGCCAGGCAGACACAGGAGGCTGTCTGAACCAGTGCCTGCCAGACGCCAGCTCTCCCACTTCTGGGCCTGGGGGGAAGCGTAGTGGTCACTGGGAGGGACTGCCTGTCTCTGAGTACAGAAATGAGGGAGGGACTTGCTCTTGTCCACTCCCTCTTGCTTCTAGAGGCCTGGGGAGCATGGCGGAGCACCACGGGGTCTATGGTAGGGTGGGAGAGAGCTCTCTGATGCTCCTGGGGGGTTGGCCTCCCATCTCTGCCCTGGTACCGTAGGCCATGTCACATCACCATTGGGACCATGTGCCTCAGAGATGGAAGACACAGGCTTCCTGCTAACTGGTTGGGCCTCTGTGGGCAACTTCTTTGACCTCACTAAGCCTTCTCTTCCTCTTCCATAAAAATGGGCTGGATATACAGTGGAATTACCTGGTGAGCATTCAACATATACAAATTCAAATCTCAAATTCAAATTCAAAATTTGGCAAAGGAAATATACTCAGAAAAATATCCCTCCCAGCCTGGGTGATTTTGCCCACCACTCCACCTGGGTTAGTTTCCCGGGGCCGCCATAACAAAGGACCGCAAACTGGGTGACTTAGAACGGAAACTTCTTGGCTCACTGTTCTGAAAGCAGAATTCCCACATCAAGGTGTCGGCAGGGCCACACCCGCCCTAAGATGCTAGGGAAGGACCATCGCTCCCTTCCAGCTTCTAGTAGCCCCTCAGCTTCTTGCAGTGTCCCCCCAGTCCTCACGCGGCCTTGTTTTTACAAGGACATCAGTCATATCGGACCGGGGCCCCACACATGCACATTCCAATGTGTCCTCATCCTAACTTAATTACACCTGCAGTAGCCCTCTTTCCCAATCAGGCCATTCAGAGGAACCAGGGGTTAAGACTTCAGCGTAAGAATTTGGAGATCACACTTCAACCCATGACATCATCCAGAGGACCCTTGGTTGGGGAAGGAGGAAGCATGGGAGAGAGGCACAGGCCCCTCAGGGTGGGCACATCTCGGCCCCATGTGAGGACTGGGTAGAGACAACAACTTTTACACCAGAGGCCCCTAAGTGCATGCTGACCACCTCGGCTGGCAGGCAGTGGTGGAGACAAGAGCCTTTTCCAGCCTCTGAAGGAATTGGTCTATGCTGGACAACTGGTAACTCCACTGTGGTCTCCAGGGAAGCAGGTTCATCCTTCAGGGAGGGTGGGGTAATGGGTGTCCACGGGCACAGCCTGACCCATTGCTGACGGCAACAGCAGTGCATCATCTCACAGTCTAGAGGTGTTGGCCGGGCTGCGCTCCTTCTTCCAAGGCTCTAGGGGAGGAGCCTTCTGCACTTCTTCCCAGCTTCCCGTGGCTGCCAGCAATCCTTGGCACTCCTGGGCTTGTGTCTGCCTCACTCCAAACACTGCCTCCGTCTTCACATGGCCTTCATCCCTCTGTGTCTCCTCCATCTTTCTGTGTTCAAGTTTACTTCTCCTATAAGGACACCCATCGTTGGATTTAGGGCCCAACTAAATCCCACAGGACTTACTTCATCATAACTTGATTATATCTTCAAAGATTCTATTTTCAAATAAAGTCACGTTCACAGGTGCACGGGGTTAGGACTCCAACCAGTCTTTCTGGGGAACACAATTCTACCTCCTGCGGAGGGTGAGGAGGACTTTACAGATGGGATCACACCAGGACTTTACAGATGGGGTCACACTGTGGTCAGCATCACCAGCAACGGTCCTCGGAATGCCAGGGCTTCACCTCTGCCCAGGGGCCCAGCCCAACTCCCGGCACTCAGCCCATGATGCTGCTGCCATCGGCCTGCCGGGTTGAGGTTGTGGCATGCCCTCTTCTCCTCTCTTGTGCCTTGTCAAATGCCTTAGAGCTCCACTCAACTATCACCCACCTGGCAGAACCTTCCCTGACTCTTCTCCCAAGAAGTCCTCGGTCCTTCCTATGGGCCGCCAGAGGCGCCCGTTCAACTTCAACTATCGCACATGGCACATATCAGCTTCTTTGTTTGTGTTCCCTTGAGTTCCCCTAGGCCTGGGACAGAGTCTTATTCTCCTGATATTCTCCATCAGGTGCACTGTTGCATGGCGGGCCCCCTACATTTGTCGAGTGAGAGAGAGACAAGGGTGGATGGATGGGGGCATGGGTAGGTAGATGGACGTCAAGTGTTACCTGAACAGAGAGGTCTTCCCTGACCCCTCCACCCGTCCCTCTCTCATCCCCTTGCCCTGTTGTGTTTTGCTCCATAGCAAAACATAGTCCTTTATCATATGATATACTTTGTTGCCTCTCTCCTTTCATTAGAATATGTGCTCTGTAAGAACAAGCATATTGCCTTTCTATTTCAGTATTGTATCCACAGTGCCTGAAACAACAATATTTATGAGATTGCAGGTGCATGGAGGGATGGGTGGATGGAGGCATAGACGGGTGGGTGGCTGGGAGCCTGTTGCCTAGGGGAGGTGTGTCACTCCTATCACAGTGTCAGCTGGTCACAGAGCCACCCGGCACAATGCTTTCTGCTCACTGTTTGTTTTGCCCTCCCTCCCCATCCCCTCACCCCCAGATTCAAGAATTATTATTTTTTTATGGCTGTCATCACAGGGCAAGGCCTCGCACTCTCTGCCTAGGATTATTAACTATCTGGGGCTCATGTTCTGGGGCCAGAGCTCTGCTGGGCCTGCCCTTAATCCCTCAGAAATACCCACCACACTGGGTTGTGAGATACCAGCCTCAGCCTGCCCTGGAGTGGGCTGATTTTACATAACATGTTTTTGCAACCAGAGCAATAACATGCCGCCCCTCAGTGTCATGTCTTCTGCAAGCACTGACCTCAGGACAGGAGTGTATGTGCACGTGTGTGTTCCACGTGTACTCTGCCGGCGCTGCATGTGGAAGGAGTATTAGCTTCCCTCCATCCCTGGAGAGGCTTGGTTTATATAATCTACTTGTCTCTCAGGCCCATTTAGTTACCGGAAGTGGTCAGATGTTAGACAGACAGGGAACTGCAGCCAGGTCTCAGAGCTCAGGGGAGAATGGTTCTCATGCAGAGAGGTTGGGGAAAAGCAGGCAGGGCCTGGTGGGTAGTCCCAGTGTGCTACAGAGGCACATCTGACTCAGGTAGACCAGACAGCCAAAAAGCCAGCTGGGAAACCCAAGGGCTGGTTCTCTCATGTGGGGAGTGCAGGAGGTGGAGGGGATACTTATACCTGGACTGATGTCTACATGGGGCCCTTTCAAAGCACATAGTAGAAGGATTTGCTGAGCAAAGAATTAAAGCAAAGTCCACTGTATGTGCTTTTAAAGGATACATTTCCCATTTACCATTCAAGGGATCTATCCTTTTTAAAAAGCAAGGAGAGGTCTTTGGTCTAAAGCCAGAATACTATCTCCCCTGGCCAGGCCACCAGAAGCAACAACTTATACTTTTTCCAGATTTCAGGAACGTATTGGTCCTTCCTGTCATTGGGTGCCACTTGTCTTGGACATGCCACCTTTTCCAGCCGCATCTTAACAGATAATGTTTTAGGGCAGCTGTTTCCTTGAGATTAACTGGTGGGGGGCACTTTTCATTTTGATTGATCTTCTCTTCTTCTCCTCCTCCTTCTTTTCCTTGTCCTCCTCTTCTTCTTCTTCTTCCTCTTTCCCTTCTCCTCCTCTTCCTTCTCCTTTCTTCCTCCTCCTCCTTCTCCTCTTCCTCATTCTCCTTTTTTTCTTCCTCTGAACACATGCCATTCCCTCTACCTGGAATACACCACCCCCAGATACTTTTTACCTTTTTAATTGAGATATAATTTACATACCATGATATTCACCCTCTCATAGTATACAGCTTAGTGGTTTTTAGGGTATTCACAAGGTTGTGCAACGATCACTACTGTCTAATTCTGGAACGTTGTTATCACCACAGAAGGAACGCAGCATCCCTTAGCAGTCATTCTTCATTCTTCCCCTTCCCAGCCCCTGGCAACCACGGATCCACTTTCCATCTCTGCAGATATGCCTATTATGGACGTTTCTTAAAAACTGAAATCATGCACTCCGTGGTCCTTTGTAACTAGCTTCTTTCCCTGAACATGATGTTTTCAAAGTTCATTCATGTTGTAGTGTGGCTCAGAACTTCCTTCCTCTTTATGGCCATATAATACTCCACTGTATATATGTACCATAATTTATTTATCCAGTCATCAGTGGACGGGCACTAGGTTGTTGCCATGTTTTGGCTCTTATGAACAATGCTGCCCAGACCACTCACATATTACCTTACCTCTCACCAATGACTTTAAAGAAGCTCTGCCAACCTGCATGAGCTGCACATCTGGTGACAGGTTTGTGACTCAGTACAGACTTTCTCCTTTCTTCTGCTGGCCTCACACTTGCCCCCTGTTAACACCCAAGTGTTCTTGTTTTGGGAGGAGTGTAGGCAGCACCCTGAGTTGTATGTGTCTCTTGGTACCAGCTACCATCTTGAGTTTGAAGAACAAGATGGCTGATTTTGAGGGGTTCTCAATGGAGCTTGTGTCAACACAGTGCCCCCCATTGCATGCAGGAGGAGGTTCCCGGTGCTGGAAGTTCTATGTAAAAGGCCCCAGGGAAGGCAGTAAGGTCCATTCACTTATCCACCTAGATGCCACATTGAGGCTGAGGCCCCAGGTGGCCTTATACATAGGACCAGCCCTCTATAGCCCTGGCCTGGATTGTTCCTGGAGAGGGAGGACCTCAGAGGGTGCAAGGCTTTGTTCTGTCACCTCTGTCACTTTGTTCCACTCATTTTTCGCCTCACTATAGTCTTCCAGCCCCAGGCCAAAAACAGCATAAAATAGAGCTTCTCCATCCTCCCCCAGCACACCACCCTGGACCACCAGGCACTGTGCAGATTCTGTCTTCCTTCCATGGCCTGAGCTTCCCATGCCCTCCCTCCCTGCAAATCACTTCCTGCTGGACTCTTTTCCAAGGCTGGGGGCTCCATGAGGACAGGTGCCTGTGCTGCCTTGTTTGTCCTGGCACACTCAGCCCTGAGCAGAGTGTCAGGATCACAGGAAAGATAACGATGATGATGATGATGATGGCATCGATGACAGTGATGATGACAATGAGGCTTACTATGTACCAAGCATTATCCTATGTTCTTTACATGTTTCGGAACTCATTTAATCCTCACAAGGATTCTAGCAGCCAGATGCTATTATCTCCATTTTACAGATATGGAAACTGAGGCACATAGAGGTTAGGTCATCTGCTCAAAGTCACACAGCCATCAAGAGGAAGAGCCAGGATCTGACATTCACAGTCTAACTCTAGAGCACAGGCCTCTAACCACTGTCATGGTTTATACACATACACTACATAGATGTGAGTTGTTCTGGGATGGATGGATGGGTGGACACAGGGGACCTAACAGTGGCTTCATGAGAAGCCCCGAGTGGCCCGGTATGCCCCATTGAGCCACACTGAGTCTTGGGACAGGGTTAGCTCCCCATGGCTGCTGCCTGTGTGCAGGTAAGGAGGCCAGGAGGTAGGTTAGAGCCCAGGGCTGGAGGCCCACACCGAGGAGGCTGGCACCCCCTGGGCTCGTGTTACACTAGGGGCTATGGCCAGTTCCCTCTGCCCGGCCTCAGAGCCGAGATCCTAGTCCCTGCCGCCGCCGGTAGGGAGCCTCGGCTTCCTGTCCATTGTCTCCTTGGGGCACACCCGGTGTGTTCCTGAAGTGACCTGGAGAGGCAGGGAGGGAGGGAAAGAGGGAAGGGGGCCAGCCCAGAGCCTAGTCAGGGTGGGAGAGGGGAAACGAGAGGGGAAGACTTGGTGTTTTTCCTTATTTGTGTTTTGTATTAAAGAAAACAAATAATATCCTTTGAGAAAACCATTAAACAAAGCACATCCTAAGGCCCCAGAGGCCTATTGTGGCTGCCTGGAGCCCGGAATTCATTCATGCTTTCTTGGCTAGATTGTTGGAGGCAAGAGAGACGGGGGTGAGAGGAAAGGATTGTTATTAAAATGTATTTTGAAATGTGTTGCTCCCTCCCTGCACTCAATCCAGTCCAGGCCAAGTGGCCATAACTCCAAGGTCCCTGTGTCCTCCTGAGTCTGTTGTTCTCCCATTACCTCTCTGGGAAGCTCCCCAAAACTGGCCAGTCCCAGCATAGCCAGGGTGGTCAGTTTCCCCCATGAGCTTGGGGGCTGAGCCCCGTGAAGGCAAAACAGTGGGACCCTCCTTTATGGAACCTGAATCCCGAGGGCTGCATGTGCCCCACCACAGGGTGTAACCCACAGGACTATGATCTCTAACTCACTGTGTGGCCACTCTGGGCCTTGGGCTCCCTGCCTGTAAGGTGGGGAGTGGGCCAGAATAGACCCCCTCTGACTGCTCTCCAGCAGCCTGGACCCTGTGGCTCCCTGTCATCCAGCGCATGCTCAGGTCGCTGCAGGTGGGTGGGAGTCACACTCAGGCTATGGCCTCTGCATCCAGGCCTATACCCAGGTGTCCCAGGTCCAAGCCAGACCACTCCCTCCCACTTGACTCCAAGCCTTGGTACCCCCTACTCCACCCCAGGCCGCTCATAATGGAATGGTAGTGCATGGTGGTGCTCTCTGCCATGTCCACACCAGAACACACTTTTCTGTTGGAGGAGGGATGGGAAGAGGTGGTAAGAGCAGAGCTGGCCATCAGCCCAGCTTGTGCAAATAGCTCTGCCTGTGATCCTGCATTTGCAGGATCTGCCCTGGGTTGCAAATAGAGGGTCTCTCTCCAACCTTGATGTAGATGTAGAAATAGTTGCTGTCATGATGACAATACGCAAAAGACTATCCTTAGAATTTTCCCCAGTTCCTCCTTTAAAGTTGAAAAAGGAGCCTGGGCAACAAAGTGAGACCCCATCTCTGCAAAAAATCAAAAAACAAGCCAGGCGTGGTGATGTGTGCCTATGATACTGGCTACACGGGAGGCTGAGGAAGGAGGATTGCTTGAGCTCAGGAGGTCAAGGCTGCAGTGAGCCGTGTTTGTACCACAGCTCTTCAGCCTGGATGACAAAACAAGACCCTGTCTCAAATAATAATAATAATGATGATAGTAATGCTGAAAAAGTAATTTAGCTAATTCCATGTTTTCCTAAATACTCCCTAGGCAATATAGGGAAAGAAGATCTTGGGTAAAAATTTCACTGGGGGTGCCTGGACTAGGTTTAGGAGACAAATTTCCTCTTCACAGGGCTTAGGGTTTTCAGGCTTCACCTCCTTGGTCCTCTAGCAGCCCAGAGAAGAAGGGTAACATTCCCATTGTGTTATGGAACTTGTGCTTAGAGAAGTAACTTGTCCTGGGATGCACAGCCAGTGAGCTGCAGAACCTGGCCCCAGCTCTGTTGCTCATTTTCTGCAAAACCTTGAACCAGCTTGTTCATCTTTCCAGATTTGAATGTCTCATCTGTAATTCAAGGACTTGGACATAATGGATTCTAAGGTCCTCATTGTCCCTACTGTTCTTTGATTCTGTAATTCCAGCATCACTGCCTGGTAGGAAGTTCATTGACTCTACTGTTTTTCCTTTTTCAGTCTGGATTTGGTGGTTAGAGTCTAGTCTCTCCAAACTCTTGATGTCTTTCTGTCTTAGATGCTGGTGTACTTAGTGCAGTCCCAGAGGTGCTTTGCTCTCTTTCAGGAGTTACTAATGATCCCCCTTCCTCCCCCCATGACACAGGGCTACCACCCGATGCCCCATGAAGTGGAGATCGCACACACCAAGAAGCTGTTCCGCAGGAGGAGAAATGATCGAAGGTAGGAGAGACTTCGTCGTGAGCTTTGGGTTTTCCTTTCCTGCTTCTGCCATCTGTAGCGACGTCAGCTTTGGCCTGCATTTCGCTTTTCCCAGTCACCAGCTGATCCTGATGAGATGGGGTTGGTGGCATCGTGGGTTGGTTACTGGCTGGGGATTCCCCAGGGGCAGAGTGGCGGCTCCACTTCTCTTGTTGGCCTAGGGATTGGCTCCCTTCAGGCGTTTGGCTGAGAGCCCACCATCACCACTGCCTCTTCCTGGGGGTCAGGCAGTGACCAGGCTTTGCAGTTCAGGAGGAAAAATGCTGTTTCCGCTGACCTCAAAGCAACAATAGTGGTCCTCAGAAAATAGGACTGGCTGGCTGTGTGTTTTGAGACATGGCCTCCAGGAGGCTCCTGGAGCTCACAAGTGCAAGAGTATCTGTTTTCCTCCTCCCTGGTCATTGGGGGTTGTCCCTCATGCGTGCTGGCTCTGCTGTCACAGGCAACACACAGATCAGCAATGGCACATGCTACTGCTCCCAAATTCCTGGGGGAACCCACTTAAACTAAGGCAGAAACCGAGATCTCCTGTGGAGCTCAGACTCCCGAGTGACAATGGGGCCAGGAAAGGGGCAATGAGGTAGCCCTGGATAAGAACATGCAGCTGAAATTGAGCATCCTGGGAATGTGTGCATTTATTTTCAAAAAGGCTTTCTTATAAGGGGAGATCTTCAAGATATATTTTAAGTGGAAAAAATTCAGGTGCAGAGTAATGTTTCTTATGTGTGGTCATTTATGCAAAAGGGGGAGTTAGAGTATATTTTTTGCTTGAACATGCATAAATTATTTCTGGATGGAAATACCAAAAAAAGAACGAACAAAAAGGCTTATGCCTCAGGAATTAAAATGAGGTGTTCCTCTATAGGGAATATATTCTTAGATAAAGATGACGGCTTTTGGTTCTACCTTTAATGAACAGAGAATGTTCTCTGAGGGCCAAGAAACAGCCGGTGGACATGCCTTGCTCAGAACCCTAGCGGCGCCTGTGCTCAGGCTGGCTGGCCACCTCCTTAGGCTGAGACCAGGGTCTCTGATCCTTCCCTACGCATGCACACCCTGAATAGGGATTATTAGGTGGTGACTGCAACTCTCAGGGTGGATGTAGGCCTGGGTGCCCAGACTGCTTTGTCATCCACTGGTGGATTAAGTGGATCTGAACACATTCACAGAGGATGGCAAATGTATAAGTAGCTTGGGAAGAAGGCAGTGTCCTGGCTTAGAAATCAGAACCACCAGACACTTTCTGTAGAAGCACCAGGCATCAAAAAGGAACACTGAGCAGGAAGAGGTGGACCCAGGCCTGTTCCTGCCTTGACCAGAGTACAGTTTATCGCATCGTGTGTGCTGCCTTTTTGCTGTGCAGCATCACAGAGGCAAATTCCTGGTTTCTGGGTTCCTGGTAGAGGGAAGAAGGAGGCAGCACCCCTCAAGGAGGAATAGGGTTCACAGGGGCCTGGGAGGTGTCAGAGAGAGCAAAGGCTTTATGTCCTCTGCCTCTGGCCCTGTAGTCTCTGATGGCAGGGAAGACCCAGAGTGTGTGTCTGGGAGGTGTGGAGAGTCCCCGAGCTTCCTGATGAGAAGTCACCCTCTGCCCCACCTCTCTGCGCCCAGGCAATGGCAGGCTGCCACCCAGCATCCAGGTCAGCCTGCATGTCCATTTCTGGGCCAGGTCACCTCACTCAGCAGGAAGACCCTGGACAGTGGCAGGCCTCCGGAAAGCAGCAGCGTGACCCAGGGATGTAGGAAGAGGAGCGCGGCATGCAACGGCTGGGAAGCCGAGCTTCCGCTGAGCTGCGCTCACATTCACCAATGTCCGGGTTAGGTCAGCACACCTCCCAAAGGATGTGGACGGGCCAGGGTCCAAAGTGAGGCAATAAAGATGATTAAAGGGGTGGAAAGTATGTCCTGTGAGGAGTGCTGGAGGGCTGGGGCCAGGGAAGAGGAGGCCGGAGGGAAGGAACATCGTGCCGTGAAACTCATGAAAGATTTATACGGAGAGATGAGGGGCCGCTGCCTCCATGTCCACAGGGACCCAGACTAGAGGAAGTCAGCTTGGATGGAAGAACAGAGTTTTCAGCTAGACCGAAGACAGACTTATGGAGCAAACATCTTGACCATTTGGGGCAACACTGTGCAAGTCAGAGCAGCAGCCATGCCTGAACACAGAGCGTGTGCTCGTCGGGGCGCCCCGCTCTAATTCCTCTTCTAGATGCGGTAGAATCCGTTACTCACTCACAGCCTGGAGCTGTCGTGGAGTCCTCAGGTGATGGGGACTTTCAGGAGGAAAGCAGGCAGCCATATAGTTTAAGGACCTTTTTGTCTAAAAGCAGGGGTCTCCTGAGTCTGTTTTGGGAAATCGTGGGATTCTGCCACCCAAAGAGCCGCTGCAGAATATTATCAGGTGACCCCTAACCTTCCCAGCTAATGACCCATAGTAGTAGCCTTGCTAAGTGTCAAACCTGCATATTTGACCTTGGAAGTCCATACTTGTGTGCAGCAGGTTCACCTTCCTAATATTCTGGGCTTAAACTACACTGGGAGGGGCTTGCATTTCCTGGGCACGCATGGTGGCAAAGGGAGAAGTGACCAGAATCAGATTTGGTGGACAAAGGGCACAGCCAGCATCTGTGCCATGCCTCTGATCTCCCCCCACCATATGAAGGGAAGGGGCCAGCTGTATCCCTCTGGTGGCTTGGTGGCTCTCCTTGGAATGGAGAGGAGTCTGTGGCTTTCCATCTTCCTGCAAAGTGGCTGGAGTTGGTGTCCGATAGCTGCAAACTCCAGGCAGCATGAGCGTGCTGCTGAAGCTAGGAGCATGCAATTTCCCACAGCCTGGAGCAGGGATTTTCAGACTGGGACCTAAAGTCCTAGGCTTCATCAAAGTCTGTGTCCCATCCCAGTTCCAGCTGCACTCTCAGGGGTTTTTGTGTGCCTTACTGCTTTTATTTTCCACTTGTTTAAGTCTGAGGCTGTTAGCAAGCTGAATTATATAGCAGTTTAGGGACATGCCCTGGAATTAGGAGCTGGATGGGAATCCCACCTCCTCTCCTCACTCACCCTATGATCTTGCCAATTACATCACTTTTGAAAGCCCTGTCCCTTCTTCTACAAAATGGGTTCACTAGTCAGGGAGCTGAAAGGAGCTGATTCTAATAAAGCACCTAGAAACACGGTCTTAGTGTTGGCCCACTCTGCAGGTCAGAGGGGGTCCTAGGTGCTCAGGAAGGCTTTCAAGGTAAGTGTGGAGCACAGGTGTCTGCAGTGAGCGGGGAGCTTTTGTCCTGTGATTGTGGCAGCAAACCCGGAAAGCCTTGCCCTGCATTCCCTCCAGGGGCGGGCCGCTAGGATCAATTGTTCCTTCCCCTGGATCCACTTTTAAAGCCCTACCCACACTGTCAGAGGGGGCAGAGCCTGGGCTAGCAGGGAAGGAGGCCCCTTCAGAGTGGTCACCTGCAGACTCTGCTCCTGATGCCATGGGCTGCGTCTAGTGAATTGTGGATGTCTTTTTTCCATTTTGAAAAAAAAAAATTAAGCTCATGGACAGTTCAAAGGTTTCCTCAAGAATGTTCTTGACATTTGAACAACTAGTAACCACTTGTTTGTTTTTGGAAGCTAAGAAAAGACATTTGCTGATTTCAGACAAAATTATGCATTTTGTGACATAAATGTGCTAAATGAGTGTTCCACGCGTTCCTCAAAGAGCAGCATGCCTTCTGATGCTCTGGCCCCATGCAAGTTGGAGACCTGTTGCTTGGAACGGGGGCTGCTAAGGCTCGTTCCCCCCCTTTTCTCAAAGCTTTCTGCCCAGAGCACATAGACCAGAAGAGCAAGCTCACTAGAGGGCTGGAGACCCGGCGCACTGCCCAAGTTGACCCTGAGTGAGGTCCCTCACCGCTGGGGAGGATATTTTCTCTCCCCACCACACCCTGGCTGCATTTAAGAGATGAACACATTAAGGCAATGAATGGATGTTGTAGCCTGAGCTCCCTGGGAAGCAGGCTCTGGGACAGTGATTATCAGCAGCTGCTTTTAAAGGCATGCCTTTGGTGTTGATACTGGTAGAAGATCAAAAGAGGAAGTGGTATCAGCAGAGAGAAGTTGGGCTGCAGTGCAGTCTTAGAGAGTTCTGAGCCTGTAGGGGAGGTTCTGAAGTTGGGCTGACTCTTTAAGAGCTGTCCCAAGATGGGGTAAAGGGGCAGGCCTTGATACCTCCATGTCTGTTGGTCATCAGGCAGGGACTGCCCAAGGAAGGGAGCGTTACCTTGGGCGGGGCTGCGCTCTTTGCCCAGAGCAGTTGTCCTAGGGGTTGGCAGCTGAGGGCTGTCTGCACAGCACTTCCAGCAGCCGGGAGGCAGTGCCCCGCTCCTGAATGTGTATCACAGCAGACACTGCAGTGAAGCACTGTTCAGTTCTCCTACTGGGATTGGTTGGGCTGTACCCTGTGCCATAAGCTGTGCCCGAGAATACGGGAAGTATAGGGTGTGGCCCCTGCTCTCGAGGGCCTGAGCTGTAGCTTGCACAATGGTGCCTTGACTCCAGAAGCAACCAGAACGCTGTGCATGACTGTCAGTCATCCACGTGTTAACAGGGAGGAGGCTTAGAGAAAGCAGCCATCCTGGGAGATGCTCCAGAATGCTTCCTGGAGGAGGTGGGGCTTGAACTACTAGTGAGACCTCCAGGAGGATTTGGGAGATGGGAGGGTGTTGGGATGAGAGGAGCGGTGCTTGCTGCCTCTGTCCTGTGATTGACCGTGACTGTGGCTTGGTGTCCTCTAAATGCTCCTCTGCATCTAAGCAGGCTCTGGAGCCAGGGATTCCCCACATCCCCAGAAGTCGTCCCCACATGGCTCCCTAGAAACAGAGCCATGTGGGTGGTGCTCACAGCGGCCACCACCCCCAATTGAACTACATAGAAGGGAAAAGCCACTGGAGCCTGCCAGCTCCAGATGATCCCGCCCGACTGTCAGCAATGTCAGAAGACCCTGCAGGCTCCAAAGCCCGGCCTCTTAACCATCAGAAGAGGTGGCTAATGTAGGCATTAGTGGTCCATCGCACCGTGCCTGTGCGGCCAGGGAGACAAGAGAGCCATTCTCCAAATTAATTTGTTTCATTAAGTGAGGTCTCGGAATGGTTAATTTACTCCATGTGCAAAGCAGATTGAAAGGAAGAAGAGAAAAAGACCTTAGCCAGCCCAGCTAGTGTCAGATGGCTCCGCAGGACTAGAGGCAGGGGAGCGAGCCATCCACCTGGCGTGCGGAGTGGGCCACATGCTGGACGTTGCAGGGTGGCCACAGCCTACAGCAGCGCTTGCTGCCTCTGTCCTGCGATTGACCGTGACTGTGATTTGGTGTCTTCTAAATGTAGAACCAATTAAGAATTTTGGGGCCGGGCGTGGAGGCTCATGCCTATAATCCCAGCACTTTGGGAGGCTGAGACGGGCAGATCACCTGAGGTTCAGGGGTTTGAGACTAGCCTGATCAACATGGAGAAACCCCGTCTCTACTAAAAATACAAAATTAGCCGAGCGTGGTGGTGCAGCCTATAATCCCAGTTACTCGGGAGGCTGAGGCAGGAGAATTGCCTGAACCTGGGAGGCGGAGGTTGCAGTGAGCCGAGATCACGCCATTGCACTCCAGCCTGGGCAACAAGAGCGAAAATCTGTCTTTAAAAAATAAATAAATAAATAAATAAATAAATAAATAAATAAATAAATAATAAGAATTTTGTCCCTCCCTCTCTTCCTCTGCCAACGTGAACCCAGACCCTAAGTGTCAGTCATCAGATTGGATTTTTCAAGCTCTCTGTAACATCATCTAAGTCACTGATAAAAACAAACAGGACATATGGAACTTTGTGAATAGACTAAAAAGCACTCAATTATATACTTTAAAGGAGTGAATTTTGTACTGTGTGAATTATATCTCAATTAAAAAAAATTTAAAGAATAAGGCAGGTCCCAGGATGAAGTGATGTGGCAAGCCTCTTGAAACACCCCTTCAAAATTTTTTTTAGCAACAGGGTCTTGCTCTGTCACCCAGGCTGGAGTACAGTAGTGCAATAATAGTTCATTGCAGCCTTGAACTCCTGGCCTCAAGCAATCCTCCTGCCTCAGCCTCTTGAGTAGTTCTAGGGACTATAGGCACCCGCCACCACACCTGACTAATTTTATTTTTATTGCTTGATTGATTGGTAGCGATGGAGTCTTGCTATGTTGCCCAGACTGGTCTCAAACTCCTGGCCTCAAGTGCTCCTCTCCCGTCAACCTTCCAAGTAGCTGGGATTATAGACACAAGCCACCATACCCAGCTACCTCTTCAACCTTGATATTTTCAGGGTTCCCTAAATGTGTCAGGCTAGTAACTGTTTCAAAAAAGGACATAGATTTGGTCTGGCCATGACTTGGTCTGTGTGAACCTGTGCTAGCTATTAGTGGTCACCTTTTTTCTTCCAAACCATCTGTTTGGCAATCTCTTTTGGAGAAATGATATCCATATTTTTCCAATTTTTGAAAATTAGACTGTGTATACCTAGCTACAGTCTCTAACACTTTTGTTGCATTATTCAGAGTTTTCCAGAGAAACAGAACTGATAGGATATATTGAGAGGAAGAGAGAGAGATGTATCATGGGAATTGGCTCATGAGATTATGGAGGCCAAGAAGTCCCACAGTCTGCCATCTGCTGCAAGCTAGAGAACCAGGAAAGCCAGTGGTGTAATCAACCCAAGTCCGAAGGCCAAGAAACAGGAGCATGTATGAGGTTCCCAGCGTGACCGTAAGCATACCATGTGTTACAGCATGGGATGTCCAAGGGCAGGAGAAGATGGATGTCGCCACTCAAGAAGAGGGAGTGAAGTCACCCCTCCTCTGCCTTTTGTTCTGTTTGGGCCCTTGGCGGATTGGATGGTGCCCATCCACACTGGGAGAGAGATCTTTACTCAGTCTACTGACTGAAAATGTCCTCATAGACACACCTAGAAATAATGTCTTACCAGCTAACTGGGCACCCCCTAGCCCAGTCAGGTTGACATGAAATTAACCCTTATATCTGTTCTCCAGGATTCCTCAGACATGGTCAGGGGCCATTTATGACCTCATGTAAAGATTTCTTTTACTCCAATCAATATCAATATCGCCCCATTCCCGAGGCATGAAGGTGAGCACTCAGAGCACCCATTGCTCTCCGTGGAGTCTTCCAGGCCCTCAGCGTCTGACAGATGCGGCAACTGCAGCTGCCTTTTCTGGGCTGGTACCTGTTCTCTTGCAGAAGGCAAACTTGGAGTGGGAGAGGTCTGCTTTCTTTTTGCCACCTCTTAATTCTACGCTGTCTGCCCCATCAGTAGCCTCATGTGTCCCTCTGACTTCTCACTCTCAATACGAAAATATGCTTCTAGAATTGTCTTTAATATTTTTAAGCCCCATTCCTTGACACTGCTGTGGCTTCTGTATCCCAGGCTTTGATGGTCATCTGTGACTACAGGAGGCCCCACATTCCTTTTCACATGTGGGCTCATGGGCAAGGACTCTGGGGGATACCAAGTGCCTCTCGACATCCCTCTCTTTAAGTCACAGCTGCTATCTGGAACTTGCTGCTCCTTTTAGCACCTCAGAACACTCTACCAGTCATAGAGTCCCACATCCTACAAAAATGACCAGGTCCCCCAGATCTTGCCCACCGGGAACTGATGAGGAATTAACCTAGTCGGAGTCCTATATCTATACATCAGCTCATTCACATGAGTTGTTAAGATAGCTCTTTTGGAAGTGCAGTCCATCCTTATTACTCATTGATTCATATTTGCACATTCGCCTACTTGTAAAACTTATTTGTAACACCGCACTCAATACTCATGGTGTTTTTGCAGTCAGTCATTGACACACAAACAGTGAAAAATTTGAGTTGCCTGACCTGCAAGATCCCAGTCCAGGCCAAAGTAACACTCTGCCTCCTTGTTTCAGCTCTCATAGTATAAGCAAGCACCCTTCTCATGGTTCTGTTTACTGCCATGTTTTTCACATTTTTGTGCTTTTCCTTGGTGAATTTGCTATTTTAAATGGCTCCTAAACATAGTACTGAAGTGCCGTCTACTGTTCTTAAGCGCAAGGAGGCTGTGATGTGCCTTCCGGAGAAAATGTGTGTGTTAGATAAGCATCACTCAGGCATGAGTTATAGTGCTGTTGGCCGTGAGTTCAATGTTAATAAATCAACAATATGTATTAAATAAGGTTTCTTTAAACAGAAACACATACAAAACGAGGTTATGTATTGATCCAGTGGTGAAAATGTTGTGACCAGAGGCTTGCAGGAACCAAACCCCGCATTTCCCCTAGGAGTAATAGTTCAGTATTCACTAATTCAGTATTTGCAGCAACTTTATGGAATGCAACTACCATAAATAATGAGAAGTGACCGTACTTGCTCTTTAAAACAGAGTAGAGAGATGCTGAAGATAAAGAAGTATGTTGTAGGCAACAGGATCTTAGGTCTGAGTGATTTATCTTGTTCGTGTGTGGTGGTAGCTTCGCTAGGGGATGAGATGGGGACGGGGGGGATGCTTCTTCCAGTGGTCATTGTCCTGCATGGTTTGACTGAGCCTATCACTGCTTCATTTGCACCATGCTGGGATGCCACTGTTGCTGAGGCCCTCGCAGACAGCTCAGCCCTGCAGTGACTGTCATTGCCATCCTGTCATCCGAGCCCAGGGACCGCGAGACAGATCTATGCTCACTTTGCCCACGGTTTGTCTTTCCATCCCAGCAAGGAAATTGCCCTCATTAAGTCCCTGCTAAAGATAGATAAGAAAATGGGACAGGCAAACCCCCACCTGGCAGGCAGCCCTGTCAGATTCTAAGCAAAATGAGTCAGATAAGAATTATTTTTAGGATCCTTCTCCTCCTCCCTCACGCCCACCCCCAAGCAGGCTCTCTCTTGAAAAGAAGAGCAGCTCATTTCTTCAAGCCAGATGTCCAGGTCCATGCTTGATTGAAATGGAGCCCCTGATACACCCAGAGAAAGCCCCACGCTTTGTACAAATCATGATGGTCCCAATAATCCTTTGCACAGTGCAGCTGCCTCAGGCCGCACTCCTGGGCAGAACAAGCTGCAGAGAGTGGCCCTGTTGAGGCTGGCCCACAACTCACCCATGAGGGATATACCTTCCCCCGATCCCCATGCTCAGGACTTCCTCCCAGCATCACACTTCATGGGAATACAAGGCTCTGGGGGTTCTCTCCCATCGGGACCCACATCCACGCGGGGGACAAATGGGTAAGAAAAGAGGTTGCCTACAGCTCATTTTGGCAGAGCCCTGGAACCCCCTGTGCCCACCAGGCAGTGGGCATCCCCTAGTTCTGTGCCCACAGTTGGAGAGCAGAGTACTACTCTTTCTCGATCACAATAATCCCCTTTTCCCCAGCAATTAGAATTCCTTCAGACCCCTTAAGCCCTAAATAGCAAAGGGAGACCCAATGACAAGAAAGGTGACTGAAGAGGACGTAGGGGCACATGTCTAGTTACCTGCAGGACAGGAGGGCTGCTCCCTGAGAAACTGGCCCTGGAGAGATAAATGCCATTTCCCCAAGGTCTGCGTCTAGGATGGGACGTAGAATGGACGCCTTGGGAACCAGCCACCCAAGCTGGTTTCATTCCTCCTCAGAGGTCTAGTCTCTACTGAAATGCTAGGCATTTGAGGATTGGCTCACAAACACTAACACCCAACCCTTCATTCCTCTCCGGAGCCCCAAGCAACCTGGCCTCTGGCACCAAGCCAGCCCAGCCCTCCCCGGGGACAGTGTGTCTGGTGGGCAGCCCAGGCCCAGGGCGAGGCTCACTGGCTTCAAGACGAGCTCATCTCTCACCAGCCAGGGGATCTTGGGCCCTGGACAAACCATTCTTCTTATGTCCCCAAGGACACCATTGTGCAGACTACAGGGATGCCATTAGATGCCATGTGATGGCAGATACGAGGGAAGTCCTGACCCTGTGTGCGGCTCTGAGTCTAACCTCAGAGAACGTGCATCCCCCCCTCTCTGTCCTGACACTCACTCCTGTGCAGGAAGAAAAGAACACTGGACCAGAAGTCATGGAATCTGGATTTTCATACTTGTGGTGTGGTTCAGAGCAATTCTCTTACACTTTAAGGGTACACAGTTTCTCAGCTATAAAATAGGGCTCTGATTTCAGCTCTACAATGTATTAGAGAGAGTGCGAGGTGAAGATGAAAAGGGACACTTCTCAGGGATATTCCATTCCTTAACCATGGGATGGGAAAGACAGTTCTGAAAGACATGTTGGAGGCTGGCCAGGGCTTTCAGTGCAAATAACCAGTGTCTCGTGTATCTTCAGCTCAGCCCATGTGCCCTGTCCAGAAGGTTCTAGAAAGGCAGCCATGCCTGCTGCCCCTGTGTATATTTTTCCTTCCCCAGATCTGGCACACAGTCATACTAGGCTAAGCCTCATACTCCTGGCCCTGTGCTTTTTTTTTTTTTTTTTTTTTTTTGTGAGACAGGATCTCACTCTGTTGTCCAGGCTGGAGTTGCAGTGGCACAATTATAGCTCACGACAGCCTCGACCTGCTGGGCTCAAGTGATCCTCCCACCTCAGCCTCCCAAGTAACTGGGACCACAGGCACGTGCCACCACACTTGGCTAAATTTTTTATTTTTTATTTTATAGAGACAGGGTTTTGCCATGTTGCCTAAGCTGGTCTTGAACCCCTGGCCTCAAGCAATCCTCTCACCTCAGCCTCCCACAGTGCTAGGATTAAGGGCATGAGCCACAGCACCCAGCCTCTCTGTCCTCTTGAGATCGTATGCTGCCCAGGACCGCAAGATTCACAGGTGTAAGTACCCAGCCATACCTGTTGGTGCTCACAGGTGTAAGCACCCGGCCGTACTCATCGGCACTCACAGGTGTAAGCACCCGGCCGTACCCATCAGCGCTCACAGGTGTAAGCACCCAGCCGTACCCATCAGCGCTCACAGGTGTAAGCACCCGGCCGTACCCATCAGCGCTCACAGGTGTAAGCACACGGCTGTGCCCATCGGCGCTCACAGGTGTAAGCACCCGGCCATACCCATCGGCGCTCATAGGTGTAAGCACTTGGCTGTACTCATTGATGTAGCAGGCTGTGCATCCCACTGGTTCTGAGGGTCTTTTTCGCTAGACTCCCAGGCAAGCCTGGCCCACCCTCTGCCAAGCCTGGATGTCACTCAGCAATTCACAAGCACTTCCAGAGCACTCACTGTATTCAGGGCACCCTTTAGCTCATATAGTCTTCCCAATGACCTTAGGAAGGAGATGCTATTTTTATTTCCAATTTACAGATGAGGAAAGTCACTAGTCCAGAAAAGTGAAGCGACACAAGCAGCCTGGCTTCCAGGCGTGTGCTGCTAACAACCCACTGCTCTGGGACCCCCTCCTTCCCCATCTGCAGACTCAGCTTCCGTCTGCTGGGCCCCTCCCTGGCTGCCTCCTACATACTCCCCCTGTTAACCACCTGATCAACTCACATGCACGGGGAGCTAAAGACGGCATGGTCCTCTTTGGGGTGAGGGGGCTGTCATGTCAAATGGACTAGGGGAGGGCTGCTGCCTCATTCAAAGGGATGAATGAATGAATGAATGAATGAATGATGAGATTTCAGATGAGACCCTCAGACAGGGTCACCCACCCTCCCACCTTCTCCCCACCTGCACTAGGTCAGTCCTGCCCATAGATTACTTTCCTTGTCTGGATGATTCATGAATAGACATATTTAGGAAGCCCTCGAAACTGACCAGGGATTTCCCAGATTGTGGGGACCCCACTCGATGAGCACCCAGAGGGAAAGTTCTGTGAGTTCTGGAGTGGTGGGCAGCTCAGGGGGTGGGGAGGCAGCCCGGCCAGAGGAGAGCTTCCTCCAGCTGTTGGCTCCCCTGACTCCCAAGAGGACAAACCCAGAGCATGAGGGTGCCTTTCACTCCTCAGGGCTCCCCAGGAGAGACAGGGGCACAGGTTTTAAAAATACCAAGGAGCTTTCCTCCTGGGTCGGCATTTACCCTGAACTCCAAGAGTTATTTCTGAGTCTTCCCAGTAATTTAATTATAGCCATTTATTCCAATGCATGTGTTTTGGGGAAGCCAAGGTGGCCTCTATTACAGTTTGGAATATTTTGGGAGGCCTTGGTTTCCAAAAGTGATGCAGGGACTCAATTAGGCAAGACACCAGCAAACAGAAATAAAATAGCTCAAGAAGATAGGCCCTCAAGTTCCCAGAGGCGATGCCTGTACTTAGCACCCACGGGGGAAATTAAGATGAAGTTGTCCCCTGGGTGCTTGGTGTAGTCATCTCTGTAGCAGCAGCATATGCCACCTTCTCCATGTCTCTAAGCACCTGCAGGGATTTCAATGCCCTTCAAATTATGGGCTGGATGGGGTTGCCCATTCTTTCCAAGTAGGCCTGGACAGATGAACAGCCTGGGCACCAGGATTTAGGTCCCCCTTGTAGGTGGACACAGACTCACCAACAACTTGTGGGATGGCATTATCAAACAGCTTCTAACCTTTCAAATAGGCCTTTGGAATCCTCAACTGGTTCGCGCTCCCTGACCCCCTGCTCCTTGTAGATGGCCTGCTCCACCTGCCCTCAGCTCTGTCCCCACCTACCCTCCCACCCACTGTCTTCACTCGCTGTGCTCTCCAGACCCCAGTCTTCTCGCTGTTCTTTGAACAGGCCTGTCTCTGTCCTGCTCCCAACACTGACCAGCCCCTGTACCTCAGTCCCTCTCCCTTGCCTCTTGTTCCTGCTGGCCTCCTCTGATTCTGCAGGTTCTGCTGACTCCTTCCTACTCCTCCACCCCTTACTATTCATGGCCTCATTCATCCTCCCTTGATCCTCTTCCCTGACCTTCCCTACAGCTGCTGGGCGGGGTCCAGCCTGACACAGACTGAGAGCTTTCCCTGCTGTGTGTGAGCTCCTGGGCTCACCTGAAGCAGGTGCGGCCACTGAGGGACTTAGGGAAGGGCAGAGGGCCGGAGAGCATCCAGCACACACATTCATTCATGTCTGGAGGGCAAGCCCCGGGATCCTGAGTCACCTCAGCAGGTGGATAGAGGAGCCCAAAACAGAAGCTGCTGCCTGGAGCCCACATTATCTGCATTGACACCCGCCTGCAGGAATACGACTGCCCTTGTGTTGGCTTTGAACTCTGTCTTTCAGCTTCAAGGGGAGGATTTGGTGGACAAAAGATCTAATTTTAGGCTTATTACTTGTCAGGACTGACATTGAACTCAAGAAAAGACATGTGTGAACTTGAAACAAAGATGAGAAATGTTTTTAGAAAGAGAAAATGTGTTCTGGGGTGGTGTGCATGTTTGGTCTGGTGGTCTGTGTGGCCACAGCAAACACGTGTTCCAGACTGGCTCTGCATGTCAGGGAGCAGATGGCTCGGCCTGGTCACCCTGAGCAGGAAGCTTGCTGCCTTTGAGCTGTGAGCTGCAGCCACGGTGCAAAGAGGCTGGGCGGAGGCTGGGGTGAGACACTTAGAGGGCAGGATTCTGACTGTGCCCTGATATTCAGGAGGGCTGGCGGTGCTCAGTCAGGGGTAGGGTAGGAACAGTGATCATCAGGGCCTCTTTAGGCAGAGCACACAAAGGCCAATTCCCTCCCAAGGCTCCACCATCCCAATTCCTGTCCCAACGCCCCTCCTAGGATGGCAGGGGAGCCTCGGCGCCCTTTCCGGGAGACAGCCCCGGTGTATTTTGACTGTGCTTCCTTACTCTACAAGCAGTCAAGGACAGCCACCTTCTGCCTTCCCACCACCCCCTTAGGGTGAGAATGAGGAGGAGCTCCCACCTTCCTCTACTCTCATGCGGCCCCTTTTGACCCCAGATTTACTGCTCCTGCATCCCGTTTTGTGAACTGGTGTGTCAGTGGTTGATCTACCCTTAATGGTAACCCAGGGCATGTTACTTTGCATTTTCACTTGAGCCTTCAGTGATTACCCAGAGTTAAGAGAATGATTTAGTTTCTGGCACACTGAGAAGCTCCCACGTGTGGGAGGTAGGTGAGGGTGGGTATATGTCATGTTATTTCAAGGCAGATTTTTTTGCTCCTAAGAGCCTAAAACCATCCCACTTGAGGCAAACCCACATTTTGCCTCTGACTTTGTTGCCTGGAGGTCATATCACAGGAGCCACACCAGGGCCCTTATTCCAGCCTAATGTGTAGGTGGTCCTTTGAGAATGCTGAGTTGCCTAGACTTCATTCGAGTCCTGTCACTAGATATGTAGCCTCAAGACATCCCTTCACCTCTTTGAGGCATGTTGCTCAACTATAAAATACGATATCCACCTTGTAAGAGTGTTCTGCAGTTCAAATGAGGTGATGCTCAGAAAGGAGGTAAAATGCCAAGGGCAACACAAACCTGAGGACTTATTGCCTATATTTGTGTTTGAATCACACATGTTCGGTTTATGTTTATAGTTGTGGATATGTACGTGTGCATGTGATTGCTTTAGGACTCTGCTAATCATCATTTCCAATGATAATTTGCTGGAAATGGAGCTTGGCTTGGACGTTTGTATTGGGGTTATCTATTGCTGTGTAACAAATTTCTCCAAGACGTAGAGTTTAAAACAACAAATATTTATTATGTCACCCAGTTTCCAAGGGTCAGGAATCCAGGAGCAGTTTAACAGGGTTGTCCTAGCTCAAAGTCACCCTTGAGAGTGTAGTCAAACTGTCAGCCAGGGGTGTAGGCATCTGAAGGCATGACTGGGGCTGGAGAAAGCCCAAGCAGTTGGAGAACAGCCTCCTTCACAAGGTGGTTGGCAGTTCTCAGTTTCTCATTAGCTGTTGGTCACAAGGTGGACCTCTTCATAGGGCTGTTCATGACATAGCAGCTGACTTGTCCCAGAGTATGATCCAAGAGAGACAGACAGGAAGACAAGCAGACAGACAGACACCAAGATCGAAGCTGCAGTATGCTTTGTAACCTAATCTTGGAAGTGACATGCCATATTCTACCATATTCTGTTGGTCACATAGACTAACCTTGGTACAGTGTGGGAGGGGACTTTACAGGGATATAAATTCCATAAAGTGGGGATCACTGGGGACAATCTTAGAGGCTGACTACCACAACCCACCCTCTCATTCCCAGTGACTCACATGCAAAATAGTCTCACCCCTCCCAATGTCTCATTTGATTATAGCATCAGCTCCAAGTCCAAAGTCTCATCATCTAGATCATGTTCAGATGCAGATGACGCTCTTTGGGTGTATCTCCTTAAGTACAGCACCTCAGGTACAGTTCACTCTTGATCTGTAGGCCTGAGATTTAAGGAGGCAAGTTAGCTGCACACACACACACACACACACACACACACACACACGTAGCCAACATACAATTGTGGGACAGGCATAGGGTAACAGCCTTAGATACACTTATTCAAGAAGAGGGGAAACAAGAAGCACATAGACATTGTTGGTCCATAGCAGTTCTGAAATCCAGCCAGGCAGATATTGGAAGTTTCTTGATTAGAACTCAGTTCTGTTCCTGCCCAGGAATTATTCTACAAGGCTGTCTCCGCCCTCTGCATTCAGGGTCTTTCATGAGATTGCAGCAAGTCATGAGCCCAGTGAATACTCTGGGCTCTTGGTTCTGCCTCTGAGTCATCCTTCCTTTTCTATGAAAGGTAGCATGTCTTTGCAGCTGATTTGTTGCTCAGATAGCTTCCTGCTGGTAGAATTTGGGAGGTCCAAGAGCTTCTTTATATTTTGTACTGTGTCTCTCCCTTCCAGTCCAAGTTGTTGTGTTTCCACTGAAATAATCCTTTGAAAAACTTTATGGGTCTTCTGTGATCCTATTGAGTCTGTTCCACCAAATAAAAGCCCACCCACACATCTCTTCAAGACCATCCCTTCTCTCCGCTGGGCTTCTGCTGAGGGACAATGCCCTTAAGCTTCTTAGAAGCTCTGTTGTTTGACTGAGAAGATCTTTAACATCTCTTAAAATCTTTACAGAGCTTTTGGTCTGACTGAATAGTACTCTGAGGCAGCACCGCTGAACTTTCTAAGATCTTGACAAAGACTTCATAGCCACACCCTCCACCTCATCTTTGGACTATGCTTTCCTGAGAGTGCCTGGATTTGATCTTTACGCAGAAGTCATTTCCTAATTTTAGCATCATTTGCCATCTGGACAGTCTGGGACTCTTCAAAACTAGCAAGTCCTGGATTTTTTTTTATTGTGACAGCCCTTCTTTTAACTTGTCTCTCTCTTCTCACATTTTACCTAGCAAGAAGAAACCAGGCAGCCCCTGCAGGACCCTGGCTAAAAACTTCTTCCTTAGATAATGCAAGTCATTAAGTACATTTTCTGCTTTTCACATATCTGTAGGAGACAATGTTGCTAAACATTTTGGGGCTACATAATAAAAATCCTCCTTCCTCTAATTCCCAATAATATATTTTTCACCTCCCTTAAAGCCCCCATCACCAGTCTCCTCAAAGTCCATATTTCTACCAGTGGTCTCTTCATGGCATTTGAAGTTTTCACTAAGAATCACCCCAGAATGCTTCTGGCTCCGGCCCACTGCCCAGTACCAAAGCCACTCTCACATTGCAGAGTTTCACTATGGCAGCACCCTACTTCCAAGTACCCAAAGCTGTATTAGTTATCTCTTGCTGTGTAACAAATTACTCCCCAAATTTAGCAGCTTAAAATAAGCACTTATGATCTCACACAGTTTATGACGGTCAAGCATCCAGAAGCTATATAGCTGGGGAGTTCTGGCTCAGGGTCTCTCGTGAGATTGTGGTCAGGCTGTTGGCCAGGATTGCGGTCATCTGACACTTGACTCAGATGGGACTGGAAGAGCCACTTCCCAGCTCACGGATGTGGTTGCTGGCAGGCCTTGGCTCCTCACTGGCTGTTGGCTGGAGGCTTCATTTCCTTGCAACGTGGGCCTCTCTGTAGGGTGCTCATGACAGAGTGAGTGGCCTGTGAAGGAGGGAGGGGGAGAGTGAGAGAGAGAGAGAGAGAGAGAGAAGGAAAGAGAGAGATAAGCTGTTGGATCTTTTGTAACCTGGTCTCAAAGCAACATACCATCCCTTCTGCCATATTCCATTGGTCACAGACTAACCGTGATGTGGCAAGGGACTAAACAAGAGTTTGAGTGTCAGGAGGTGGGGACCACTGGGAGCCACCTTTATCTGTTTTGAGTTCCTTCCTGTACCATTGCTTTTTCCCCCCACTTTAAATGATCTAGTGAAACTCACCGGTAGCTTTGAATGGGTTGAGGGTTTTTGTGTGTTCTGATTCAACTTCAAACCTCTCTACAAATGCCCTCCTCATCCTGTCCTCCCCTCTGCGCTTCCATCCTTCCTGCCCATGGCCCCTCTCCATGGTGGGGCATCAGTGAAGACGCTTCCTGCCTGGGGAAGATTTGAAGCCAGGGGATGCTGTTGCCAGAACTTTGGAACACCCCTCTTACCCAGGGGGTCCAGCAGATAGTTCTGGGAAAAGGAAACTTTCCAAGATACACACCCACGTTCCCCCCACCACCACTACCACACACACAGACACACACTCACACATGTAATTATTTTCCCTTAAACTCTATAATCTCAATGATTATAAAAAGTTTGGGCTTTAATTGGAAGCGTATTGAAATCCTTGCATCTGTCAGACACTGACAGAGAAGGCTTCCTTGCTTAGGTGGGAAAATAACCCAAATATTAACAACACAAATAAAGATGGCTCCCCCAGCCTTTCTCACAGCAGCCGCCAGTGGTCTGGGAGGCAGTAGGATGAGAGCTGGCGTCCCCATGAGAAGAGTGAGATCAGCGAGACTCAGAAAGGTGATGCGATTTACTCCAGGCCTTGCAGAGCTGAGGCTGGTCCCAGACATCCAGACGTCTGGATTCTTTTCCACAGGGTTCTGGAATGTTGGTCCTGTGGTGGAAAACACGTGCTCCTTTTTCACCCACTTGGGGATCCGTGGTGATCTGGAGTTGTCTTCCTGTCTGGGGAGGGTGGTCCTGCCTCGGGTAGAGGACCAGATATGGTGGGGGTTCAGAATGCTGTGGAGAGAAGTCCCTCAGAAACGGAAATATTTTGGCAGGCATGAGGAAAGATTGTGAGGGAGCACCCAGTGGTGGGACAGTGGCGATGGACAGAAGAGGACTCCTGTTAATCCGCTCTTTCCAATCCACCCAGATGCCCTTCCCTGCATTTTGAGGCATCCCTGGGAGGACTGCCTCAGGAGGCTTCACCTCCAGGTGGAGTCTCAGGTGAAGTAATAGTAGCCGGCTTTGTCCACAGCTGTGCTGCCCAGCGCAGTCACCACGAGCTGCCTGTGGTGATTTACACCCATTACAATTAAATAAAGCCACAAGTTCAGTTCTGCAGTCATATTGGCCACATTCAGGGCTAGCCACATGTGGTGAAGGGCCTCCACAGTGTGAGGGGCCCCCGAGGTGTGAGGGGCTCCTGTGGTGTGAGGAGCCCCCGAAGTGTGAGGGGCCTCCGCGGTGTGAGGGGCCCCCGCAGTGTGAGGGCCTCCTGGGGTGTGAGGGGCCCCTGAGGTGTGAGGGGCTTCTGCGGTGTGAGGGGCCCCTGCGGTGTGAGGGGCTCCTGCTGTGTGAGGGGCCCCTGCGGTGTGAGGGGCTCCTGCTGTGTGAGGGGCTTCCACGGTGTGTGGGGCCCCTGCGCTGTGAGGGGCCCCTGTGGTGTGAGGGGCTTCCGCGGTGTGAGGGGCTTCCGCGGTGTGAGGGGCTTCTGCGGTGTGAGGGGCTTCTGCGGTGTGAGGGGCCCCTGTGGTGTGAGGGGCTTCTGCTGTGTGAGGGGCTTCTGCGGTGTGAGGGGCCCCTGTGGTGTGAGGGGCTTCTGCTGTGTGAGGGGCTCCTGCGGTGTGAGGGGCCCCTGTGGTGTGAGGGGCTTCTGCGGTGTGAGGGGCTTCTGCGGTGTGAGGAGCCCCTGAGGTGTGAGGGGCTTCCGCGGTGTGAGGGGCTTCCGTGGTGTGAGGAGCCCCCGCAGCTTGAGGGGCCCCCACGATGAACGCAGTGTGAAGGGCCCCCTGTGGTGTGAGGGGCCTCTGGCAGTGTGAGGGGCTTCCGTGGTGTGAGGGACCCCCGCAGCATGAGGGGCCTCCCGCAGTGTGAGGGGCTTCCACAGTGGACCATGCTGCTCTAGGACGTTTTCATCATGGCAAAAATCCTGTCAGATGACCCTGCTCTGGGGAAACTCTCCCAGCCCAGAGAGGCAGGCATGGGGCAGTTGGGGGAGAAGAGAAAAGTGGAGAACCATTTGGAAGGGTCTGGGGGCCAGGGAAAAGGCATGAGGATGAGAAAGAAGAAGCTGAGAAAGAGAAGGGGTGCTCATGGAGCAGTGTGTGGCCCCTTTGGGTGCTCAGGAAATGGTCATTCCTCTTTGATCTGGGGCTCAGAGAGGCAGACAGTGCCTACCCTGTTGGGGTTTAAAACCCACAAGGGAGGACCACCTCCTGCAGCACCTTCTCTCAAAAGCTCCAGGCCCACTCTGCAGACCACCAGGACCCCCAAGAGCTGTGCAGCCTCACCAGCAGCTGATGGGCATCACTGGGAGGGAGTAGAGAAGGCTCATTATGATGGTCAATTCAGGACAAATCCTTTGGAATAGGGAGAGATGCCTGGAAGCTTCTGGAGAATGGAGAGGTCCCCATTTCCTAACCCACCATTGGTCCTTTGTCACCATATTCCCCACCCTCTATGCCTGAGTGGAACTCCGTTAACCCTCTCATTCCTGGAGAACTGCACAAACCACATCTCAACAATGTCTTCCCAGTGGCCACCTAACTCAGCTTAGGGACCTAGTAAGGGCTTGGTTTGTCTGTGATAAGTGAAAGGTGTGTGGATGGATGGGATTTCTTCAAAGTCTTATATGGAAATTATCCATATAAACCACTGAATAAAGAAGACCTCTTTAGTTTTTAGCGGGTTGGGACCAGAAACCCAATGGTCCCTTACCACTGCAGTGACTTCATTCCCGCTTATTATAACAGCAATTATTGAAGCTGCTTTTTATGGGACACCTCCTAGGCTGTGCATTCTATCTGGATTAGGGGTCAGCAAAGTTTTCTACAAAGGACCAGAGAATAAATCTTTCAGGTTTTGCAGGCCATAGGGTCTCTATCATAACTCCTCAGCTCTGCCATTGTAGCACAGAAGCAGTTATAGAAATATATAAATGAATGAAAGTGACTGCTTGCCAATAAAACTCTGTTTCCATAACCAGATAGCGGCTCCATTCGGCCCACAGGCCACCATTGGCCAATTCTTGTTGTAGGTTATCATGAATCTTCCAACACCCCGAAGAGAATGAAGTTTCCATTCCTACCTTACAGCCGAGGAGACCATGCTGCAGCAGTGCATTCACCTGGCCGCCGGGCTCACATGCCTTTTGAGGCAGACCTAGGCCTATCCAAGCAGGACTCCCATTCCCTGGGGTACGTTTTGATGTGGAACTGCAGAAGGCCTTGCCAGAGGCTGCCACGGGAGACCTCAGGATTCGGGGTACCCAGGAGTAGCCAGTGATGCCTCAGGGGTAACAGAAGAACCTGGAAGGCTGTAGGAAAAATAGAAGCCTGTTTCCCCTGCTTCACTGAGGTTGTAAGGCAACCCCGAGAAGGCAGAAGGGGACCAGCAGGGCAGTGCACACCCAGGAGACAGCTCTTACCTTGATGACGGGGCTGACCAGCCGGACACTGCCCTGCTTGGACCTTTTTTATGCCCACCACAGGGCAACCACTGCCTCCAGCATCCCCCCTGGAGAAGCTGCTGCAAAGCCGTCCCCTTCTATGGGAGCCACAGCTTGAAGCTAAAACAAGAGCCCAAAGCATCTTCAGGTGTAAGAAGAGGTCTCTTTCTTTCTTGTTCTCGGCAGCCCATCCTTCCCCAGCTCCTTCTGGACATGAGGTTTCTTGTTACCCTCTTCAAGTTCCTTTGGCTCGCAGCATTGCCTCTCCTCCAGACAATATGGCCTGGCCAGTGTGACCTGCTCCTGTATGCCCTCCAGCCCTCCCCAGCCATGCCACGGAGGGACAGAGCTGTCCAGATCCCAGCCAGGGTCTCCAATTTGTGCAAGGCAGGAGGAGGCACATGTCACTGATGTGAGAGCTGTCTAAGGGTTTCATTCATTCGCGTTTTCAATAGAGGCCGTGGTGTGCCTTGCAGATATTTGATCTACATCACCATAATCAGACAAGATTGGGCATGTTCAGGGTGGTGTGGCTGTAGACAACATCACCATCATCAGAAAAAGAAGGAGGAGGAGGAGCGTTATTTTGAGAGGCATCGGGGGCCTGGTTGCCTGGACTTTCATCATTAGTGCATGCTTATTTGGGTTAAAAATTCATAATCCCTGTGGTCCCTTCCAAAGCGTAGCTGCCCTGGGGAGGCAGTATCCCAAGGCACTCGGACACCTCTGTCACTAACTTTTTCAAGTTTGTGGATTATAGATAAGGGAGGAGGCGAGGAGGGGCCGAGAGGGAAGTGGGAAACTGTGTGGGAGGGGGTGGGTGCTCAGAGTGGAAGTGAAGATCAAGCTGAGTCCTCTAATGATGGTGCTGGGCCCCTGCCTGTCTCTTCTGGGAGTCACTGCCTCCATGTGCATTAACCCTGCAGATCCAGCCGCAGCCTGAGTGTTGAATAGGGCTAGCTGAGCTCTTTGCTGACCACTGTCTCCAGTGGAAACCACTGAGTGCAGGGTCAGGAGTGGGGTGCTCTCAGACACTGATGGAGCCATGCCCAAGACCCAGGGAACATCCTGTGGCTGGGGAGGAGTTACAGGGAAACAGATTGTCGGGCAAGGGTCTCTGGCCCCCCTCCCTGGCAGTCGAGGGCACACCAGTGTCTGGAGACAGTGTGGGTGCTGAGCTGGCACATCCACCACAGAGCAACTAGGATTATTGAGGAGAAGGAGGAAAATTATCTGAGCCCACCTAGGGTTTTCATTTGCAGCCCGTGATGAAGTCAGCTGGCCAAGAGGTCAGCTTCAGGCCACGCCTGTGGGGACCCTCCTGGCTCTTCACACTCAGCTCCCACCAGCCCACCCCAGAGTGCTTGCTCCCAACTCACCCTCGCAGCCCTTCCCCCTGGAAATCATAACTAAGCCCTCCCTTCCCCCAGTCTCTCAGGGCTGTCTCAGAACTAAGCTTTCCAGCCGGAGAATGCTCGGAGCATTTCAGCAGGGGTCTTCATTCTCAAGGAGGCGGGTACAATTTGGGGCTCAATAAAAGGGATATTTGAAAATAAAGCTGGGCATCCACCCAGCAAAGCCAGTTGGCAATGCCATGAGGGACGCTGTGTTCTTCTAACTCTGCTAAGCCTGCCCTGTGAGCCGTGGCTCAAACCCAGCATGGGAACTTCCTGTAGGGGAAGAGGCCAGGCTGTTTGGAAAAGAGACCTCGAGTCCCCACCCACTTCCCCTGGGACAAGGAGTGGGGAGACCCTCGGCTGCACCTTCTGTCCCCCACCCCCAGCATTGCTGTGGTCAGAGATAATACCAGGTTAGCTACATTAAAATTATTTGGGCTGGGCTCAGTGGCTCACGCCTGTAATCCTAGCACTTTGGGATGCCGAGGCAGGTGGATCACTTGAGGCCAGGAGTTCAAGACAGGCTTGGCCAACATGGTGAAACCCCGTCTCTACTAAAAATACAAAAATTAGCCGGGTTTGGTGGCACAGGCATGTAGTCCCCGCTACTCGGGAGGCTGAGGCAGGAGAATCGCTAGAACGCGGGAGGCAGAGGTTGCAGTGAGCCAAGATTGCACCACTGCACTCTAGCCTGGGTGACAGAGTGAGTGAGACTCTGTCTCAAAAAATAAAATAAAATTATTTGAATCCCAGGATTCATTGGGGTTCATTTGCATCCTGTTCATCATCACGGCAACATTCTGGGAGAGAAAGGGAAGACTTCCAAGAGGCTGAATCACTTTGCAGTGTTGACCTCACCCACCTCATGACCCCAGGGTGGTGGGAGCAATGCCCTTCACCAGCCCCTGTATGGATAGGAAGCAGGGGCTGGAGAGGAGGTTTTGGTCAGGAAGGGAGGCTCTGTGAATGCTTCTCGCAAGCCTAGACTGAGCCAGGCATTAGAGGAGCATCCCGTCTAGTTGGAGTGAGGTGATTAAGATATACTGAACAATTTACACTTAATATCATATTGCTGTGTGTGTACTCCTGTGTACATATACATATATGGTATATATGCACATGTGTGTTTATATGCATTTATATGCACACATGTATGCATGCATATTGCATGTGTGCAATATGTGTACAAGTATGTATATGCATGTGTTATGTGCCTATGCATATGTGCATGTATGTCCAGTTTGTGTGCGTGTGTGTGTGTGTGTGTGTGATGGCACAGTGCAGCCCATAAGGCCCTGTAACTTCAGAGAAAGGAAAGGCTTTGCAGTTTAGAGTAGCCAAGAAGCCTTCCTGGAGGAGGTGGAACCTGATCCGTCTCTGCAATGGGGCCAGCAGAGGGCAAGGGGAGAGCATTCCTGATAAGTGACTGAGCAGAGACAAAGGCCCAGAGGTAGGAGCAGAGAACACTGTTAGGAAAGAGGCCAAGCCAGGGAGGAAGGTGTGAGAAGCCAGTGAAGAATTAGAGCCAGTGCGCCAATTCTTCACTGCATCTGTGGCTGCATCTTTGGATGTCTTGCATGCAGATGTACAGGCAGCAAGTCCAAGAGAGCGTGTTGCTGGAGGGACAGCCGGCGCACAGGCACGTGGCAGGAAGCACGTGGCAGGTGGAGGATGTGGAGGAAGCAAGTGCATGCTTGAGAGAAGGAGACTGGAAGACTGGAAGCTAAAAGGGGAAAGAGGGAAGGAGGTGAGGACAGGGTGTTTGAACAGATTCTGTATCTCCAAGTGTCCAGTGGAGCCTTGGATTTTGTCTTGAGTCCCAGAGCCCAGTTCCTACCCATTTAGTTGGAGTCTTGAGGATTCTTGCCAGTGATTAAGTTTCCCCCATCAAAATAGGCTATGATGGAGACTTGAGATTCCCTTACCCAAAGGTGCCTGGGTCTGGTGAGAAGGAGGAGGCGCTCCCATTCCATCTCCAGTCCTCCCTGCGAGCTGCAGCCATCAATCTGGGACAGAGATACTAAACACTCCGTAAATGTTTGTGGATGGCCTCTTGGGGAGGGCTGGGCTGGTTGTGATCCTGTATGTCATGGGAAGCGGAGGAGTTGGAAAGGGCACACCCGGGTGGTCTGGTGGTTAGGATGGCCCCGTTCCTGGGAATGGTTGCCACGAAGCATTTTCCCTGGCTTCTCCATAGAAGCGACTGTTCCTTCCCGGAGTGTTATGAAAACCTGCAATTACCAAGCCGCCTCTGGGTGCGAGCATTCAGACCTCCTCTTCTTTCTTCCAAGATACACTGAGTCAAGACCTGGTCAGTGCAGAAAGCGGGTTCCTCTCCCACATTCCGTCCCGCATAGCCCCATGGGGCTGTGGTTAATGAGCTTGGTGATTATGTATTTCATGTCTGGGATGAGGAAGGTGAAGGGCTTGAGTGAATGCCTGTGCCTCTCCAAGTTCTGGAGCAAGCTGCCTTCTGCACTCGGCATGCTCTGGGACCACTCAGCAGATACCACCATGTCTCTGGGGTTTGGGGTCCCCTTCTTCCTCCAGCTGCACTGAGTGGAAGCCAGAGCTGTGCATAGAAGCTGGGAGAGGACTCAAGCAGGAATGTGCAATGCAGGGCTTCATGGAACGCTCCACCCAGACTGCCGCCTTGGGATGCCCAGAGTTTAGCTCTATCCTGTTCCTCCGATGATTTTCCTTCTGGGCATATATATTTCCTGGCCTCTTGCCTTTGCATGTGTGAGTCGTGATGGGGGTTGGGGGAAGAAGGAAAAACATATAGAATGGGTGGCTCCAGACTTGAAATTTTCACAGTGGAAGAGAGAATAAAAGCAACTCTTGTGGGTCAGGAAGTTTCTGGACCTGCCGCGCCATGGCCAGTGAGCCCCTAGGCCCCACATGGCCCTCCTGGGGAAGCTGACATTGGCCCGGCCTCAGGCGGGCAAAACATAAGGAGCCTCCTGTCAGGGCAGGCCAGGCACGGGGGCATGGCCTCTTTTTTCCTGGGAGAGCAGTCACCCCTCTGTCACCTGACCAGCTGCCCAGTCACTTGCTGCTGCACTCACGTTCACACAGCCGTGAACTCCCTAGAACTGCATCTGCTCAAACTGCTGCTTGACCCCTGCTTTGCATGCTTTCTTCTGCCTCCTGCTCACAGTCCTGTCTCCCTGATTCTCCACATGGCTCCATGTCACCCAGCAGTCCTGTGCCCCACTGCTGTGCAGAGAAGCCAGTGATGGCCCCTGCATGATGAGAGACTCCTGTGTCTACATCCTTCCTCCAAGGAGAAGTTGGCTAGTTCTGTGGCTTGGCCGGGAGTGGGTTTGGGTCAGCTTCTGCACAGTGTCCATTTTAAGGCCAATGGTCAACATCTTGTCCAAGGTCCTCATTTTGCAGCAAGAGCTGGGCTCCCCAAGGTGGGACCCTTGCCATTAGTAGAGCCTGACTCCTAAGTCTCCAGCTCCTGCCCTGGTGCTGCTCCCAGCATCTCACAAGACCCCACTCTGTCACGAAGAAGCAGTGAGGTCATGATGTTCAGAAGAGGAAGAAACCACAAAATAGCCTATTCTCTTGCAAGCTGCTGCACATGGAATTCTAGGGGCTCTTTGCCCCTTACCCAGAGTGGTAGGCCTTGCTGGAAAGCAGAATTGAACCACCTTGGAACAGGCAATTTTTAGAAATCAATCAGATGGATCAATTCATTAAAAAAGGTCATTCCTAAAAATCAAAAGCAGAAGGAAATACATGAACCTTACTAATGTTAACTGAAAAAAAAAAGCAAAGTAAGAAAAAGTATATGTAGTATGCTACTGTTTCTCTCTGAAAAGACAGATAGAAATATATATTCCTGCTTACTTATATTAACGATAATGAATGGATGGGTAAACATAAAACCAGTAAAGTGGTTATTTATGGGACACAGGGGAGTTAGTAGCACTAGATATCTCTGAACACCCTGTTTTGCAGATCTGACCTTACAACCATGTTAAATGTTTCACATAATTGTAAGTAGAAGTTAGATTGATACAAAAACAAACCTTTTGCTATGCCTGAGAGGGCAGGCACCTGCATGAGCTAAGGCATCCAGACCGGCTCCTTGGGTAGCAGAGGGTCCCCCAGCCTTCTCAACATCCCACGGTGGGGTGTCTAATACACTTCTCAAAGTTGCATTTCCAAAACCAAGCTTCCATCTGCCCCAAGCCTGCCCCACTCCCTCTGTCTTCCCCATCTCAGACAACACAGCTTCATCCTTCTTGCAGTCGCTGAGGCCAGACACCTTGCAGACATTCTTGACTCCAGCCCTTCTCTCCACCCGCAGTGGACCATCAGCAGTTCCTGCGGGTCCCATCTTCAAAGCAGATCCAGGATCTCCACCTCTTACTCCCTCTACTCCTGCCCGCTGGGCCAAGGCAGTGTGGGCTCTCACCGGGATTACTCCTATAACATTACTATCTTTGATCTCACCTTTTTCAATGTCATTTCTTAGCTCAGAACCCTCCAGTGGTTCCCAATTTCATCCAGATAAGGGCCAAAGTCCTTTCAATGGTCTGCAAGGCCCCAGATGATCTAGCTCTCACCACCTCTCTGACCTCACCATCTGCCCTCCCCCTTCACACTCTGCACTCCCGCCACCCTGCCTTCCTGGGTGCCAGAAGTTCCACCTCGGGGACTTTGCACTGGCTGTTCCCCCTCCCCGGATTGCTCTTCTCCTGGGTATTTGCATGGCTTCTCCCTCCCCTCCCTCAAGCCTTGGCTGCTCCATGTCACCTTCTCAGGGAGGCCTGTCTTAACCATTCCACCTAAAAAGGCAGTCTCCACCAGGGGTGCCCCCACCATACACCAGCATTCCCAGTTCTTCCAGCTTCCCACTTCCGTAGGCCTTCCCACGCTCTGGCATTCTCCATGGTGCATTTGTTCTGTTTATCTTCTGCATCTCCCCGCTGGGTGATGAGCTGAGCCTGGCATGAGTAAATGCTCACTAAACCACTGTCGAGTAAGTGAATGAATGGACAAGAAGGTAGCCAGCCCTGCTCAAAAGCACTTACTTTATCCTCTCAGGGCCTTTCAGCACCTCGCTTAGGGACCTGCCCAGCTCCTTGGGCTACCTCCCATCCTGCAGTTCCCCTCCTGAGACCAGACATAAGACACCCCAGGAAGTCTTAGCCTCAGAGTCCAGATTTGAAGCAGAAGGAAAGGTCAGCTCCCACTGTCCACCCTGAATAGCTGGTCCCCCTGTCTCTAAGTCTTCTCCCACCTCCCAGGGCCTGTGACATTGCAGAGATGTGAGTGTCCTCATCTGGGTGGGAGTCATTACTCTTCATACTCCCCATCACCAGTGGGACAGCCAAGATTCCTCCCGGCATAGGAGCCTTCAGGACAGAGCAGAGGGAGTTGTGGGGCAGAGTTAGCACAGGCCACAGTGGGTTATTGAGGGAAACTGGGGTGTCAGAAGGACAGACCTAACCCCCAAGCTGGATGTCAGGCAAATGCACTCCCGTGTCGTGGCCCATGACGCCTTTGTGAAGGACGGAACCCCTGCCTGATGGGCCACTGCGGGGAGGTTTTCAGTTGGACTTGACGGCCCTTCACTCACCTGGTGGGGTGTGGTGGGACGCGCCACAGTACAAACCCTGCTCTGGCCCTGGCTCTGCCCTTGCTCACTCTCTGGCCTGTGGACGAACCTCTCTGCCTCTTCCCAGTCACTTCATCTTTGAAGAGACTGTCATCACCGCCACTCACAGGGCAGCAGTGGAGACTGAGTGAGCCTGTGCTGAGGGTGCTGCACCCATACTGGGTGGTTAGCATTTCAAAATGGCGGCCCGGCAGATTGGCCCTTGGCGGGGCCCTTCCCAGGGGCCACTGGAAGCTGAGAGGCCTGTGGGGCACAGCTCTGTCATACGTTGTGGTTTCAAAGCTCACAAATTCCTTTAGTAATTCCTCTGCTCTGGAATCATAGGAGGGAGTTGTGCTGGTAGTTGGAATATTTACCCGTCGGCTCCTCTCCCTCCCGTCTTCCTCCCTTTCCCTGGATGTCTGCCTGGCCATCTGCAGTGGCCCAGGTGACCTTCTGCTTATGTGCTGTGGGGTCTACCAGGCTATTGCATTTAATAAACTCTTAAGAGCATGTCTCCTGTGTTTGAAGGACTCTACAAATATCAATGCACATTGTCAGTACAACCACCCTTTAAGGTAGGTGCTATTATGTTCACATCTTACAGGTGAGAGAAGTGAGGCAGAGAGCAGTTCTGTAACTTGCCTGGGGTTATACAGCAAGTCAGAGGCAAAGCCAGGGCCTGGATGCAGGCAGGCTGCCATAGAGTCCAGGCTCGGGCAATTCCCCTTCTTTCTCTCTCTGCTCAGCCCCTTGGGACCTCTCTTGGCAGCCTGTGACCCAGCCGTAGCCCTGCCCCTGAAGCCCAGTTCTGACCATCCAGCTTCCAAACTAAGAGATGGCCCCCTGTAGCCAGGTTCCTGCCCTTCCCCCTACCATCGACCTCCAGAGTCCTCCAAAACCTGGCCCAACCTAACTTTCCAGAACCTCTTCCTGCAACCCCACCCTCACTGGCCATGCACCTGGTGTCTCCATCGGCTGGGCCTCCGTACTCTCTGACCATGCCTGGGCCTTCCCTGCTGGACTGTCCTTTCTCCAGAAACCTCACCCAGGCTGCAAGTCCCAGATCTGCTCTTAGCAGAATGGTCAGGGTGAGACTGGTGTTCCTCAGTTTACTCTGGCAGTTTTATGCCTGAGGACCAGGAGCAAGAAGTATTTTATATCCATCACTCAGGATGTCCTGGGCTACTCAGGCCTTGCCCTTGTCCTGCCTTGACTGTCACCTCTTCCCCCACCACGCACCTTGTTCTTTTGTGTCCCCAGGGAGCAGAGATGCTCTGGCTTTGGAAGGAGTGGACTCCAGCTCCTGGGACCTCTGCCTACCCGTGGTCAACTCATTAAAACCATTAAAAAAATTCCTCATGGGTTCTAGAAATATTACAGTGTTTTATTTGTAATATTTATCTAGCCCTGCATGCCCCGACCCTGCCAAGTCCAGAAATATAGCATCGTGGTTAAGAGTGTAGGCTCTCCTCAGCTTCCAGCTTTCTAGCTGTGTGACCTGGGGCAAGTTACTTCACTTCTTTATGCCTGTTTCATCAGCTATAAAATGAGGACAATAATGCCACTGTCTACCCCATAGAATTGTGGTGATGATTGAATAAGCACATTTGTGTTCTTAGAATAGTGCCTTGGACAGAGAAAGCACCATGCACGTCATTCATTATCATGGTGGTTGTTGTTATTATTGTTAGAGAAGAGAACTGGGGCCCAGAGAGGTGTTTCCTCTAAGCCAGTGTCACACAGCTAACAGCCACAGGTTGGAGTGGAGCCAGCAGCCTGCCTCTCCAGCCAGGGTCTGCTCTTTACTCTGCCCCCGCCCCCCCTCCTTGGTACATGTTGCCAGGCAGTGGGTACTCCGTGAGCTTAAAATACCCAGGTGCTACCCTACCCCACCCTGTGTCCTGCCAGCTCTGCCAGCACTGACCTGGCCCACTCCATCAGCCAAGTGACCAGGGCTTTTTTTTTTTTTTTTTTTTGAGGCGGAGTCTTGTTCTGTCATCCAGGCTTGGAGTGCAGTGTTGCAGTCTCGGCTCACTGCAACCTCCGCCCCCCAGGTTCAAGTATTCTTCTGCCTCAGCCTCCTGAAGAGCTGGGATTACAGGCATATACCACCATGCCTGGCTAATTTTTTTGTATTTTTAGTAGGGATGAGATTTTGCCATGTTGGCCAGGCTGGTCTCAAACTCCTGACCTCAGGTGATCCTCCTGCCTTGGCCTCCCAACCTGCTGGGATTACAGGTATGAACCACCATGCCCGGCCGACCAAGGCCATCTTTAAGAGGCCTGGCTCAGTTTCCCACCCAAAAGAAGTGGACTTATGGGGCTGAGAGCCTCCCACTCTGCTGTCCTCTCGTCATCTTCATCTTCCCTTGGGCCACACTCAGCACAAGAAGGGAGCACAGGGCGCCTCCCGGGGAACAGAGAGCCAGCGAGTGCCACTGGGACCAAGGGCTTGACACCTGCCTCCTTGTCCCCCAGCTCAGAAACCACTTACCAGGGCTCCTGACCCACAGCAAAAATCTAAACATTCATTTCCAGTGGAGCTCAATACCATCTGCAGAAAGCCAGGCAGGGGCAGAAGAACAGGATGTGGTCCCTGCCTGCCTCCAGGGATGAGCTGTGGACATAGGCCATAAACAAGGAGACATTTACTCTCAACACTAGGAAAAGGTCCTGGGACAGACAGGGCTTTTCTCATGGGCCAGGGTGACCAGGACCGTTTCCCGAAGGAGACAACACACGAGCTCCTCAAGAACCAAGAGAAGATGTGTTGAGGCAAAGATGAGTGGGGTGGGAGTTCCTGCAGGGGAATGGCGTGGGTGCTCATAGGGGAAAAGAAAGGAGCAGGGCAGGTTACAGCACAGTGTGCAGGGTGCCCCGGGATTCTTCTCAAGTCTTGAGGCTCCCCAGAGGGCAAGCAGAGGAATCCAAACCCTTGTGGATGCTCCCCAAAGGGGCTGCAGACCCGCCTCTAAGAGGCTGAACCTGCCACAGGAACCGTAGCAATGCCAGAGGAGGCACCTTCTGCATTCGGGCCTCCTTGGTTCACACGCAGACAGCGAGAGCACCATGCCCAGAGTCCTGACTTATCACTGCTGCCATTTCCCGAGTGAGTGATGACAGCAGCAGCGGGATCAACTTATTGAGCCTTGCTCTGTGTCAGAGCCAAGGCGCAGCTCATTTAACCCTCAGAAGCCAGTGCAATAGACTTTATCATCATTATTTCACAAATGGAGAAACTGAGGCATGGACAGTAAGCACCTTGCCCAGGGGCCCATGCTAGAAAGTAACTGGGTCCAGAGTCTGTCTGGGTCCAGTGTCTGGCTCTCCCTGCTTCTGCCAGGGGTATTGGGGTGTTTTTTCATCTTTAAACAGTGCAGTGTGAGTCCTTGCCTATGGTCATGGGGTGAGCATCGGGGCTTCACGGAGATGGGAGCAGCACACCCAGGACTTGGCCCCTCCACCAGTCTATCACTCAGCAGCCCAGAGAGCCACTCTGGTGGTTTTGCCCATTACACATTTTAAATTATTTTTATTCTTAGTCAAATATTTAATTTTTTACCCATAATGGACAGTTGGTTAAAGGCAGGAAGCATTAAAGAACACTGATATTAAAAGGCTGGTTCATGAGGAACACGTAAGTGGTAATAATTCTGCACATATGCCTCAGGGTGCTCTGGCCGGATCTGCAAGCCTCATTCATCTGGTCAGAGTTCTCGTGTGGCAGCTCCTGCAGCTTGCAGAGCTTCACAACCCCGGGCTGGAGGCAGACAGAGCCCAACACCCATCTGACTCTGTGTCCACACGGAGCCAAGGCCCTCCTCACTCACGTCGTGCAATTTGGACAGAAGCACTTCCTAAAAACTCTCGGGTCTCAGCATTTAGAAACAAAGCAAGAATATTACAAAATCAAACCAGTTGACTTTCATTTTTTTAGAAAAACATAAAATTCAAGAATTCCAAACAGCGGGCCATGAAATCAGTTTTTGCTTTTTGTTTCTTTTTATGCCTTATATAGTCAAACTTTAGCCTGCAGTTTAGTGTGTACTGATGCCAAAGCCACAGTGTAATGGTAATATGTCATTTTGAAATTTCTTTGTAGAAAATCATGCTTTTGCTTTTACAACTCGTTTACAATAAATGAAGAAGAATGCATCACTTGATAATTGGCAGAAGGCTAAATTTTGCCTGTATTCATAAATGTTATTAAAGATCGGGTTAAACACAAACCTTGTAATTCACTTCCAATAACATATCAATCTAAAAACTGTATTTGACATAAAATAACTTCTTTATCTGGTAGTACCAAAAATAACAATTTTTTTTTTAACACTTAAGAGTGTTTCCAAGAGAAACTATTATGGTGAGAGGAATTCTCAAATCCCAAAGAGTCAAGCAAGATTCAGCTGTGGCAGCCCTCTAAACTGCCCCAGTTTTCATGAAGGTAAAAATAAGAATAATGAGAATTCATCCTTTTCCCTCCCGTTGAGGGGCTAAGTCTCCTGGTAAGTGCCTTATAGGCCCACCCCTGAGAGGAGGGGCGTACTTTGAGAAATTTGACCACAAGTGCTTTCCAGAAGGTCAAACTGACTTGCTTATGGTGAGTGCTGGTACACAGGCCCTCCCAAGTTCCCCAAGATGTGGGAGGGTTTGGCCACCCTTCAGACTGTGCCCAGACACTCAAGTTCCATTAGGGATTCTATTGGTTCCAAGTACACAGATGCACAATGAGCTCTGTGTTCAACCCTGGTAGCGCCATCCTACGGTGAGGGGTCTCTGCAGTTTCACCTCCTGCTAGGTGCAGCAGGACCCCCTTGTGTCAATTTTATTGTATTTCATTTGGTTTGCCTGGTGCGTAAGAAATTGACTTAAGAAAAATTGCCACCAAGCCTTTGTTGAGATTGGCATTTCTTCTCGAATGGCCTCTTCCCTCCTCCCTTTTAACTAAATCCTGCTTATTTTTAAAAACTTTTGATTCTGACAAAATTTCAGACTCTCAGAAAAGTTGCAGGAATAGTACAAAGAATTCTTATATATCCATCACCCAGTTTCCTGTGATGTTAACATTTTATCCTTCTCTCTCTCGTATACATTTTTTTCTGACCCGTCTGAAAGTAAGTTGCCAAAATGATGCCCTTTTACTGCTAAATATTTCACAGTGTGTTTCTTTAAAACAAAGACTTTTTTTCATAACCACAATACAATTCTCAAAATCAGGAAACTGATATAGATACGATACTGTAATTGAGTCTGTAGACCTTATTCATATTTCTCCAGCGATCGATCCTAGACTGTGGGCTGCATTCGATTGTCATGACTTGTTAGTATCTTTTATCCTGGGGCAGTTCTTTCTTCTTCTTTTTTTTTTTTTCTTTTGAGGTGGAGTCTCACGCTGTTGCCCAGGCTGGAGTGCAGTGGCGCAATCTTGGCTCACTGCAAGCTCCGCCTCCCGGATTCATGCCATTCTCCTGCCTCAGCCTTCCCAGCAGCTGGGACTATAGGTGCACACCACCACACCCGGCTAATTTTTTGTATTTTTAGTAGAGACAGGGTTTCACCGTGTTAGCTAGGATGGTCTCGATCTCCTGACCATGTGATCCGCCTGCCTCGGCCTCCCAAAGTGCTGGGATTACAGGCATGAGCCACTGTGCCCAGCCAACCTGGGGCAGTTCTTAAGTCTCTGTATTTCATGACATTGGCCTTTTTTTAAAGAGTGACCAGTTATTTTTGTAGAAGGTCCCTCAGCGTCGGTTTCTCTGGCATTTCTTCATGATTGGACTTGGGTTATAGGCACTGTAGTGATGTGACCTTCCCAGTGCACCATGTCAGGAGGTACGTGCTGTTCTTTAATCCCCTGCCTGGTGATGTTAACTATGATTACCTGGCAAAGGTGGTGACTGCCAAGTTTCTCCACTGTAAAGTTACAAGTTTTCCCTTTGTAATTAAGAAATATCTTTGGGGAGATATTTAGAGGCTACGCCAATGTTCTGTTTTTCTTCAAAACTTTCATCCACTGACTTCCATTGATGATTCTTGCTTGAAACAATTGTTCTTATGGTGGTTGCCAAATGATTTTCTAATTCCATCATTCCTTCTAAATGTACTAGTTGTCTTTTATCATAAGGGAAAGCCTTTCATTGACTTTTAACTCACTGCTCTAAGCCTCAGGACCTCAGCATTTGGGAACTAGGAGAGCAGGTCCTTGTCCCAGAATACACGGGCTGTCTCCTAGCTGAGTGGTGTTTAATGTGAAGGTTATCAGCGTCCTGCTACAAGTCCCTTGTATTTTGGAAGGTTCTAGACAAAGAAACTATCTGCTGGGGAGCCATGTCCCAAGATGGCTGGGCTGGGGGTTCCACTATGCATGAAGCCTTGAGGAGTCCTCTCTGTGATAACGTCTCACCATGGCCCCATCAGTTCCACCAGCCCTGGCTCAAAAACGTGGCCCAGGGGAGGCCCTACTCCAGCTAACTCCGTTTCACATTTCCTCTCCTTCCCAGGATGGAAAAACAGCCCTTCAGGGACAAGCGAACCTGTCAGTAATTAAGTCATGAGTGGAGGAGGCAGTCCCAGAAGGGTGGCTGGGCTGTGAGGCCTAATGGAGTGAGGCGGCTGGCGGCGTTCTCCGCCAAGAGCCTGGAGGCTCCACAGCCCAGGAAGCCCAACCGGCTCCTCTGTGTCCCATCTGTGGGGCCATCTTTGCTTCACGTAGGGGCCTTTCCCCAAGAAGGGCTGGACAAGGTTTATCATCATCCTGTGGTCAGCACTTTTAGCTTGGGCTGTTACCTGTTTTCCAGCCCCCAGGCACACCCATGACACCTGCCTGCTCTCAGAGGTGCCCCAGGCTCCACACTTTCCCTCTTGAAAAGTGTCTCTCTTGTGCTGCCCTCCTCTGAGATGCTTATGTTTGGGACACCAGGGTCACAGCTTGCTGGCCTGATGAAGTACTCCGTGCATACTGATTGAAGTGAGAACGTGTGGGGAGGGTCTTGATGGATGGGGAAGATCAGGCGCAGGGACAAGCAGATGCGGCACTATGATGGTGGCACCACCTCTCTAGCTCTTGCCTGGTAGACAGGAGGTCCAGGCTGGCCAGGAGGAGTCAGGAATTAGGTGAGAGGGAGCATTGTCACCAAAGGTTTCAGGTCAGAGCGTGGCAAGATGATAGTCACGGCCACATAGCAGGATGGAGGGGAGAGGCCTCAGTGTGGCATGGTCTCTTCATCCAGAAACAGAGACTTTGAAGGTCTGGGTCAAAAATGCCAAGTCCAGCCCCCTGGCCCCTGACCCAGGAGGGAGCTGAGTTCCCCTGCAGTCTTAGGGGGATCCTCCCATCCCCACTACTTCTCTGTCTCCATCCCACCTGCAACCACTGCTGGTGTCTCTACTCTTCTCCTTTTTAAGGGTATTCCTCTCAGTTATGTGGGTCCTTCCACTACCTCACGTCCTCCAGGAAGCCCTCCCTAACCTCACCCCGAGAACTCACCAGACCCCATGTCTCGCCACATGCTGTCGTAGATGGTTCTTTGAGTAGACATAGCAATTTTGCCGCTAGATTTTAAGATCCCCAAGGGCGGGAACCATATGTTATGTTGCTTTGTGGCTACCTGAGCCCCGACACGTAACAAATACACCAGAGTTTGATCAGATTTTAGGATTGCAAAGGAAGACTCCAAAGCTGGTATGTGGCTCTACCCAGATCTCAGGGGAGAGGCCAGCCTGAGAAGCAATATTCTTCATTCGTTAGCTCAAACGTGGTTTTCAATGAATCAAGAATAAACTATGATGGATGAGGAAGCCACCATCGGCCAGCTTGCCAACTGGTGCTGAGCCTCCAGCGCCCCATCTTCTGCCCCAGCAAGCTCCCCAGTAGGTTCCTGGCTAAGAAACTTGGGAAACCCCAGTAGGCAGGCTTGCATGGAGGGCCTGTAGCCAGAAGTAGAGAGGTACGCTGGGCAGGGGAAGGGCCTGCACTGGAGCCAACAGGGTGGCGGCCCACATGCAGCTCAGGCCACTGAGGCATGTTCATTGTCCTAGGGAAGCTCCCGACAACTTGGAGTCCTGGGGTCACTACTCAGTTTCATGCCCAGGCCTTGAAGTGAAACACTTCATTCAGAAAGTTTAGGAGAAGAGAAATTGGCTTGTTCAAGAGGATTTTGCTACCAGGGGCTGCGGCTCACACTTGTAATCCCAGCGCTCTGAGAGGCCAAGGTAGAAGGATTGCTTCAGCCCAGGAGTTCAAGACCAGCATGGGCAACATAGCAAAACTCCTGTCTCTACAAAAATTAAAAAAAAAAAAAAAAATTAGCCAGTCATGATGTCACGAGCCTGTAGTCCTCGCTACTTGGGACGCTGAGGTGGGAGGATCACCTGAGCCCTGGAGGTCAAGGTTGCATGAACTGTGATCATGCCACTGCACTCCAGCCTGGGTAACAGAGCAAAAACCAAAACCCTGACTCTAAGAAATAATAATAATTATTATTATTATTATTTAACAAAAAAAAGGAGGTTTTTGTCATCAGCTGCAAGTCACCCCCATTGACGGCCAAAGTAATGGAGAAAGCAGCCCTTTCCACCAGTCCCAAGATGGACTTTGACGAATTAAAATGCCCAATCCTTTGCATTTTCTCAGCTATTCCTACTAGATTATTTTAAATAGCAGTGAGGAAGTTCTTCTAGAAGAGCGCAGATGGGTCAGTCTCTTGGAGTGAAGAGCATAGGGGCGAGACGGGGGTTCGGGCCCTGGTCCTGGATGGGCTTTCTGCTCAACCTCTCCCAAGGGGGAAAGGCTCCCCTAGGGTTGCTGTGAGGATCAAGGGTGAGCATGTGTGCCCCCAGCAGGTGGGGGCCACTCAGTGTTTGTTAAATCTGAGTACCATGGTGACTTGGGATGAAGGGAGGGAGGGAAGGAGGGAGGGATAATGATGGTGCTAAATTGAGTATCACTATACCTTTACTCCACCTTCACTCCAGCCCTGAGAGTGGAAGGAAAGCCAGAAGCCTAGAGGTGTGGGACAGCATGGGATAATGGAGGCAGGCCCATTCCCTGGGAAGGCACCTCCCGAAGATCAGCGCACCCCATCCTCACAGCTACCATGTGCATAGCTGTTGTGAGGTCCGTTTGATTGATAAGATAACAGAGGGGCAGAGAAGTTAAGTGACTTGTCCAAGACCACCCAGCTAGACCAAGGCAAAACCAGCATATGAACCCAAGGGTGTCCAGCTTTCAAGTTTTTACCACATCAGGCTTTCTCTCCAGATGAGAACTTCTTAGAGGGCTGCTGAGGTCCAGGAGGGCTTCCTGGATGAGGTGCTGGTTGCAGAATGGGCAACAGCTAACTAGTGAGGTATAGGGCACTGCAGTTTCTAACTGTTGGTCAGTGATCAGACACCTCCCATGACAGGAAGCTCACCATGTCCCCAGACAGACCCCTCTGTTGCGGGGCAGCCCTCCCCATGAGAAAGTTCCTTCATTAAGTGAGCCCAGGCTGCATCTCTGCATCTCTGAGCCTTCCCTCCACTGGCCCCTTCTCCCCAGCCCTCTTTTATTAGACAGGCTCCATGATTGGTCGCACCTGGGATTTTAAATAACTTTTAGGCGACTTTCTGTCCATGTGCCTTCCTCTTGGTCCTAGCTTTTCTAGTTTAAGGGCTGTTCCACCACACCAAGGTGGTAAGATTAAAACAGGCAAGGAAAGAGTGACTTCCGGGAGAGCAACTTCCAGGTCAATCAACTCGTAGGGTGAGTGAGACAGCAGAGGGCCAGCTAAGGCCCATCAGCCAGGGTGCCGAGGCCAGCTGTGGTGGATTCGAATGGCCAGGCTTTGGGCTGGGGATAAAGGAAGTCACTGAAGGTGGACCCCAAGCTGCGAGGACCCCATCACAGTATTTCCCTCGGGATGATGGTAGTGAATGTTGGGTGATGAAGACTTTCATGGTGGGAAACTATGCCCAAAGCTCAGCCCTTAGAGCCCAAAATCAGAACAGAAGCCAGGCATCCTGAGGTCTCTTCCTTGACCTAACATTTGAAACAGCCCCTGTCTTCCCATCTGTACTATGGGTGCACAGTGTGATCCCTCCCTCTGCATAGCTGGAGGATTCATGCTCTGTTGCTTGGAAAACCCATGGCATAATAATATTACAAACAAACACTAATATAGCACTTGTATCAAGTCCTTTAAAACTCACAAGAACCCTATGAGATGGGTGTTCTATTTGTTCCCATTTTATAGGGGAAGAAGCTAAGGCACAGAGCAGTTAAGGAACTTGCCCAAAGTTGCACAGCTAAAAGTGTAGCGTCAGGATTTGAACTCTGGGGATCTGGCTCCAAAGTCCACACTTCAAACTACCACGAACTACTGTGAAGCTCGGGGGATGCCCAGAGCCACCAGCAGGCTGTAGTGAGGGTCCATGGGCCGGATCTGGGAGACTGCAGGGCTTGGCAGGCCGAGCGGAAGGGCGAGGGCCTTCCCCTGGAAACACTCCACCAGGTTCACGCGGAGCCTGGCGACTCCCCAGGGCAGCCGCGTGCTCTTCCCATGACATCACACTGCCTCAGAACTTTTGAGGCTGAGGATTCTTGGAATGCTGGATTCACCCTGGAACAAAAATAATACCTCGTATTCATAACGTGCTTTTGTTCCCCACAGGCTTTCCTGGGCTTCATTTCATTGTAGCCTCAGACTAGCCTTGTGATCCAGGCAGGAGTCCTGTAGGTGGGAGGCCACCCTAAGAACCTGAGTCGGGGTTGGTCTCCCCATTCTGCAGGTGGGCATACTGAGCCACGGGGAGTTGAGTGGTTGGCCAAAGCTGCACAGCAAACTGGTTCTGGGCAATGTGGGCCAAGAGCCCTGGATTTCCAGTGGGGTTGAGGGGAGGCCTCAGAAATGGGTCCGCAGTTGAGTGAAGCTCAGAACCCCATAGAGTATCCCCAAGAAAGCCTTTTTCCCTTGGCCTTCTGTGCTGCCGCAAGATGGAGGAAGGTGGCAGGAGTCTGCACGCTTTCCTCCCTTCCCCACGAGGCAGCAATGAAGCCAGAGGGGCCACCCGAAAAACAATCCCCGAGCCCTGCCCCACAGGCCCCAGCCACAGGAACCAGCAGACTGTGGTGGGAAAGGGCTGTTCCCAGCACAGATGGAAACCAAGGGCTGCAGTGGCTTCTGTGGTTTTCCCGAGACGCAGTGGAGCCAAGGCTGGCTGGCCGGATCTCCAACCCTCCCATCCAGAGCCCTCCCAGGCTCTCCCCTCACCAGCCCCGGCCTCCCCATTCCCAGCGGGCCCTGGCTCAGCCCTCCGCCTTTGCTTCTGCACCACACGCTGCCATAGGACAGCCCACAGCTCCCTCCTTGCTGACTTTGGCTGAGGCCTGTGGTCCTCTGAATTTGGGTTTAGTGGCTCAGCAATGGTGTGCAAGCTGCCCTACACTCTCAGAACACTCAGTGTGGTGGCTGAGGGCACACATTCGGGGCCAAACTATATAAGTTCAAACCCAGGCTCTGCTTGGTGCAAGTTGTGTGTCCTTGGGCAAGTTTCTTACCCTTTCTGTGCCTTGAAGACCTCTCTGGAAAATGGAGTGAACAATAGTTCCTCTCTTGGGGTTGAACGAAAGCCATGCCTGGCTTACTGTAACTGCTTCCTACATGCTAGCTATGAACCATTCTTCTGCATCCCTGTGATGTGAGTTTGAGTCCTGTGGCCTCAGGACCACCCTCAGAGTGTGTGAACTGCCCGAGTCCAGGGCCTGCGTTTGGTTTATGCTCCAATATGGCTGTCTTGACTTTCTCAATAGCTTTTGAACCAGGGGCCCACATTTTCATCTTGCACTGGGTTCCGCTCATTATGTGGCCAGTCCTGCCTCCAGGCCAGAGTAGAACATAGGCCTGTGCTGCTCTCTGCTTCCTTTCCTTCGTGATTCTTGTCCTGGGATAAAGCTAGAGACCTGTTTCTGTAACTAATAGATTCACATCTGTCTCTCCAAATGGACCCTCAGCTTCATGAAGGCAGCAGCCCTGTGCGCTGGAGTCATCGCTACCTCCCCTCCCCAGACCACAAGGAAGATAGAGAGAAGGTTCTGCCTCATCTGAAGGAAGTGGATGCTTTGGGAGCAGTTCAGAGGCACACACAAGACACTCTGGTGGCAGAGACGTGGGTGTGATGTAGGGCATTCCAGACTGTAATCATATCAGGAGTCTGGAGGGCTCGGGCAGGACCCTGGGAGCTGGGGAAGGCTCCTGCTCAGGTCTGGACCTTAAGACCTGGATAGGATTAGGGGAGTGCTGAAGGACTCTGTAGGGACAGCTGAACAGCTTTGTCACACAAACACCCTGCCTCCACCCCAACTTCTCTCAGAGGGCTGCAGGAGCTATGTGGCCTCAGGCAAACCCACTGACATCTCTGATTAACCTCTGGGCAGAACAGAGTCTCAGCATGTGTTTAATTAATGAAACAATAATGAACCAGCCTTTCTCTGCATCATTTATTATTCATTCATTCATTCATTCATTCATTCATTCATTCATTCTACAGTTAGTGAGAAAAGTCTTTGCCTGTAGGGTGCAGAGGTACCAATCAGACCTTTCATCTATTCCAGAGCATCGTTTGGCGAGGTAAACATCTGATTTCTAAAGCTTTTAGTCCATGCAGTGAGCTACCACACTTCTTACATGAACTTTTGCCTAGGCTGGCAAAGACCTCAATCTTGAATTGTTTTCTACCCAACTCTGAGCAAAGAGAGCCACAAAATCTATTGGAGTGGGGGAGTCTGCAGCTTGGCTGGCCGCCCACGGTGGCAGGAGTGTTTCTGATGCATGCTGGCCCTCTCCTCTCAGCGTTGTTAGGAGGGAGTGCTCAGGAAGTAGCTGGCCCAGTGCTGCTGTTGCCGCCATCATGATAATGATGGCTCTGGCAATTACAGGGCCCGTGTGTTGCCTAAGCTTTGTAGCGATGCCCCCAGTTCTCCAAAGAGCACTGAGATCTCCAATAAGTAATTGTTAAATCCAGTCATATGGCGTGTTACAGCAAAAACACAAATCTGAGTTCCAGTGAGGGCTTTGCCACTAACTAGCGGGGCGACCCTAGAAGGACAAAGCAACCTCTCTGGACCTTGGTTTTCTCATCCGTCATGCTGTGACTCATGTAATCCTTACAACTGCCCCTCAGGTGGGGACTGGCACATCTGGAAACAGAGACACAGAGAGGTGAGATCACCCAGCCCATGCAACTGTGAGTGGCACAGTGCCAGGCTCTGTGCAGGCTGCCATACCCCAGACAGACCTGGCAAGGAGTGTCCTGCGGGGGACACCCATCATCCGAATCAGCCCTGCGCGCACCATGGGTGCTCCGTTAGTATAGGTCACTGTGATCCTTGTCTCTGAGTGTTCATCAGCCAATACCATGATGTCCCTTGGTTGACTCCCTCATGAGGGAAGAAAACCTCCCCTCCCTTATACTTTTCCTTTTTAAGCTTCCCCATCATTCTGCAAACTGGGGTGGGTGTGTGTGGCGACTTTTGTTCCTGGGTCCTATATGCCATCGCTCGACTAAGCAGCCCCTGAGCTGCAGAGAAATTGTTGGTGCCTGTGCCTCCGAGCCTCACCGCAACCCTTGCGTTGTCCCAGGTGACTGGGCCAGGGCAGGCAGAGCTCACTCAGGGCATGTGTAGGTGGGCAGGAGTGGAGGTGCCTACGCTGGTAATAAGCAGTCATCACTTTTCCTGAAGGCAAGAAATATGAGCCCATGCATAGTTTTAAAACCACTTGCCCTAGGAATTTTGCTTTCAGAAATTTTTAAGCAGACCTACAAATTATGTGGTAAAATGTCCGACATGGAGAGAACCATAATAAGTCAGTGGCACTCAGAATATCTAGTTGGGAACGATTATGAAATAAAAAACGAACAGAGGGACATTTGTCTCCATTTGGACTGCTGTTAAAACCATTTTTTTAAACAAAATTTGAAGTTATTCTCCCTACACCCACCTCCCAAAATGCAGCTGTGGTGTTCCGAGAACATTTTTGTCTTTTTGTATAAAAGAGAGCAGTCTTAGAGTAAAACAAGACATCTGATTTCAGAACCCAAAGAATAAAGAATAAACTAAATGAACGATGGAAAAAGCATAAACCGACAATTTCCATTCTCCAAAAAAAAAAAGCATTATTTTCCTAACAGCAGGTGTTGCCAGTAGCACAAATGGAATATTAATCTTATCTCCTGTGCTGTTCTTCCTCACCCGAAGAAGACTTCCCCAGAAATAAAGAGGCAGAGAGTTGGGTTTTTGCCCTTCTTACTTGCAGGGCTGCAAAACTGGGTGTCCAGTATGTTTCCCAACCCAGGACCCACATGTCCATGTGTCTGAGACCAAGTGCAGCCTCCTTGCCGGGTTGCTGGGAGCAAAAGCGGCTCATCCCTGGCCCAGCCAAACCCCAAACCCGCAGGTTTCGTGGGGAGCAGCCAGCTGGCCCCTGAATGAAGGTATCGACGAAACCCAGCGCCAGCAAATACAGAAGAGAGAGGAGCTGGTTTTGGCTGGCCCAGCCAACGACCGCTGACAAATATTTGTGAATGGCCAGAGCAGGGAAGCCTAGGTCTCCATTGCTGGGGAACGAGGCCTAACTCCAAGTCTGTTCCAGTGCCCTTAGCAGCCCTCTTGGCTCCTTCTCAGGCAAAGAATTTGGACCTCATGCAGTTATCACCACCGAGGTCTCAGTGGCCATTCAGCCCTTTGTCTCCATTACTACAGGTCACTGCGGTCCTTGTCCCTGAGTGTTCATCAGCCAAGGAGGCTGTGTCTAAAGGCGAATGGGAGACAGATGGGAGGTGGCTGCAAGGTGCTGTGATTAGTTGACAGGCTTAGCTCACTCCTGGAGCCCCTGGCAGGCCCTCTGCTGTAGGAGTGCACCTCACGGAGCCTCGGTTGTCTTATCTGTCGAATGGAAAGAAAGGTTCTTGGCCTGCCTGCACACAGAGGCCAGTCCCAGCAATCACTCACCCTGAGAACTAAGCAAGGCCTTGTGCAGGAAGAAGGAAAAGGGAGGACAGAGGGACAGTCTTAGTGCCTCTTCCTCCAGTGGCATCTGGGTTCTTCCCTGCCCTCCCAGGGCTCACCCAGCTGATTCCATCTGCCATTTAGCTCCATATCAAGACCTCCTTATTTTGAACCTGTTAGTCTTTCCTACCCAATTAGGAGGGAACACTTGAGGTGGACTCCCTGGCTTCCCTCCCACCTACGGATGGCTTTCCACATGTGCAAAGGAGCCGCCGCCCAGCAAGGGTGAGCCTGAGAACGCCCACTAATGCCAAGTGGCCTGGGGCATTCTTGGCCATTGCTATATTGTCAGGGCTGGCTGGCTCCAAGCTCTTTCGAACCAGAAAGACATGGAATTCCAGGTCCCTCCAGATTTCCAGGAATGAACAGCAGAAGCCCTGCAGGAGCCAGCTGATTTCTTTCTGGAGCCCCTGACCACTAGCCATATAGCAATTACTTCCTTCCCCCTCCAGGTAGATAGAAGTTGTTTTCTTTTCTGGGGGTGGAGGAGTGCACTGGGTAGAGAGAGGGAAATCCCTGTATGGCAAGTGGGAAACCAGGCAGTTTCAAGACGGATGTTGGGAAGGGCTTGGTCAACCATCCTTTGGGGACATTTCTTGGGCCATAGCTGCAGGCGCCACAAAAATTCTAAATAAGGATGACGAAAGTTGTGAGAATCAATTATTATCTGCCAGGGAATTTCCAAGGTTCCTCTCTGGGCTTAAAAATAACTCACATTGAAAGAACAAAGAGAATGGAAGGAGCAATTAGTTGAAAGTAACTGAGAAGTTAAAGGAGGGAGAATTCACAAAAAGTCACAGGCACGAGGCACCCTGGAGAGTGGTCTGTGGGCCACAGTTTCTTCTGGGCTTTCCAATGGGGGTTGCCTTACACTCTGCAGAATGAGGGCTGCAGCCCTCCCCGCTGACTCAGGCATTTGGGGCTGGGCTGGGCTGGGTAGTCGGAAGGCCAGTTGGTGGTAGAATCACTGGGAGGAACCTGACTCAAGGGCCCCACTTTTCTCATGGGGCCCAACTCTTCTCCAGGTGCTGGTGCTGATAGCTCCTACCTGCCATGGGGAGTGAAACTGAATATTTCAGCAATGCCAGTGAGGAGGGGGGTGTGTTTGGGAATGGAGGGGCTGCCTCTCCCACCCAAGTGTCAAGGCAACAGTGCTTTTGCCCAGGAATGTATATCAGAAACCAACAAGATTGAACTTGGACACCAAGGATGAAAAATGCCACACAGGCCTCCTGAGAAGGGCCCAGGGTATGCCTAGTCAGCAGGATTCAGTTCAGGGTACCAGATTTTTACAGATATTTTAATAATGACTCTTAAATTATTGAAATAAATATAGACAACCCCAAACCTTGGACACTGTATATAAAAAGAAACCTAAGAAGACTCTGAAAGGTAGAAAGAAGACAGACAGGCCAGGGACCTTGGGAACTGAAGAATGACACACTGGTGAGTTCCTGGGGTTTTCCTCTTGGCTCAGATATCCCAGACTTGGAGCTAAAGAAACTGGAGACCCAGAAACACCATGAGGCCTGAGCAGACAAACGGAGCCCCAACAAAAGTCCACTCTTTCTAGCCAGAGGACCAGGGAAGGGGCAGCCTAGCAAGACAGAAAACTCGAGACAGTAGCTACTTTCCTCCAGCCAAACACCTCTGCAGGAACTGTAGCCACACCCCCACCCACCACTCCAGCGGAGGCCCAATGAGGGGCCTAGACAGTGACAAGGTACCCAGCACCCCAACAGGGTGGTGTCAAAGGGACTGTCATCCCCATTGGGGATAATGAGCTACTAAGCTTTTCAATGGAGGCTTTTCAGTGAAAAAAAAAATTTTATTCATTTTAGTGGAAAAAAATAATGCATTTAACCCCAACCCAGGATACCCTCAATTTTTCACAGATAAAAATGTATCAAGTAAATATTAAAATTGAATTTATATAAGTAATAAGCAATAAGTTGTAAGTAAATAAATACAATTTGTTCATAACATGCAATGCAATGAAGGTCTGTGGTACCCAAGATAGGTCACGGAGGAGGTGCAGCGCTTATTCTTTAGAAGCTAACATTATCTTTCTGCAAAATCTTTCCACTATTTTACAACCTTTGCAGAATTCATGCTTATCTTGTGCTCCAACTGCACTTCCAGTAAAGTTGTGGCATGGAAAACACCCTGAGGGTAAAATGGAGTTTGAACATAGTAGTGCTTTCAGTGGCAGGAAGCAGCCTTTGAGCCAGCCAGAAGGGTCATGAGAATGTCCCTCACCACCCCTTCACTTGCCTTTTGGCCACAACTCAAAAGTTTGGGGTTTGTTCCTGCTGCACAACTCACACCTGTTCCCTGTGCTTAGAAAGTGTTGTCAGATGAGCCTGTCTTGACCTACACCCATCATGTTAAATATTCCTTCTGTATCTGTTTGCTAGGTTGCTGTAACAGAGTACCACTGACTGGGCTGCATAAACAAGAGGCATTTTATTTTCTGACACTTCTGGAGGCTGGAAGTCCAAGATGAAGGTGTCGGTGGGGTTGGTTTCTTCTGAGGCCTGTCTCCTTGGTTTGCAGATGGTCACCTTCTTGCTGTGTCTCCATGTGGTCTTTCTTCTGGGCATGCAGCCTCCCTGGTGTCTCTGTGTGTCAAAGGTTCCTCTTGTTATAAGGCCATTAGTCAGTTCAGATTAGGGCCCATCCTAACAGCCTCGTTTAATTTAATCACCTCTTTAAAGGTGATCCATCATGTCTTATCTCCAAATACAGTCACATTCTGAAGTATTGGGGGTTAAGGCTTCAACATATGAAGTTTTGCGGGGTGGATGGGGGACACAATTTAGCCCATGAAAACTTGTTATAGCATATGTAGTTTGTGGGTTTGGGGGTGAAAATGACAATGTTCCAAAAAAAAAAAAGTTGTTTGAAAGGGATATAACTTTTCAAAAAACATTATGGTGAACAGTCATTCATAGGAAGGTGCTTGTAAGAAGCAGGTCTGCGTATGCATCTTTGCTGGTACATGCATAGAATATGTCTGGAAGATTCACACACGTGGAACGGCTGCTTCCAAAGGCCATATGTGATGACAGAGTCAGAGGCAGGAGGGTTCACTGTTATCTGCTACTGGATCTTTTTAATTTTGTTCCACATGCTTGCATTCACACATATTCTAGTAAGCGAATAAAGTACTGATTTTAAGGAAAGAATTGGCTTTGGTCCTCTGCAGTAGCAAGGACCGGTCTGCCTGTTCTCGGCTGTATCCCCAGGGGCTGTCACAGACTCTGGCACGTAGAAGGTGCTCAGGAAGTGTTTGTTGGAAGAATGAATATATGGACAAGGCAATGACTTCCTGTTCTGGCGGCTGGGCACAGGGACTCTGACCAGCCCGCCCAGTGATCGCCTTCTCTGTCTTTCCTCTTCCGTTTGCAGGCGGCAGCAGAGACCTCCGGGGGGCAACAAGCCCCAACAGCATGGTGACCACCAGCCAGGCAGTGCCAAACACAACAGGGACCACCAGAAATCCTACCAGGGGGGCTCAGCACCCCACCCCTCAGGGAGGCCCACTCACCATGGCTACAGCCAGAACCGGCGCTGGCACCATGGCAACATGAAGCACCCACCAGGCGACAAGGGGGAGGCAGGCGCACACCGCAATGCCAAAGAGACCATGACCATCGAGAACCCAAAACTGGAGGACACTGCAGGGGACACCGGGCACAGCAGCCTTGAGGCCCCCCGCAGCCCTGACACCCTGGCCCCGGTGGCTTCTGAGCGGCTGCCCCCACAGCAGTCAGGGGGGCCAGAGGTTGAGACAAAACGTAAAGACAGTATTCTTCCCGAGCGCATCGGGGAGCGGCCCAAAATTACCCTGCTCCAGTCTTCCAAAGACAGACTGCGGCGAAGGCTAAAGGAAAAGGTACCGGTAATTGAATTTTTGTTCTTCTCTTGCACCAGGGAGGACAGCAAGAGGTAGGCACTTTGGTAGGTGGGCACAGTGCAGAGCCTTGTGGGTTTGAGGGTCTAGGGAGCCATGTACAGGGAAGCAGGGGCTTCGGTCACTGTGGGGACCAACCACACTGGTCCACCACTGCCAGCAGGTAGGGCCATCATGAACCCCTCCAGCACACTTGGGCTTTTCACCTTCCAAACTCCAAGAGGCCCAGGGTGGGCACTTGGAACCAGCCCCCAGCCCAAGGGAGTAGGGGGAAGAGATGCATGCCTGGGAGTGATGGGGGAGGTGCAGGGAGCATATTCTAGGGTTAGATATTGTTTGTGCTGAAGAGCACTTGGGGAAACATGGAGCTTATGAAATAAGAACTGAAGCTTTTCTACAGGTGAGTACCATCCAGGCAGTGGTCTCTGCCAGAATGGGGAGCAGAGGTGAGTTGTTCAGAGTGGGGGCAGGCTGATTCCAGCCTTCCTGTTTCCCGCCTTCATCACCCAGAGGCCAGGGAGTGCTCTACAGTGCACACCGTAAGGTGGCTCCATTCTCAGCATCACGCAGGTGCCTACCTGTGCCAGCATGAACCCGAGAGTGAGGCCTCCTTACTTTTGCTCCCAGGAGGCTCTTTCTGCACCCTGGTCCTGGCCTGGCCTGTAGCTTCAGGAGATGACCCTAAACCTCCAGAAGAGGGATGGGGATTTGTACTTGCAGCAGTAAGTCCATTGTGCTCACCCCAGTGCCACCACCCCCGACCCCACTGCCCAGCAGGGGCACAGGAAAGGTCACCCTGGAGAGGAACTGTCCCAAGAAAGGCCAACTTGCCCACAGCCATTCCCACACAGCAGCAGGGCCTACAGAGGCTTCCTCCTGGGGCTTCCGCAGAGCTCCATGTTCTGGGCTTCTCCTCCATCCTCCCCTACTGCCGACTCTCCTCAAGCTCTTGCCCCAGAGGCCAGGCCCAGGGTCCACACTCAGGCAGGATAAGGCAGGTCAGACCTCTTCTTGGATCCACTCTTGAAGATGAGATGCTGCTCCCAGTATCCTCTCCACCGAGTCCTCTAGAGTTCTGCTAAATGTAACTGCAGGGCAGCAGAGTGGAAACAGCACGGGCTTTAGAGCGCAGCTGAGCAGGCTCAGACCTCACTTTGCCTTTGACTGGATGGGTGGTCTTGGGCAAGTCACCTAATCTCCCTGAGCCCCAGTTACTCATCTGTAAAATGGGTGTTAATACTACACACCTTGCTGAGAGACTGTGAAGGTTAAATGAAATAACGTGTACAGATATGTTCTTGTGGGTATTCCTATTCTATATGCAGACCACTGTTCCTGCCCTGGGGCCCAGATGGTCGGAAGAGAGGGGTACATGGGGGAATGGAACAGAGAAGGTAGATCTATAGCACCTATAGATCAGTTTCAAGGACTCCACTCAGGTGAGGCCTCCTGAACTCCTGGACCAAGAAGACATGGGCTCAGGCTCAGGCTGGGTCACTCCCCACTCTGCTAGTTGCTCACTCTAAAAAAGGGTAAATCCTAGGTGGCCAACCAGCCACATCCTAAACATTTTCATCAGGGAGAGCAACACTTTCCTTCTCTCTTTCAAGAGACAGGTAAAGCGTGAGATGTCTCTTGGGGTGGGGATTTGTGTCCTGTTAACTTTACCCAGGGACTCAGAGTAGCCTTCCCTGAAGAGGTGGTTGGGTTTGAGGAGAAGAACTAGGCCACCCTATTCCTTCACCCAGGATTCAGCCCTTTCTTTTTTTTTTTTTTTTTTTTGAGATGGAGTCTCGCTCTGTCACCCAGGCTGGAGTGCAGTGGCCCAATCTCGGCTCACTGCAAGCTCCGCCTCCCGGGTTCATGCCATTCTCCTGCCTCAGCCTCCTGAGTGTTTGGTTCTCAAGCCAGAGACTAGCTGCCCTTGGAACTTGATCCCACCATGGAAGGGCTCAAGGAAAGCTATAGATTTTCTCGTCTAACCTCACTGTGTTACCTATGAGGAAACTGAGGCCCAGAGAGTGAAATCACTTACCCAAAGCCACACAGCTAGAGGCAGAGAGTGGGATCTAGAGCCTTGGTCTGTGCCTTCTAGGCCAGAGCTTCTATTGTCAGGGACAGAAGACCAAGCTTGGATCTCATTTCATGACCCTGACCCTGCCCTTCCAGCCAGATCTCACTTCCTTGCAGTTAAGTTGTTCCCATTCTTGGCCACCAAGAATGAGTCAATACAATAAGATGACATTTTTTTCTTCTTCAAGCCCCTGGTCTGGTCCTAGTTGCAGTGAAATCTCATAAGGCTGTAGGGCTTTTTACTTGTAATATCCCTCCTAGAAGCCCAACTGTTTTAGTGGCACATGGGAGGATTCCTTGGTGTGTGGCATATGTCTACAGAAGACCAGCACAGTCTCCACAGGACAAAAAGCCAGGGCTGTGCCCACAGGGGGCCCTATGCCCAGAGAACAAGTCATCATTGGGCATTTGGAGCTGAGGGTGTAGGGGACAAGGTGGCCACTGCCTGGGCCGCTTTTAACCACCACTGCAGGCATTTTGGATCTGACCTGCCTTCCTGACCAAGTCTTCCTACCCTCATTTTCTCTTTGGCCCGATTTCATATTTGTTATCTTATTTCCTCTTTCATAATTTCCATTAAATCTTTTCTAGATTAAGATATTTGATGGACAAATAAACAAAAAAAGCCAATGTATATGAGAATCCTGGGTAGGAGCTAGAACCCAAAAACAGTATCAGCCCTGGATGTCATAGGGGCCAAGAAAAAAGGCAACAAGGAGCTTTTGGCGCATGAGGGGTCTTTGGTGGAGGTTCCCAGAGGGACCAGCCCTCAGATCCAGGGAAGTAGGCCTGGTCCTGCTTTCTGGGGGTGGCCACCCTCTTTCCACCAGGCCACCCCTGCACAGAGACCTCGGCTTCACTCAGGCACATTCATTTGTCTCCGACACCCCCAGGATGAAGTGGCCGTGGAGACGACCACTCCCCAGCAGAACAAGATGGACAAGCTGATCGAGATCCTGAACAGCATGCGGAACAACAGCAGCGACGTGGACACCAAGCTCACCACCTTCATGGAGGAGGCCCAGAACTCCACCAACTCCGAGGAGATGCTGGGCGAGATCGTGCGCACAATCTACCAGAAGGCTGTGTCCGACCGCAGCTTCGCCTTCACCGCTGCCAAGCTCTGCGACAAGATGGCGCTCTTTATGGTGGAGGGGACCAAGTTCCGGAGCCTGCTCCTCAACATGCTGCAGGTAACTGGACGCCGGCCACCACCGCCCCGCGCCCCCTGCCCCTCTGCGTTCGGTGAGTTATTCCTAGCGAGAAGGCTGCGAGTTCTGGCCACAGTTGGACTTTTCCCAAGTTCCGCCCTTGCCCGATTAATTATAGAAAACACAAAGGCAGTTAAGGGGCCAGGAATGAGCGGCTGGATTTGTGTGTGTTTATGTGTGGGCTCCCTGGTTACAATGGACCAATATAATTTTATAGGTGCTTTATGTTTAACCAGCCTTTCCCACTTTCTATTTTCATAAGAGGCTGGCTCTTGGTCTCAACCTGGCTATGTGCTTTGACCTCTCTACATCCAAGCAGACATGAACTTGCTGTGGACTTCTCTTTTCCTCCTCCTTCCACCCAGGGCTAGGTCCTTAGACCTTTGCAGATATGCAGTTGATCATCACTGGTAGTGAGATGGGTTTGAGTAAAGCCACACATGAGCAGAAAAGGGATAGTCTGTTTACCAACACACTATGGCTCCTGGGCAGAGGGAAGTCACGGTGATGCAAGACTGTCTTCATCCTTGCTCTTTCCCTCTTAATATCCCTTCACCTCTGACAGTGTAACCCCACCCCTGATCATTGCTTCCTCCATGAAGGCCCACGTCCAGTGGTTCTATCAGCATGAGTGTGTCGTGGGAGTAGGCGCGTGCACTTGGACGGAGCTTAGCAATGTTTCATCTCACAAGTACCTGCTTGCCTGTATGGGCAGTAGCAGATGAGCTGGTGGCCCCAAAACTGGTGACGTCAGGGAGAGATAGCAGGGTCATGGGATGGTGGCCACATCAGGTCCTGGGACTGTCCTTGGAGACTCTTGGCTGGGGGAGAGCCATGTCTCCTTTCCTCCTATTTTGTATTTTAGAGACTAGTTAAGATACAAAGTGAGTTTCTGGTCCAGATGAGATAAAATGGTAGTTTCCAAGTAATGAAGTAGAATGGCAGGCTATAGGGCCATCTTAACTAGGGTGACCATACAATAGATCATCCAAACTGCAACACTTGTGAAAGTCAAAGGGGGTTCAGTTCATAATTATGCCTAGACAACAGGTGTAAACAAGGGCATATGGCCACCCTCACCTTAACCATGTGGTTCGCAGTCTGCCGTCTTCCCTAAAAGCTGGGAGGAAGTTGCCGCTAAGGCCACCTCTACATGCAGCCGGCAGGGCTCCATCCCCACCCACCCTCTCCTCTGCATGTGAGTTGCACTCACTGCAACATGAGCCCTCCCTGGCCAGCCTGGGCTGCTTCTCTCCTGCTCCAGGCCCTGATCAGGTTCCCATTCCTGGATCGCCCGCACTCCCCTGGTGACGAATTCCCGCATTACCTGAGGGATTTGCACATGGGGCATGTTCCTCGCGGGCCGGAATGTCCTGGGAGCGTGTGGAGAGTGGCGGGCAGAGAAGCCTGTCTGCCAGAGAGCACCCGGCACAGGGGAGTCAGGGACAGCATCAGCCTATGGTCTCGGCTTTGGGTTTTGTTTTTCAAAAAAGGGCCAGGATGGGGCAAGAGTTCTAGACAGTGGTTGCCAGCTCCAAGTAACCCAGCCAGACCCGGTGGCAGACAGGCACCCAGGGCATGGGGCACTTGGGGAGGGCAGCTGGCTGCAGGGGCCATCTCAGATCGGGTATTTCTTCCAACCTGCCGTGGTAAGGGTGGCCTCACCCACAAGTGTCCAGCGGACCATCAATCCTGGGGAACAGTCAGCCACAAAGGGGGCCCTATGGCCCCTGCACTCACCTCTCAATCAACCACAACGTGCACTGGTTTAGGACAGGCTCCAGATGTCCCAGCAGGAAGGGAACCTGTTTGGCTCCGTTTAACTCAACAAAGTCCTCTGCATTCCCCAGTTAAGAACTACTTGTGGGATTAGTGTGCTGAGAGACAGTTTGGCAAACACTACAGCAGGGAAGAAAACACAAAATTGAAAGCTGGGAAGCAAGGATTCCAGACCTGATTCGTTTGTCATCCGTTGGAGCTTGGCCTCTATAGTTCCCTGGGAAAGTGCAAGCAACAGCCTTCATCAGTGTACCCTCGATTTTGCACTACTGGAGATGAGCCGGGGTCTCGGGCAGGGGCACGAGGGACCCCGTGTGAGCCTTTCCCTTTCTCATGCTCCTGAGGCCTTGCCACTAGTAGGAAACTGTCCTGGGTCCCCCTGAGTCCTCACAAACCCACTCACCCCATATAGTGGCTCCATAGTAGGTCTGTCATGAGTGATGCAGGCTTTGGGACCAGCCCAAGAGACCTAGTTCTGCAGGTGCCACCTTGTCTCTGGAGCAGAGAACTGGCACTCCACATCCTGCTCCCCACCCCCCATCAGCCAGGCTGAACCTCCCAGTACACCCTGCATGGACGAACTCTCCCCCAGAATTCACTTCTCTGTCCCACTCTGAGCATGCACCTCCCCCTGAAGCATCTCACACTCCTACTTCAGGTGGTGCTAGGGCCCCACTTTCCAGGAAACACTGGCCCTTCTCCTGTCCCAGCACCTCTCATCCTGCAGCCACAATGTTCAGTCACCCTCCTAGTATTCACTGAGTATTTCTAGTGTGCCAGGCACCAGCCTGGGGACTGAGGATACAGCAGTCAGTCACTGGGCACAGCTTTGTCCTTAAAAGGTTTGCAGTGAAGGAGTTGAACTTAAACCAATGGCCACATGAATCCACAGTGACAAACTGGGGTGCGTGCCGTTACTGCCCCCCATCTTGGGCTCTGGGAGGTGGGAACCCCTCTACTTTCTGCACCTCTGTATCCCAGGGGCTGCATAGTGCCTGGTGCTGGAGGGCCCTCGGTCGTCAAGGAGAAATGGATGTCTGAAAAGGAAGGCGCTGGAAGCCTCCCTTCTCCCGGGCTAGGGGCCTGCAGGGACAGCTGAAGTCCAGGGCAAGAAGGGAACCCCCCACCCAAGGCAGTCATGGCTCACATTCTGAGGTTTCAGAGCAGCTCCTCCTCTCCTCCCCCACAGTGGAGGAAGCCAGCCATTTGCCTGGGTGGAGTATCTGCGGGTCAGGTCTTTAGAAATCTAAATGTCCACATAGGCCACCACTCACCCCTGTTTACCACCTGCAGTCCCAGCTTTCATGTGAGCCGAGGAGGGAGCCCCTTGAGAGTATAACCAGAGGCTTGATCTGCGTTCTCAGACCTCCTGGGTGGCTAGACAAGGCCCTTTCAGCTGCCATGGGAAGGCGGGTGGACTGTGCTGGTGCGGGGCTGCCCTGATCCCACAATGGCCCCCTGACTCCAAGGCCCAGAGGACACCTGAACCACATCTGGCTGAGCCTCCTCAGGCCCTGTGCCTTCTCTCTGCAGCCAAGGAGACAGAGGTGGAGTGGGCTTTTCTGGACAGCATAATTCATGGCCCCTCACCACCCAAACCCGAGAGGTGCAAGAAAAGAAAGCGATGGGCTGGGCTCAGCAAAACCTGCTTTCCCTCTTAACACCTCCAGGGATGTCTTTTTTCACCTGACTTCATTTTCTGGCAAACTATGTTTGCATCCCTTCCTGGCAGGCAGTTCTAGACCCGGCCTGCACAGCCCTGCCCCCTGCTTCCTCCCTGAGGTTTGCACTCAGCTCCATCCACTCAAGGCCCATCTGGCTCTCGGTCCCCAACCAGCACCTGGTTGGGTTTGGCAGCCTCCGAGATGCCCCCATAGGATCAGGTTCAGCTACCACTTCCACACACAAGTTCTGGGCCCCGGCTTAGCAATGCAGGCTACAAAGGGGCCAGGGTGTGAAGTGCCTCCTTAGCACAGCTCCCAGCAGTGGTCTTTACACTTGGTTCTCCCTGGCTGACTTCTCTTGCTGCCAGGGCTTCAGTGATGGGAGCCGGCAGCATGGAGGGAGAGGGGCAACCGCAGATGTGGTAAACATTCTGCAGCAGAGGTCTGAGGGCTCTTGCCAAGCTGGGGTGCAGCCCCCATGGAGTGGGAAGTGCAGGGTGGGAGAAGGGAGAAGGTTTAAGGTCCTTTAACCCTTCCCAGCCAGACTCAACACTGCTATCTCAAGGAACCCAGAAGCACCATTCTCATGAGCCATGACAGTGCTGGAGACCTTGGGGTCTCAGAGGACCCCGTCACCAATCCCACAGCTCCAAAATGGTCTTCAGTTTTTACATCCAAGCCAATTCCTTTTTACCTGAAATGTGGCCCTTTTATTAGTAGTGTCCTTGTAAGTAAAATTCTATTTATTAAACAGACATTTCTTTTTTTTTTTACTTTTTATTTTATTTTATTTTTTAATCATTTTTTCTTTTTTTTATATACTTTAAGTTTTAGGGTACATGTGCACAACATGCAGGTTAGTTACATATGTATACATGTGCCATGTTGGTGTGCTGCACCCATTAACTCGTCATTTAACATTAGGTATATCTCCTAATGCTATCCCTCCCCCCTCCCCCCACCCCACAACAAAACAGACATTTCTTAATGTGCCAAGCATGTTGTCTTTATTAGGTCAGGGGTTCTCAAACCGGAATGTGCATATGAATCACGTGGGATTTTGTTTAAATGCAGATTCTGATGCAAGAGGCCTGGGATGGGCTTGAGATTCTGCGTTTCAAACATGCTCCTGGTAGATGCTAGTGCTCTAGTCCAGGGACCACAGTGGGAAGTCACAAGGCATTGAATGACTGATGGTTTGTAGGTGGTGGCTCTGTTTCATAGATGGGCAAACTAAGGCACAGTCTGTCATCAGTGTGATGGTCAGAGTGGAGGTCTGGCCTGGGAATATTGCATTTCAGATACTGGCTCTTCTTTAGGTCAGTGGTTCTCAGCCTCGCTATGCATGAGAATCATGAGAACACAGCAGGCAGGGGGCCTACCCCTAATCAGTTGAATTAGATTCTCCAAGGACGCAACCTGGGCATTCGTTAGCCAGGGTGGAACACCACTGTTGAGGAGACACCCCAGAGACACCGAACTGGTTCATCGCGGCCACTTATGAATCAGCTGGCTCTGCCTGTCATGCCGCGAACCAGTCAAGAAATACCTGCCAGGTGTTGGGCTCTCTGCTGAGCCATGGGGGAAAACTCCGAGTCTGAGCTGGCAGGAGAACCCCATTACACAGGAGGCCTCAGCTGCTGAGAACATGCCTTCCACTCCCCCAGCCTCAGGCTCTTCTTGTCATCACCCTGAACCTCCTCCTTGATGAGATGAAAGCCACCTCTTCTCTCCCGCTGCCTCCATTTCTCTCTGTCCTCAGCTCCTTTTCCCATTTTCCTTTTCCTTGGCCTGGGATGTGTGTCGGAACAGCTATCACATGTTTTAGGAAAAGGGCCTCATTCTCACCCACGGTGCCAGGCTGTACCAGAGGCTGGGCCACACTTCGCAGTTCAGCCTGTCTCCCCATACACCTTCCCACCAAGGTTCCCAACTTCTCTGGCTTTGCAGGGTCCTGACTGCAGACTAGACTGACTAACTAGATGATGTGCATTGATTGTTTCCGACTTCCAGGAGAATGTGGGGTGCCCAGGGTGCCTGGGTTAGAGAAGGAACCAAAAGTTTCCTTGGATCCTCATCAGGGAATTGTGGTGTGATACAGGGCGGTGAAGGGGCTCCAGTTTCACAGAGAAGTGAAGAACGAGTGTGCCTCTTTTTATGGGACCTTTGGAATGACAGGAATGGAAGCCTGAGCCCTCTCCACCCAGCACTGCCCTGTCACTGCCCCGGGACGTCCACGTGGGCTCTGGGAATGCTCCTTTGCTGAGACAGGCTTGGGTAGTACAAGTTCAAGCCCTCCTCTGTTGAAATGTGTGTGCTCTGTTTAGCCAAGAGGTGTCTGCATCCGAGCTATGCAGAGCAAAGTATTATTAGAGCCGGCATCAGTGTGTCTGTAACTGAACCCAGCTCTCCCTAGCAACCGTTGCCAACAACACATCTAACAGAAGGATGCGATACCTTTTTTTGAAAAAAAAAAGTTTGTCTCAACCAAGTCATAAACACAGCAGGCCTGTTGTGAAAAGACAACACAAAATCAGAATCTGGTGTGTGACCAGATTTCAAAATAAATTGCTCTTCTCTAGCACCTTCTAGAAGACAGCCTGTTAAAAAGCTGACCTTGAGCTAAAGAGCGGAGAAACTCTTCAGAGTTTCTGGCTGGGTCATCATCAAGCATTGTGTTTTGGGCTTTTCATACATAGACGCTCAGTTGAGTGGTGACTCTGTGGGATCTCTGGGAATGACTTTAGCACAGAAGGGGCACTCAAGATTTTCTGGCTTGGCTTTCCTTATCAGTGAATCTCTCAAGTGTGAGACAAGCCTGAAGATGTATCTTACCCATACCTCATCCTGGATGTGTGTGTTGCCCCCACTTCTACCCGTTTCTCCCATCCTCCTGCCCTTCTCCTTGTCCCATGTTTTCAGGCTTGGGAAGAAAACTGGGCCATTCCTCTAACTCTCTTCCTAAGGGGAAAACCTCGTTCTCTTGTGATTCTCTCAAGGTCTCTGGAAAATCAAGTCATTCCCCTTTGTCAGAAGTTTGAAGTTCCTAACTCTTATCTTTTACATAGGAAGGGAGGAGGGAGACTGATATCGATTCCTGGAGTCTAAGTTTTAAACTCCTAGATGGCCAGAATCCTGGCTGAGTTATCGGCTGTCCCCAGCTCCTGGCTTCATGGTTCATAGTAGATGCTCAGGAAATGGCTGTGGAAGGGAGGCATGGAGCCATCAGTCATGGGTACCAATGCTCTCTGGGGCATGAGGGGCTTTGAAACTCTTCTGAGCACTTTCCTGTGTGTGAATCGGAGGTAGGTTCCAGGGCAGGGATCCCTCCCCAGGCTTATACATGGGGAAAGTGGCTCAGTGAGGCTGCAAGATTGACCCAGCATCACGAGGCTAGCTGGAGCTTCTGGATGCCATGCCACATCCTAAATAGGGTGTAAGGCTCAAAAACTTGGGAAAATCAAGAATCCATATCATGGTTGGGAGCAATGGCTCATGCCTGTAATCCCAGCACTTTGCAAGGCCAAGGCAGGAGGATTGCTTGAGGCCAGGAGTTTGAGACCAGCCTGGGCAACATAAAAAGACCCCATCTTTGAAAAAAAAAATAGGCAGGTGTGGCAGCATTGCTACTGAAGCCCCAGCTACTCCAGAGGCTGAGGCAGGAGGATCCATTCAGGCCAGGAGTCAAGGCTGCAGAGAGCTAGGTCCCTGCTGTTGCGCTCCAGTGTGAGCGACAGAGTGAGACTCTAAAAAACAAAAAAGAATCCATCTCAGGAAGTCATCAATTGGGATTTCAAAATCCACCCTGTGGAATAATCCCACTGTGTTTCCAGGGGTCGCTGAGTCTCTGAGCTTTCTGGGCCTCTGGAGGTCAAGGGTACCTGAAGAAACCCCTGCACTCTCCATTCGCCCTAGTCCCTGTGAAACCACACAGGCTGCTGGCCCCAGTTCCCATCTCCTCCTTGCATCCTCTCCCTCTTCTCAGACCCCCTCCCTCATTTCTGCACACCCACCGCTGAGCCGATGTGCACTCCAGGCATGTAAACTAATTTTAATGTTGGCCCAAGCCAGGCACACCCAGGGATAGAAGCACATTGTTCTGTGCATTCCAAAGCTTGAGCAAAAGCCCTGGCCATACCCACATCGAGCTCCCCTCCACTAGTTGCTAGAAATCAGAAAGGCTGAAGCAAAGGGCCAGAGGCAGTGCAAGCCGCTTTCCCCGTGGGCAGGCTGCACGGAAGCTTGCAAAAGCCCAGAAAAGGGCTGTTTTTCTAAAAATGGCTGGCATCTGAGCTCCCGCCCTGCCCCCTGTGGGCCATCTGTCCCCATGCTGAAGCCCGTGCCCTGCAAGGGACATGCAGAGTTGGCACACACATTTCCCTGAAGGTGGGCACCAACAGGCCTCGTCAGGCTGGCCTGGCATCACAGGAGGCCAGCAGTCACAGGAGCTTGACCCCTGCCCAGGATTCTGTGGCAGCCCTGGGCTCCCCCAACAGGAAGAGCCAATGCCTGACTCCTATCCATGTTCTTTGCCCCTGCGGCCAGAGCCACAGTGGATAGGAGCCGTGTGCCTCGTTGCCAATCTTGTTGTCTGCACTTGCTTTGGGATGAGTAAATATGACCTGCTTTTCTCCAATCTTTATTTCTTCTCAACGCTTATTGAGCACCTGCTATATACCATGCACTGTGGCAGGTCCTGTATGTCTCTGTTCATTTGCCCTCCACTGTGGTCTTTCAATCTGTTTGTGCAAATCTTAAGCATTGCATTCAAGGACCCAGGTGGGATACCTCAATGTCAGTGCTTAGACCAGATCGCCCTGACTGTTCAGTTTGGGTGGGGCGGGGGAACATGTGGCTTCCAGGAGTGCTAAGCCTGTGGTTCTCTCTGGAGCTTTGAAGTGCTCAGTGAGACAGAGCAGCCGATGACCGGATCATAAACAAGCATTTTGATTTTTGAATCTGAAAATAAGCGAGGAAAGAAAATGACCACTGATCCTCAGCCAGTCCTGGAAAGTGCCCAGAACAGCAGCATGCCAGGTGTCCAGTCATCATATCATCAGGGGGGCCTGGGTGCTGCTGCTGTGCCAACTACTGCCCCAGGCCCCCAGGGACCAGTGAGCTTCCTGCAAAACCAAGTGCCCAGCTTCCTGCCTCTTTGCCACTGCGCCACTGTGCCACTGCGCCACTGCGCCACTACTGTGTTCTTCAAAATCACAGAGAGCCCCGCTCCTGAGAAAGCCCAAAGTGCCTTTCTGTGCACGGCATGGGCTTTTACAAGTCTCATGGGCAGTCTACTGCAGGCCTTGTCAGAGACTCTAGATGTGCAGAGGCTGAGGGAGCCTTGGACAAAAGTCACTCCTTTCCCGTGAAAAGTGGCCATTGCCCTGTGTTGTTAGGAGCGTGGGTGGCTCAGGAGGGGAGAGCAAGACCAGCCTGCAGCTTCATGAATCAGGTCAGCTGGGCCATCTGGAGCAGACAGGTGTGGGTCGTGCCCCCGAATCTCATTTCTCTAGACAGGATTTCTTGCCCTGAGGCAGCAACGCTGAGGCCTGAGGAGTAGCAAACCTGTGCAGTAGCATCGATTGCTGCCTCGATGCTGATCTTGAGCATTTAAAACATGTCTCTGCACCCACGTTTCCGTCCTGCAAGGGATGATTGGGTTGTGGTAGAGCTTAAATGAGGTAATGCATGCACGGACCCCAGCTCTGAGCCACACCACTCGGATGGCTCCATCAGTGTGGGTGCCCTGCCCTGGTGGGATGAACTGGGAGGCCCTTCTAACTTTATCCCATCCTAGATTCCCAAAGACCACCCCATGCCTCAGTCTTGGGCAGCATTTCCATTTCCCCCCCCTACGCTGATTAAATGTGGAACAATGAGGGCAGGCAATGAGTGCTTTTAGACTATTGTCTTCCTGGGCGGTGGGCCCAGGATTGACAGGTGTACTCTTCCTCCTAGTCAAATCTGCCTCCTCCAGGAAACCTTCCCTGATCTCCCAGCCCAGGGACCTCACCTTCCTCTGACTCTTGAACATTTACCATGTGTCCCTTTCATGAAGTCTTCTGGGCTCCCCTGTTTAAGCTTTTCTTATCTGAGACTTGTATCTGTGGATGTCTTGGGGCAAAGAATGCGTCTGGGTCATCTTTGTGTCCCACCACCATACTGGTACCCACAAGGTATTCATCAGGCATCAGCTGGCTGGCTCCAGGAGCTTCCTTCACTGGGGAGGAAGGAGCATGGATAGGCAGGCATGGGAATAGCACAGGCCACAGCCACAAAAGGGAATGGCCTGGGGTTTTCTCCCTCTCGCTTCTGGGCCAGGAGAGCTTTACCCAGGTCAGGAATTATTTCACCATCACCCGTGTCCCTTGCCAGACCGTGTCCCCTTCCCTGCATGCCCTCACCCCCCACCCAGGGTTCATTTTCCCTGCTAAATCCCCTGATAGAACTTGGCCGGGCACTGCCCTGTCTGAGGCTGCCACGCCGAAGCAGGCCCTGCAGATAAGTGGGTTACCGGAGAAGGCCAGCTCGGGTGTCCCAGGCCCCAGAGGGTCACCCCTGGCTGGCTGGCAGCTCACCCCCAGCACCTCCTCCTCCTCCTTCCCCGGAGCCAGGCAGGCAGGAGACAGCAGATCCTTCCCCCCAGCTCTGTGAGCGGCCGGCCCCCAGCCGCCGCGGGGAATCTGAGCTATGCTAAGCGGCTCCAGATCGCAGCATCTCTGCCCTGCCCGGGCACGGCCGGCCCAGACAGGGCGCCTCTACCTGCCGTGGCTGCCGCTGGAAAGCTGGCACCGCCTGGGCTGATGGAAAAAATCTCCCTGCGGGTTATGTAACTGCTCACCGCCCTGTCCCTGGCTCCCCAGGGAGGCTCCCAGCCACTACCAAGAGAGAGCAGTGGCCCCTGGGCAGGAAGGAGACCACAGAGGGTCACTCTTTCAAAAGGAAGAAAATAGTGTTGCGTTATCTGAGGTCCTCCTCTGGAACCAGCCTGTGCATGGCGCCAAGGTGTTTCCTGAAAATGCTTAAGGAGCTCAGAGGCCTGCCCCAGTATTATAGCAAGAAGAGAGCTAAACCTAGCGGGAGGGAGTGGCCACAGAGGAGGAAGAGGGCAGGACAGCTTTGTTACTGTTTTTCTTTTCTTTTCTTTTTGGCAAATTATTATTGCAGTAAAATATACCATAAAATTCACCATCTGAACTAGTTTTAAGTGCACAGTTCAGCAGTACCCCGCATACCTACAATGTTGGACAATGCCCATGACCATCCCCCGGCACCCCACCAAACCCTCTCATCACCCCAAACAAAAGCCATGTACCCACCATAACTCCCCTACAGCAATAACTCCCCTACAGCAATAACTCCCCTACAGCAATGCCTCCCCTCCATCTTCCATCTCCATGAATTCACCCACTCTACAAATAGCACACATGGGATATCATACAATATTTTTCTTTTTGTGCCTGGCTTATTTCACTTCACATCATGGTTTCCAGGTTTATTCATGTGTCAGAATTCCCTTCTTTTTCATGGCTGACTAATATTCCATTTTATGTCTATACCACATTTTGTTTATCCATTTATCTGTCAATGGGCACTTGATTTTCTTCCACCTTTTGACTATTGTGATTCATGCTGATAGGAGCATGCATGCACAAATATCTGTTTGAGTCCCTGCTTTTGATTCTTTGGGGTATATACCTAGAAGTGGAATTGCTGGATCATATGGAAATTTTATCTTTAGCTTTTTGAGTATCTGCCAAACTGTTTCCAGGAAGGGTGTTTTTGATGGGGGAAATATCATGAACCAAGAGCCAAAGAAATGACACAACTGAGGGACAATAAGGACACTGCCTTACTGAAATTCAGCTGAGAGCTGGAGGAAGTCTATAAGGGGGACCGACTAAGAGGCAGAAGGATCTGGACTTTATAAAGTGGGACTCAGGGAGCCATTGTGGGTTCTTGAGATGTAGAGTTCCAGGATCAATTAAAAATCATAGACCAGTGTAGACTTGCAGGAAGGATCTATAGATCATCCAGTCCAACCCCCTCGTATTACAGTTGAGAGACTTGAGGCCTGGAGAGGTTGAAAGAGGCCATGAAGACATGTTGATAGGTCATAGGATGTTGGACTTAAAGATGTTTTACATCAGAGAACCAGGGGTTCTAGGTAGCCACGTGGTCTCTTGTGGAGAGGGAGCATATCCAGGCTTAAGCCTGCCCCTCAAAGACCTGAGCTGTGATGGCAGGCCTCATTTCCCTGCCCTACTCTCAGGATCCTGCTCTCTGGCCCCTGGCACATGGAACTGTGGCATTTCCACCACCACCCCCACCAGCCAGAGCCAGGAGCTGGGGTTGCCTGCCATGGGGAACTGTGCTCCCCTAGCGCTGGTCCCCTTCCTTCAGTAAGTGCCATGGTGGGCTCCAAGAGCTTCTGGGACAAGTCAGTGGGCATCTTCGAACCAGAGCCCCTGGGTGAGCAGGCTTCCCCAGGGGTACATAGCCTGCATTCCAGAGAGGGCCCCTAACATTGGCCTGTGGGCCGCTGATAGGAAGAATGGATAGAGACTCCGCACAGGGTGCCCCACCCCCGGCCCTGGTGCCCCTCACCATGCTGCTGTGGGCTTATCTCCTTGTTGCCCTTCGCCCATACCAACCTGCCTGAGCTGCGTTTCTGATGCCTATAATGAACCAGAAGGGAGTTGAGGGGACAGAGGGGGAGAGGAACAGGAAGAGGAGATGACAGGACAACTCTTTCAACAGCCAGCAGGAATGCCACACTTGGCCTTCAACCCTCCGCTCTAAGAGTATTTATACCCACAGTGTTCAGGGTGGCCAGGTTCCACCTTGTCTAGATAAAGAGCAGGCCCCCTTACGGAGACAGAGGTCTCCCCAGCTCCCCTCCAGACAGCCACCAAGAGGTCAGGAACACACAGAGTGCACGGCGCAGTGCATGGAAGGGAGGCGCTGTTGCAGGGGCAGCCATCAGTGCCTGGGTTACTCTGAGGCCAATCGGCATCATGTGAGCAATTTAAACCCATGGTGTGCCCAAAGGCCAGCTTTTCCTACTTCTAGGTCTTCCCTCTCTGGGCCCCTCTGTCCAGGAGAGGCGGATACACTCGACCAGAAGCAGAACCATGGGCACAGGGAGTCTGCGTCATGCTGGCTCAGCATGGCTCTGCCCTTGAAACCCAGAGCCTAGAATAAGGGGTCCCTGTACACCGCCAGAGTGCCTCACTGCCTCCCACCTAGAGCTCAGGTTTAAAGGCCTTCACTCGGTATCAGGGTGCAGAGCTCTGAGTCTTCAGGGAAAAACAGCGGCCTCTTTGGGGGGGACAGGGAGGAACCTGCAGGGAACGACCCTCCCTTAACCCTCTGCTGGCCCTTCCAGGACAGATCCCAGGTCCCAGAGTGAGAGAAGCTTCAGGCCACTTTGAAGTATGAGGACAGGCATGCTCAAAATCGTCCCCCCTCCAGCACCCCCTTGACAGTGCCGAGCCTGAGACCAAGTGTATTCCAGAGAAGTCTGTATGCACCCAGGTCATTCACACCTAGACCCATTAAGCAGAGAGGGCTTGGGAGCCAGCACGTCACCATGTCATGCCCCTGCCTCCCAGTTTTCCGTAGAGCAAAGGCCATACGAAAGAAGGGGGTAGCTTAGGAGGTATTTGGGGAAAGCCAGACTCCAGCTAAAGCTGGTGAATAGCTATAATCGGAATAAGTGCATTCTTGAGCAGCTGCGTATTGGAGCGCCACATATTGGACCCATACTTAGCATGGACCCCATTAGGCAACCGTCATTGCATTATTCTGAGTATTAAAAAAAAAAATGTGGCAAGGGGAGTAATATCTCTAAAGTGGGGTTCGAAGCACAGTCACCTGGAATCAGCCTTCCCTGCCATAGACCCTTCCTTTAATGCCTTACCACCTGTGGCATAAGAAATAACTCAAGCGGCCAAGAGCCAGCCACCTCCCCCTGGCTCTAGTTGTGGCGCCATGCAACTGGTTGACTCTGGGTGGATCTCAAGCGTGGCAGCCCTACACTTACTCTTCTGTTAAATGGGGTCATAATACCCATCTCCTCCTCCTGCCTACTGCACTGACATTATCATTGTTAAAATCCACTGAAATGCCTGACTTTTACCTGTGTTCCCTTAAGACTCCTCCTCCAGGAGAAACTTGTGAATTTCATAGCAGCATGTTTTTCCTTTTCCTTTTGATGATTCCATTCATTCAAGGTTCTTAGGGGAGGTCCCAGGCAGGGAAAGCGCCATGAGATGCCCACGCAGAGATTCTTCCACAAGTCCAGGGGCCCCCGGCACAGTAGGACTTGAGGTTTGGGTGCAGCACTGTAGACAGCCCAGGATCCAGCCACAAGGAAAGCTCTCCAAGGGGCCCTGGGACTGGCCTGGAGGCCCCACAGGGTTCCCTGAGCTCAGTACTGTGAAACCCCAGTGAAACAGGCACTGGCCTCTGCCTGACACATAAAGGGGGGCAGGGCCAGCTCAGCCAGAGGGCAGTTTAGGAACATCAGAGGAAGGGGCAAGCCCTGTAAGTGGAGTAGGTTGAGGAAGGCTTCCTGGAGGAGGAAGCATGAAGGAAGAGGCAGGATCTGGGTGGAAGGAAGACAACAAGAGGATCTGTAAGTGGCAGGACCCTTTGAGGGACTGGGGGTTGCAGAGGAGGATTGGGGAAGGAGGTACCGCCAGCCTGGCGGAGGGTGTCAATCAGCAAGCCCAGGGCTGAGGCTGCCCAGCCGGGCCGTGACCCCAGGTCACTGTAACCACACTGGCCCGTTCATTTTGCTGGCGCCTGCTTCTTGCCATTTCAGGCCAAGACCATATTTTCATCCAAAACTAAAACTTCTACCTCAAGAGGCGTGAGTTTCCTGCCAGCCTTGGGCCGTCTTTTGCAGGTGGCAGAGTGGGCTGCTGAATCTGCGACCCTGGCCAGGCTCCAGGGCCTCTGAACCCTGGGGTTTTGCTGAGGCAGGTGGTGTGGCACCAAGGGCCTGGCATCTGAGGCCAGAAGATACCCGCCACCCCTCCCTGGTGAGGTTACTGCCTTGTAGGAGAGGGTAGGGATGCCCACCTCCATATGCCCCCATGTGCCCCAACCAGCCCCTCTTTGTGCACCAGCTGCTTCCAGAGCTATATGGAGATGGGCGCCCACCGCCCAACCAGGCACAGAGGTGCAGTGCTCGCTGTGGGGGAGGGGGAGCATGATGCCACCCCCAGGAGCTCTGCAGGAGCCAGAGCAGGGTTGTGCAGGAGGCTGCCATGGGGCGGGTCTGCACAGCAACACTTGCTGCTTTCACCTCACTCCCCTCTGCAGAAGCCCCTTTTCCTCCCCTCCCTCAAGTGGTGGAGCAGGAGGCAGAAAGTCTGAAGCCAGCCCCTCAACTAATGTCACCGTCTGAGCCTCAGCATCCCCATAGGGGAAACGAGGGCACTGGGTCGGGTGTGGTCTGTGGGTCAGGTCTCCCCAGCCAGGCACCAGGCCCTCTCCAGCAGAGCCTGTGGCACCTCTGTCTGCCTCGCACAGCCCCTCAAGTGCCTTGAGCCTGTGAAGGTTGCAAGGAGGTCTAGGACTAGGGAGAGGCTGGAACCCACTGCGGGTGGGAAGAGAAGATGGGAGCTGCTCTGTCTGCAATCTGGCAGTTGTTTATCCCAAACAGGGAACCAGAAGCTGAGGATTTAAAGGCTCGGCGTGGGAGGAGGTGCTCTGGGCTGCAGGAGATCCGGTGGGGAGCCCCAGCCCTGCCTTTCCCTGGCTGGGCGACCTCAGGCCAGGCCTTCTACCCTGATGGTGGCTTCCTCACCCATAAAACATGGAGAGGTTAGAAGTCATTTCAGACATTCCTTCCAGCTTTGTTATCCCAAAGCAGATGCGCTAGGCAAACAGAGGGTGCCTGCTAAAATGCCTGTTGCTGACTGATTGGTTAGCGGGTTGACCAGTGCAGAGCAGGACCCATCCCCAACTCTCCCCACCCGGCGGGTCTGGCCGGCTCCTTCCCACCCGCCTGGCCCCATTTACAGAGTCTGGGGCCTGCTTGGCTTGTGTGTGCTGGCGGCAGCACCTGCTGGGTGGGCAGGGCGGCCTGCAGGGGGCACCAGTGTGCAAGGCCAGCCCTTCCTGCCTGCGGCCACCTCCCAGCATCTTGGCATCCTGGGGGCTGTCCCACAGGGAAGATTTAAACTATATGATGGTGACCGCCACCAAGCCACCCTCCTATGTGCAATTTTCAGACCCCTTGGGGTCCCAGCCCTGAGTCCAGAAACCTCAGGCTGAGAGTTGGACTAGAACCCACAGCAAGGGTCCCCTCCAGACCTCCAAAACGGGCCAGTGTAGTACTCATTCCCATTTTATACCCAAGACAACCAGGGCTCTTGGAGGCCACAGGAGGGCCACCGAGGTCTCAGGTAGCTTAGAAGGAGGACAGAGCATGGGTCCTGGATTCCCTGGGAACAGTGCCTGCCCAGAGACCCAGCTGCCCTTAGGAACGAATGAGTATCAACCAGCTGAGGCTGCATTTTCTTAAAATGCATTGGTTTGTCTAGTGTTGTTTATGTTCTTTCTCAAACAGCAGGAAGAGGTTGTGGGAAGAGCCCTGGCTGTCAACAGGCTTCTCCCATGCAGTAGGGGTGGACAGAGGGACTGCAGCCAGGGTCAAGGGCAGGCCATGGGGCGGTGGGACAGAGAGCAGGCCGCAGCCTCATCTGGCCTCAGTAGCCTTGTACAGAGGCAAAGGGGCTTCCGTGTGGGGTGTCAGCTCCTTCCACACCTGCCTGGACCCGGAAACAGGCATGCCTTGAGTCACCAGCAGTGGGCAGCCGTAGAGTCACTGTTTCAACACCGCCAATTTGTTGGTCCCACGCCTGGGGCCCCTGTGGTCATTGCAGTATGTTTTATGGAACATTCTGTGAGGATTCCTCTTGGGGTTTTTTAGCAGCCACCCGTTAGGATGTTCCTAAAGTAGAAGGCAAACAGCCCACAGGGCCTCAGAATTCTAGAAAAAATGTCTGTGCACAGCATGGGAGCCTGAGCCAGGAGGGCATTCTCAGCCATCTTCTAAGGAGCCAGGTAGAAAAATGGGGTCGATTCTATTGTAGTTACTTCCTTATTTTAGCTATTCATTCAGAAATGTTAGCTGTTCAAAGGGTATGTCATTTATCAATCAGGAGGCGGGAGCCCCAGGTCTGCAGGAGTGCAGGGGAGGATGTGAGCAGGTCAGTCACAAGCTAACTTAGAACAAGCATTCAATCCCCCAGAAAATGCACCGGGGAAAGCCACAGGCATTCCCTTTTGGTAGAAAAGGTCCCTGGTCTATCTTCATCGATGGGACTCTCATCCGGGGTTTGTACCAGGGGAACCTGGCCAGGGGATGGCCGTTCAGCCTCTGGGCATGTTGGCAGAAGGGGTAGTTCATGGTGTGCCCTGGGCACCCCATTTCTGATTTCTACCCCTGAGCCAGGAAGGCCTCTCCCATCAACCACCGTGGGACTGTGAAGCAGGTAACAGGCAGAGGTGGTGGGGGTGTCCAGGGGCCTGAGGTGGCGGTGAGGATGGGCATGGAGTACTACACTTCATTGAAATGCCAGCAGCCAGGAGGTGAGCACCTTGGGTTGGGAGTGCTCCCTGAACCCCAGAACTGGAGGCGTTCTGGGGGCATTCTCACTAGCACCGCATCGGGACACATCAGTCCAGCAGGTCGCGCTGGTCCCTGGGGAGCCCAGAATGACAGTTTGTTTCTTTTTGTTCTGGCTGACAATGATGCCACAAAGCTGTTTCAGCCCTGACTGAGAGTACAGGATCTGGACAGCCCCGATTTGAATCCTAAGTTTAATACTTCGTAGCTGTGTGGCCTGGGCAAGTGGTTTTCCCTCTCGGGGCCCCAGTTTTCCATTTATAAACTGGGGTAATAGATAATACCTGCCTCCTTTGGGTGGATGAGGCTTGAATGGTGGGGACGATGGTGTTAGTATAAACACAACATTGACTGGTGTCGCTCATGTCTGGGGGTTCCTGTCAGGGGTCCAACAGGAACACCAGTTACTCCTCCTTTGCCATTGGGCCAGCTCTCTGCAGTCACTGGCTGGATACCAGCTGTATGCATACACTGTGGGCCATAAGTATCCCTTAGACCTTTGTGGGTGGGGGTTAACAGCCCCATTTTATACATGGGGAAAGAAAGTTCCAGAGAGCTTAGGAGGTATACGTCAAGTCACGCAGCTGGTCAGTGACAGACAGAACTGGAGCCAAGTCCCTGGTACCCCACACTCTGTCTCCTCAGAACACACTGCCACCTGCATGCCCTGATTGGTCAGGAGTGCATCTGGAGGGGGTCAGTTATAAGGCTGAGGAGAGGTGACAGGGAAACGAGATAAGAAACATGCCATTTAGGTGGCCATGCTTTCAGAGCCTCCTCCCCACAGGCCAGGCCTTGGGCTCTCCCCACTGCCATCTTATGACCAAAAGAATTGAGAGACAGCTTCCCGGCCAGCGCTTAGCAGCGGGCTTGGGTCTGCTGCCTCCTTTCCTGTCTTGCCGGGGGTGGGGGAGAGTCTCCACCAAGCTGCAGACAGACAGAAGAATGGTTCCTTGTCCTCCCAAGGGGGACAAGACTTCTCCATGTCCTTCCTTCCCACTGGGCTGGTTTCCAACCCACCACCTTCATGATTCGTGAATGCAAAGAGAAGACCACTTAGATCGGTATGTTTTGCTTCCACTTGGCAGCCCTAGGTGCTGGAGGCTGCAGCTCTGGGTGAAGGTGGGCCCTGGTCTGTGGGGTATGGGCATCTGTGAGCACCATCTGCATGCAGCCCCGGAGGTCAGGTGGCAGAGTCTCCCATGACAGGTTCCAGCAGCAGAAGTCCTAAGGAAGCAGCTTGTGTCTCAGATGAGGCTGTGTACCTCCGTTGCCTGTCTAGGCTGGAGGAAGGGTGATGGCACCTTTAACTGGTCCCTTCCTTACAGATCACTAAGTGTAAGAGGCCAAGCCTGCAAAGAAAAAAAGGGAGAGGGAGAGAGGAAAAAAAACTAGAGCCTGTGCGCTATGTCATTTCTAACACTAAATGATTAAGAAGTGAGGACCCTGGGGTGTGAGCCAAGGCAGCCTGGGTTGCTCAGTCCTCTAGAAACCCTTCTAAGCTTTCCTCAGCACACAGCCCAGAGTGCTACCCGGAGAAAGAGCCACCTTGTAAATCGCTTTCTTCACTGTGCTGCTATGCCTTTCAAAACAAAAGCTAAAAACTCCTCCCACCCCCATACAACTTGATTTATCATGACCCCGTCATCTCGGTGTCCCGGTGTTAGTTCAAAATCAGGCTCAAAACTGCAAAGGCTGGAGGGAGACTGTGGGAGGGTGAGGGACACTTTATCCAGCACGTGGCACACGCACCTCTGCCGCGTCGGTTCATGCGTGTCCCTCCCTGCGAGCTTGGCGGGGCACTGTGGACACTGGGTTCTCTGCCTGATAAAGGGGGATCCTTTCATGTAGCATGCATCAAGATGCATGCATGGTGTGCTGGGCTGTCTCAGCCACTCTCCCAGGCTTCCCTCCTGCCGGTCCGCACACAAGAGGCAGCGTGCTGGGGAGCCAGTGGAATAAGGGCCCCACAGGGGCAAGATGGCCAGAGGCCATTTCAGCATGACCAGCATTTATGGATCTCCTTCTGTGTACCTAGCAGGGCAGAGTGCAGGGGTAGGGCTTAAGGAGGGGGGCGTGCTGATAGCCTCAGGAGGCCCATCTGTCCCTCCCTCTCTCCCTGGACTCCTCTGTCATCCCATCCCCTCCTAGCTGGCATGATTTTTCCTGTACTCAGATCGCAAAAGACTAGCAAGCCAATATGTTTGCTGGGGGAGTCACAGAAGGCGAAGACCCCCCCATCCCTGCCTTCACGGAGCTTCTGGCTTTGTGAGCCCCCCTCTTCTTGTTGTCAGGCTCCCAAATGACCCCAAAGGGTTTGCTTGCAAAAGTTTGTCCTCTGGACTTTGTGTTTTTCCCCATCTGCTCTACCCTCCTAGTGCCTCCTGGCTCCGGCCCCAGCGCCAGCCCCTGTCTGTCCCTGCAAACACAAGTCAGCTGTGTGTGCAGACAAAGCCGTGCGCCGCAGCGGGGGCCGGGCCTGCAGAAGGGACATTTCCAGGGAACTCTGGGGGCGGCGGCTGGGAGGGCAGAGGCGACTGTCTGATTAGCAGAGACTCGGCGTCACAGTCTAGGGCAAAGAGGGTGCGGGGGATTTGGCCGGGCCCCAGGGGCCAGTGGCTGTGGGTGGTGACCAGGGGAGGCAGCCAGGCTGGAAGAAATCTGCTGTTTGAGAAGTGGAGGAAACGGGCTGGAGAGGAGAGATAACAGCCCGTTCTCTGTGTATCTGCATGCGTCTGCCGGCGAGGGTGGCTGGAGCCGGGCGGTCTGAGGCCATATCTAGCGAGATTTTTGTTCTGGGTTGTGAAAGTGACCTATGGAGCCAGCAGCAGGGTTCAGGGCCTGGGAGAGAAGACACGTGGCCCTCCCCTCTCCTCCCCTTGTCTTGTGTTAGTCTCCCCTCCTCTCCCCCTTGTCAAACAGTAGAAAAGGGAGGGGGCATGGGGGCAGGAGAGGAAGCATTCTTAGTGCGGTAAAAGGCCTGGGTTTCGGTCTGGATTGTACCACTAATTTGACATATGAACTTGGATACTTCCCCTAATATTTCTGGCTGTCTCTGTCTCATTGGCTGTAAAATGGGGATTATTTATAACTGCTCTGCATAGCACGCATGAAATAAGGACGTGAAAATAGTTTGTAAACTGTAAAGTGCCACGTAAATGTTAAAGAGTTGTACTGATTCAAACTGCTTTGAAGCAGGGGCTGGGGCTGCTGATTAAAGACCTGCCTTAGATGAACTAGGTGCTGAGTGGTGGGCAGGAGGGTGGGGTGGGTAGGATCAAGACTTAGGGACCCAGAAGTTTCCATGGAGGCAGGGGTGGGTCACGGGCCCAGCCAAGTGAGCCCTGCCAGAACCAGGACCCAGGGCAGGCGTGGAGGGTGAAGTCCAAGAGCTCTCTGGGTGGGGGTGTTTGGTCATGGGCTTGCAGATTCAAGTAGAAGGTGGCCTGGGTTGGGCATGGACTTCTCCAGGGAGACAGGGGAAGCCATATGAAGCCCCTTGCCCATCAAGCTCCAGGGCCCCTGCCTGGCCTGGAGCATAAAGTCCCACTGATTGCAGAGGGATGGGGGCAGCACTCTGTTTTCCTCTCCTGAGCCTCTGCCACCCAAGGAAGCCAGGTCCCCCTGTCCCCCCACCCGCTCCCCATCCTGACCTGGAAATCAGCCCTCTCTGATGTGGAAACTCAGGCAGGAGCTGGCAGGGGTGACAAGACTGTGAGCGGGAGAGAAGCTGAGCTATTTAAAGCGTGCAGCGCCCAGGGGACATGAATGCCACCCACCCACAAGGCCTTCTCAGCATTCGCTTTCCCCTCCTTGGCCCAGATCCCAGGCCCTCAGTGCACCCACAGGGCCACAGGTCAGGTGCCCGAGGCTCTGGGAAGCTGCAGGCGGACAGGTCCTGGGGCTGGCATGAGATGTGGTTCAGTCCAACCTCGGCTTGGGTTCCCTCCTCTGGGCCTCCGGGCTGAGTTGGCGGGGCCACACAGACTCCTTGGCTCCTGTGCCTTATAAACAGGGCTGAGTGTGAGTGTGGAGCTTAGAAGAGGAATGCCCACGCCTGTGGCCCGGGGCAGCTGCCACCACCCACCCCCACTCCACTGGCTACCAAGCCACCAGACTCAGAGAGCCCATGGGGCAGGAGTGGGAAGTGGGGAGCTTCGCCTGTAGACCCTTCTCCCCTGCCCAGGCCTGGCTTCCCAGAACACCCCAGATTACAGATGTTTTTCTCCTTCATCTCCAATTAACATTTACCTGTCCTGGGTCCTAACCTTTAGTGAATGACAGGGTGTACTGTCCCTCCCTTCCTATCTGGGAAAGGCTGATGTCTTAGCTGGGAAGAGCAACTGGGATCCAGGCCTGTTAGACACAGGGTCCCATGTAGGCCACCACAGGTCTGGACCACCTGGGAGGCCTAGCTGGGGGGCTCCCAGGGGCCAGTCCACCAACCACAGCTGGTCTACATTGCACCAGCACGGCTTATGTATGGAATGACTTGAAAAGTCGTCGACTGCCCTTTCTGGGAAGGACTGGCTACTACTCTGAGATTGCATCCTTCCTACCATATTGGCATTAAGTTGTCCTTTCTTTTATGATATGACGGATGAAGCTTTAAAAAAAAAAATGCTTAGCAAAATAAAATGTGGGCAACCCTCAAATTTTACCAGTCCAATAAATCTTGGAGCTCAGGACTCTGGTTCCAGAACAGCACGGTTCACCTGGATACCCAGCTCTCCTGGCACTGAGGAGCCCGGGGATAAGAGGAACTGTTGAGTGTGTGGGGTACAGCCTGGGGAGGCCTCCGACCCTGGGGCTGCATGCCTCACCCTGACAGTAACTTGCAGCTTGAACTGCCAGTTCATCTTTACACCTGGGATTTCCACCCCACCCCACCTCCTCTATCCTCTCGGCTGGAGACACTTCCTCCCACGTGGCTGGGAATTCAGTGTTTTGCTGTCTGCCGCAGGCTGCCACCATCCCGTAGGCCGGGGGAAACCTGCGGAGGCTGCCTCCAGGCAAGCGCTGCCTGCCGACCACCGCCCTCTGACCCCAGTCCACCGAGCCCCAGAGGCACCCAGTCAGCACTCACTCCCTCCAGCCTTACGTAGCGTCCACACGTATGCTGTTACCCACACGGGCCACCAAACCTCCAGTCCCCTGCCCTATCTCACACACATCTTTACATTGCTCCATGTGCACTCTAGTGGGGATGGCCTTTTCCACACCAAGATTCATTCATTTATCAGCTGAGCATGTGCTGTGTTCCAGGCAGCGAGATGGTGGAAAAATGGAAAAGGAGGTCCCCTCTCCTGCCATTGGGCATCTCCTAATCTGGTGGGGAATGCAGACAGTACCCAGTAACTCCAGACCAGCATGCTAGGTGCTGTCATCGCGGCACACCCAGACGGCCCCGAGCATCGAGAGGAGAGAGAACTCACATGAGGGTGTCTCACAGAGAGAGGAACACAGGCCTGAGTCCCAGCACCTGGGCTGGGGGTGCCAAACAAAGAAACGTGCAGAAGGGCATTGTCTAGGCGAATACAGGAGCATGAGCAGAGGCAAGAAGCAGACAAGAATCATGTACAGCAAAAGAAGGGGTTGTTCCCGAGTATAGTGTGCACTGGGGGCTGAGGTGGGAGGAGAGAGTGTGGGCCAGAACCAGCTTGGGAGGGGCACTGTTTGCCCTACCTGGTCGGAGGGACCATACCCTTTGGTCTCTGGGGCACCACCAAAGGTTTGTAAGGATGGAGGTGATGTCTCCTGGTTGGCATCTTTGGCTCTCTCTCTGCAGCAGGATGGAGGAGGGCAGGATAAGGACCCTGGGAGGAGCAAAGCACCCCACTGGGGGTGTCCTATTGGAGCCTCCTGGGAGAGCCAGGAGAGGTGTGGGCAGCCTCAACTCTGTGGCAGTGGGGCCTAAGGGTCAGGGGATGATCCATGAGTGGTCAGCAAAAAGAGAGAGACAGAGAGAGAGGTGGGGGGACTACCTGTAGAGCAGTTAACATGCATCAGCACCACAAGCAGGAGGACCGCTGGGCAGAGAAACATGTATGCACATTCATGCACGTGTACATGTGAATAACTCCTCTCACACATGCTGGAGGAAACCCTCGCTGTCATCCACACTCCCAGGAATGGCCACATTAGACATCTTCCCCCTAGTTCCTGAGAAGCAAACCCGGGAGAGCCCAGCCCTCAGCCTTGCTGCATGCGTGAGCATGGAGTTTTGCACTCTGGCCAGTTTTGCCTCTAGTTCTTTGTTTCTGGAAAAAACAGGCACTAGGGTGAATTTCTTTTCTCTTTTCCTACCATCCCATCTTCCTTCTTCCTTCTCTTTTGTCCTTCCTTCCTTCTTTCTTTCCTTCCTTCCTTCCTCTCTCTTTTCCCTCCTTCCTTCCCTCTCTTTCTTTCATGAAGAAAAGCTCACAGAAAGGCAGAAGGAACCACAGTCTATTGACGTTTCTGACTCTTAGAGGCTCCAAACCGAAACTCAGCTGTGGTTGCTCTAAGTGGCTACAAAATTAGAAAAATAATTTGCAGAAATGAAACCTGACTTGGGATGCCGTTTCACAAAATAGGCTAGATGGCCTTGATGTGTCATGAGGCTCCCACCACTGCGGCCTGCACTGCTGGAGGAACTCCTCACATCTCAGGCTGGGGAGCATTTCCACCCCTGCAGTCAGGCATCCTACAGAAACCTGCCCCCTGCCTACCTGAAGACAGTTCACAGTTTCCTCTGAAATGGGCGGAAGAGCTGGACCCAGCCACAAGACCATCAAGGAAAGCAAAAGGCTTTCAAAAGTGAGACTCCCCAGAGACCAAACCCAGGGGAAGGGATCTGGGGATTCTTAACAGACTCCCTGGGAGTCCAAACCAGGCTGTGAGCTTGGCTTTGCCATGAACTAGCTCTGACCTCCGTGCCTTTGGTAAACAGTATCAACAGCTGCCATTTACCAAATTTCTATGGGGTACCTTGCTTGGCTGCACCTGGGGAGATTTGGAAAATGCCAATGCCCAGGCTATGCCCCAAGCAAATTGTGTCACCATCTTATGGGTAGGACCCCCGCATCAACATTGTTTAAAGCTTCCCGAGTGAGCCCAACATGCAGCCACAGCTGAGAACCACTGCCCCCACCCATTTGGCTGGAGACTTACGTAGGTTCATCCTCACAGCAACCCCGCCAGGGTTTATGAATAAGGAAGCTGAGGCTAGGAGAGTTTGAATCACTCATCCGAGATCCTTGAGGTTCTCCCTCATCCCAAAGCCCATCATTCTTCCTCCTTTGCAGGGCTGGATATACCTGTACAGACCCCGCACAGCATCAGTGAGTGATCCAACCAGCCAGCTGAAGGAGCTCAGAGAGCACTGCAGGGAGACAGGGGAGGTGCCGGCGGAGCAGTCTGCCTGTTCCTGGCGTTTGGGAGGGGGTGCAAGCCTCAGGCCTGTTTTTCAGCCTCCCTCCCAAGTCACGATTGGTCCCTAGTCCTGGGGATCCAGGCTGTCTGGGTCAGTTTGAACCTGAGCCTCACTCAGCAGATGCTCTTAGTGTCTAAGCCCAGCGGTGGGCACTGTCAAGAGCCTGGACTCAGGAGCCGCATTCCTGCCTAGGTTCAAATCCCAGCTCCACTACTTATAAGCTGTGTGCCTTTGCAAAGTGAGTGATCTTTCTGTATGTCAGTTTCTTCATCTGCATGATGGGGTGACGTTAGAGTTGTTAGGAGTACTAAATGAGACAGTGCATATCAGGATTGAAAGCAGTTCCTGGAACATAGAAAACAAGAAAATCCCAGGCACTCTAAGGATTACGACTGTGAACGTGCAGTTCATTGCTGAGCAGAAACTCGATGGAACATGGGCCTGAATCAGTCAAGGTGATAAGTTTAAGTCAATGTTTGCCCTTTGGCCTTGCCTGTTCTTAGCTAGATCAGAACCCCTGGGGTATGGAGTCCACACCTGGAACTTCGAAGGGAAAGGAGGAACCTGTTTTCCCTCTTTGGCCTCACCCCAGCCCAGGGGTCCTTCCTCCTCTCCCACCATGGTCATTACCACCCTTCCCCCCACCCACCCCCAGTCAAATACTGACTCTGGAAGCACCTTCTGCATGGGGCAGGGGGTGGCCCGGATGACCTCTGGAGCTCCTCACCCCACCATGGCAGTAAATCTCCCTTCCCCTACCCCACCACTCAGCCTGTGCCCTGCTGGAGCCCACAGCCCATCCATATGGTTCATCAGCAGCCTGGGAGGGGCCCTGTGGCTGGGAGTTTGTTTGAAGCCTCCAGACCATTGAGGCAGGGGCGGAGCTGTGGTCAGGACAACAGCAGTGCCTTTCACTGGCTCTCTGGGAGCAGCTGTGTGGGGGGCACCGGCCCAGAAGGATGACCGACATCCACCCGCAGTCCTTACTATTTGCGAGGGATAGGGCAAAGGAGGGGCCCAGCCCAGGATGGCTGTGACCACATTGGTTCACATGTTAAGTATGAAAGGAAAAGAAAGAAGGGAAGGGGAGGCGGGGAAAGGGAAGGAAGAAAGAAAGACAGAAAGAGAGGGAGGGAAATAGGGAGAAAGGAAGGAAGGAGGGCAGGAGGAAGGGAGAGAAGGAGGAAGGGATGGAGAGAGGAGACTCACATCTCAGAAGAGAAAAAGCACCAGGAGCTTTCCTTAGTCAATCATCTGCCTGCAGGTTGCTTTACACTCAGGGCTGTGCAGCCCAACTCTAGGCCTCAGCCGCCTCCATTCTGAGGGCCTTGGATACAATTGCCCCCAAACCAGGCATTCCAACCAGGGACCGTGACGGGCCCCAGCTCCAGGCCTCCTGGGTATCCTCTCATGGTTGAGTCTGCCCCCTCCTGAGAAGGAAGAAGAGGCAGGGTGTGTGTCAGCCTCATCACGCATTCCATCTCCCAGACGGCTGCCTCTGTCTGCCTGTGCAGTCTGCTTCTCTTCCAAAGGGTGGTTTGCAGTGCAGATTCATGGCTCCCAGCTAGAAACAGTATTCCCTCTGCCCCTGCGCCAACTCCTGCCCAATTCTTCTGCTCCTCACCCAGTTCCCCAGCACCCTGAGGGGACTGGCCACACAGAAAGGCATGAGAAAGTCTGCTGGCTGTGTCCACAGTGCCAAGGGTTGGAGGTCTGGCAGTCCTCTGCGTTTGGTGTCTGTCCTGATTGTCTCTCCTGGGGGTGACATGGGCAGGATCTCAGCGGGAGGTGAGGCTGGGGCCAGGCACTTCTTCTCCCTGTAAAACACTGCTCAGGGAGAGCAGCTTTGCTGACCTTGAGCTGGGACCCCCCCTTTCAGAGTCTCCCAGTGATAATCCCCATGGGGACAATTGGATGGCCGACCCTCTCTAGCCTTTAGGCTGGGGGGAGAAGAAACCTGAATTTGGGGTTTTTGTCTCTTTCCCAGAAGAGGGGTAGGAAAGAATCAGTAACAGCAATAGCCTGAGCTGGAAACATGCTCAGGGGCCAGTGCGTCCCAGCTTTGAGTATAGAGCTTCATTCTGAGCACTTCCCACATAAAACACAATTGGGGTGCCCCAAGGAGGGGCAGACACCAACATTTCAGGCCAGAATTCCAGACACTTGACTCCTAGGAGAGCTTTGGGTAAGCTGTCTCTTCCTCCCTAGCCTTGGTTTCCTCACCTGTAAATAAGTGGCCTGAAGCCACTGAGGGCCTTTTAGTGCCAGCAGTGAATCCTGTGACTGTGTTCCTCCTATCTCCCTGTATCCCAGGGCCACACCACCTGAAGCATTTTTCCCCTGCCTGGCCACATACCTGCCCCCGGAGGCCTTGTTACTAAGAAGGGCTCATGGAGCTGGAGGAGGTCAGGGGAGCAGTGGGAACAGCCAGAGGCACAGTGGCAGCCTTTGAAGATAAGATTCCTAAGTCTGGGAAATACAGAGGTGTGGCTGTAATAGGAACAGGACACAGACCCTCTCACCATCACAGGGAAACTCAAGGGTCTCCCTTGGGGAGGTCACTACAGAAAAAATGAGAAGAAGCACTTGTACTTCTGTACAGGGTGGGTGTGAACTCATCACCGGCCCAGAGGTGTAGGTAGGCCAACAGTGGACACGGATGCTAGAAAGGTACTATGACATCAGAGTGAGCATGACTGAGTCTGGTTAACGATGGCCAAAACTGTCCCATTCCCACCATCCAATAGCACACCTCTTAGGCCTGGGAGACCCTGGGCAGACTCAGGAGGACGTGTGCTGTGCTGAGCCTGAAGAAGGTGGCAAAGAGCAGGTGTGTGCACGTAGGTCCCTCAGCACCCATGGGACATGTTCCTGGACTGCAAGCCTCATCTTCCTTTAGTACAGTCACTCTAGGCCTCTGAACCATTGCTTCCTTGGCAGGAAGTACCAAATCACAGAGAAGCCTCAAATCATTTTCTTCGGGTTTAGGGAAAGTCACTGATTTTCATTTTCCTATAACATGATGACAATAAGGGCTGGGTTCACATCCCAGCTTTGTCACAGACTAGTTGTGTAACCTTGAATGGGTTTCTTACTCTCTCCAAGCCTCAGTTTCCTCACTGGTAAGATGAGGATGGTAATAATGATTGGGTTGGATTGCTGGGGATTAAATGAGATAATGTAGTAAAGGGCATAATACAACCCTGGCCCTCAATAAGTGCTCATAATGTTGGCTATGGTTCAATTGGACTTTGCTTGGGATAATAGTGAAAGGAATTTTAATTTCAGTTTGATTCATCAGGTGTGCACTAATATTATAGGTCTAGCCCTGTCTGAAACTCTAGGGAGATACAGTCAAGTGTAGATCAGTGACATACCATATTCATGGACTAGAATACTCAGTATTGGTATGATGTCACTTCTTCCTAAATTGGTCTCTAGAGTCAACAGTCTCAAATCAAGATGCCATTAAGCCTTTTGGGCAGAAATTGGCAAGCTGATTCTAAAATATATATGGAAACTCAAACCTACAATATCCAAAGGAATCTTGAAAAAAGAACAAAATTAGAAGTATAAATTAAGGGCTTTGTTTTTTTGCTCTCAGGAACCTTAAGACTAGTGGGGAAGACTAATAAGAGACCCCATGCTGCTTCCTAGGAATGTAGGGTACTGGTGAAGAGTATAGATGCTAGAGCCTGGCCCCTGGCTTTGAATGCTGGCTTTGCCACCTGCTACCTCATGACCTTGGGCAGGGTACTTTTCCCCTCTCTATGTCCTAGGTGTCTCATCTATAAAATGGGATGATCACAGCTTCATTGCCATGGGGCCATTGTGAAGATGAAAGGAGCTAACCCATGTTAGCCTAAGGCTGCCTACTAGGTGTTGGGGAAGGGATGGAAGTAGAATGAGGACAGAGGTTCCGCCCCCAGTACCGTATGTCCTTTGGAGAAGGAAAGCCTAGAAGCTGAACCACCTTTCCAAAAAGGGAAATTCTGGAATAAGGATCTCAGGCTCTGTGAGTACAGCCACCTCCTTTTCTAAGACCCAGACTGGGGAAATAGCTCATCCAGGGTCACTTGGCTGAAGGTTAAATACAGAGGAAGTGTCCAACAGGCAGGGAGTGTGAGCAAAGGTCCATGGCAAGGAGTTACAGCGGTGCTTCTTGGGCCATGGGAGAAGGCTGTTTCTGGAGTGCCGAGTTCGAGGGGGCATGGGGCTAAGGGACAGCCAGCAGGCATGAGTCACCAAGGGGCAGGCTGCCAAATCCAACAGGACGCCCCATGGAGCCCTTTGGCCTGGGCCCAGCTCAGCAGCCCCCTCCCCATCCCCCGGACACACGTACCCCACCAGGCCTGGAGACATTTCCTGAAAGACTAAGAAAGCACTGGGAGCTGGACGGGCGGCCTCAACGGCCAGAGGCTTGAGGCCAGGTCTCTCATGGAGGAGCAGACGAAGGGAGGACGTGACCGGCAGCCTTCATTCTCACAGGCCAGGGATTTCAGAGGAACGCGGCCAAGTCTAGCTCTGAAGTTCCCACTTCAGACCCCGCCCGGCTGGAGCCACGGGCGCCTGCAGTCGCCACCCTGGAAATCAGAGAGGCACGTCATAGGCCACCTCGTGCTGGGGAACACGTCCTCCTGGGGCCTCTGTCAGCTGGCTCACCTGCTGGGGTTCCCGGATAGCCCTTCTCCTTCTGCTGGGCCATGGACCCTCCTCTAGCCAGCTTCCCCCAATCCCTGCTCTCCCTCAGCCCCCAAACCTGTCCACCTTCTCACTCCATCTTCTCAGGAGAGTCCTGGCACCCAGAACAGACCTCCTAGGAATGTCATGTCTCTGTCTTTGAGGTCATGAGCAGACCTGGGGCAGGAAGGGGAGGCCCTGTACAAGCCCTACACTGTGGCTCAGGCCCAGAGAGGGGTTGACACCAGGCCAAAGGAGGGACACATGTCCACAGATAGCTCCCAGGCCTCCTGCATGCTGGCTGGTCAGACCATGAGAGCCACACTGGACAGGTGAGGAAACTGAGGCCCAAGAGGAAATGTGATTTGCCCAAGGCCCTATAGCAAGATAGAGGCAGAGCAGAATGGAAGACCTAAGGCTCCCAAGCCCTGAGCCCCAAGCTCTTTTAAGTCATTTTCATGGTTTCACTTCATTTTCTTTTTTCATTTCCTTCCTTCTTTAAGAGAAAGGCAGGCTCTGGATAGACAGGCAGGGACACAGGCAGGGCTACCAGAAACTCAGAGGAAAGAAGAGAGTGGCCCAGGGTTGGGCAGCCTCTACCCCCAGCCCCCAAGCTGAGTGGAAGCCCCTCCCTCCCACCCAGCCTCAGCCTGGCCCTGGGGGCTCCCCTTAGTGGGAGCTACCAGTTTGTGGACACAGGAATGTGCCTGTGGCTTGCCCAGAGACCCTGAGGGCCAGCACCTCAATCACAGCATCTCCTTGCCCCAAGCAGCCTGCCCCGTCTCAACCGTAGCTTTTATCACCTTCCTCCATGCCTCTCTAGTGAGTGTCTTCCCTGAGTCAGCAGAACCTGTTCATAGTCATCCCTTCTCCCAGATTAATCTCTCTCTCTCTGTAGCCTTCCCTGATCACCCAGGCTGCTGGAGTCTATCTGTGCCCTCACTGGGCACTCAGCTTTTGCCACCTGGTGTTCTTAGTGTCATCTCTTGGGTCTGTTCCTGTCTCTCTAACCAAACTTTAGGCAACTTTGTTCATTCAACACTCCATGAATTCAAGGCCTACCACGTGCCAGGCCCTGGGCTATGGTGGGATTCAGCAGCAAACAGACAGACTCAGCAACCTGCCCTCATGGAGCTTACATTCTAGCGAGGAGGGGATGATAAGCATCAAAGCAACAGATCTGCAAATAAGTAAATTTCCAAAAGGCTGTGGAGAAGGAAGCAGGGCATGTTGGGGGACAATTTTAAATAGGGTGATTGGAAAAGAGCTCACCCAGGTGACCCTTGGATAGGCTTGAAGGAGTGAGCCGTGCAGACCTGGGGAGCATCCTGGTCAAAGAGAAAGAGCAGTGAAAGGCCCAGAGGCAGGAGTGTGCCTGCCCCATGGGAGAACTGCAAGAAGTCCAGGTCAGGGGGGTGGGTGGGAGCCATGGGAAGGCATCAGGTCAGCGGGATGCTGGGATCTATAGGCTCACAAGGACGAGATTAGCTCTGAGAGGGGTGGGATGCATCAGAGGGTTTCCAGCAGGGAAGGCAAGGTCTGACCTGAGTTTTAATAGCGTCACTCAGGCTGCTGGGTTGAGAGGAGTCTGAAAGGGTGGAGTAGATGCAGGGATACCAGCCTGGAGCCTTTAGGGGGACAATGAGCATAAAAGCAATGGATCCACAAATCTGTTGAGTAAATGTGGGAGAGTAAATAAGGGAGAGTCTAAGTAAGGGGTGGTGGTGAAGTGATTAGGGTGAAGGGACAGGTCAGAGTCTGGGTCTACTTTCAAGGAAGAGCTGAGAGGATCCTCTGAAGGACTGGACGTAGGTGCAAAAGAATGTTGGGGTCAAGGATAACCTAAGATCTGGGGCCTGGACAACTGGAAGAGGGGCTTACCACTAACTGAGGTGGGGAAGATGCTTCAGGAGGGTGGACCAGGAGCTCACTATTGGACATGTCATGTTGGAATTGTGCAATAGGAAGTGGCCAGGTTGAGTGGACAGTTGGAGCCCGGCATTCAGAGGGGTGATCTGGATAGAAATAAGCCTCAGGGAGCTAATTTCTATCCAGGTGGTATTTAGGTGGTGCTATTAGGTGGTATTTAAAACCATGAGACAGGATGCCATCTCCAGAGGATGAGGATCTATGGTACAAAGGCCACTTGGTGTAGAGCAGAAGCTGTGTCTCCAGTTGTCTAGAGTTATGAATGGGTGGCTGATGACGGGGCTCTGACTCCACCGCTGTCACAACAGGCCAACTGCAGGAGAGAGGCTTCAGCCTCTGCCCCCTCCCTGGGATCCCCTTGCAGGCTAGCACAAGGGAGGGCTCAGGAGAGACAAGTAATTATCCTTATAAATCAGGAGGCTCCTGCCAGGGAGAAGCAGGGAGGGGCAGGCTGCAACCCCACCCCCTCTAAGTCTCTTGACATTTCCTGGGAAAGTGGTGTCATTTTATCATTTTATTCCTTGGTAAGGCTTAAATTTCAGCTTTGGGAAACTGACAGAGAGGATAGGATAGGTGCCTGGGGGCCAGCTTTGCTCCCTGTGGCTTTATATAACTCAGGCCTTTCCCCACAGCCATTTACAACTCTGGCTTCTGTAATGTGGTGCCAGCAGGATTAAGTTTTTAGCGCCCACTATATTTTGTGCTCTGTATTTCTGACAAAATGTTTCCTCCCTCATGATGATAGCTCAGTAAACAGAATCCCTTGGCGCAAGTGACATGCTGGGTGGCCACAGGCTCCAGGGGGCTTCTTGTGTGCCCCCTTCTCCTCCTCTCTTTTCTTAACAATTAGCCCAGCTCAAGTTTATCTTCATTTATTGACTTTTCCCTAAAATTGCTCCCAAATACTTCTTTGAGGCTGCCATACCAATGCCCAAGCAGGAAAATAGATGAGTTCAAAATGGCAGCCCACCCCAGTTTTATCCGACTTGAGTGCCATTTCCCCAGGAAAGTGGGAAGGTTTTGGGGGAAAAGCCTGATTTCCAGGCAGCCAATACACAGACCACAGGACTGTATCACATAGCCCAGCCTTGCAGATGAGATCCTGAGTCTCCCAGCCACCCATGCCCGCACAGTGCTGGCAGTGGGATACTAAAAATTAAGCACCTGTTACCTTCGCTTCTGCTCTACAGATTTCATCCCCATCCCCATCTCCCCAGGGGAGGCGAGGTAATCTGTACCACCTTGGGATCCTTTGGGTTTTCTGACTAGTAGCCCAAAGGGTGGCTCTCAGCCCCCCAAAGCAATGCCCCAGGGCCATTCTACCTCACTTTCCCCATTCTAGCCCCCAGCTTGGTTCCTGCTCTCTGCCCATTCCTCCTAGAGATATGCAGTCAATACCACTCACATCTTTTGCTGCTCCTTTGACAGATGTATTCCTCCCAGCTCAGTTCCAAGCTGAAGGCATGGGTGAGCCTTTGAACAGTGTTAAGTCACATTAGGCACAGAATCAGTGAGGGTTCGGCACAGCAGTGCTGGAAAGACAGGGTCGGGGAAAGCCAGATCTAAGGGCCATCTGCAACTCGAGAGCTAAGGGCCTCAGCTAAACTCCCAAACAGCAAACCTGGCCTCCCCAGGGTGGGCGAAGGGTCTTGGGGCCGGGGGAGGGGTTGCTGGGCTACGGCTGGTTCTCCCACAGATGGGGTGGCTCTGGCTGAGTAGTGGGGATTGACATTTCAGTAGCCAACTGCCTGAGGTGGGGGGTTGAAGGGAAACTTGGAATCAGAGGGAAGTTTGGGAACATTCTTCCCAGAATAGCTTTAAAAATAGGACAGCTTTACAAACCACCCAGGATGATTGAAGGCAGGTGGGATCGAAGCAGATGCCCTCTGGAGATGCCCTCTGGAGATGCTTGTCAGACTGGAACATGTGGGAACTCTGGAGGTTTTCCTGATTGTTCAGCAGATTTCAGAAGGCAGCCTCGGATCTTCCTTCCCCCAGGCCCTTTGTGTGTATTGCATTCGAGTCAGCACCTGGCAGAGAGGAGGCCCACAAGCATCTGTGGAGGGAGGGATGTGTGTGTGGATGCATGGGTGATCGGTAGGGGGTTGCATGGATAGATGGGTCAGGGTGGGTGAGTAGATGGATAGATGGATGACTATAGACTCCACATTAGCTGGCGAGAGTCCTGTGTGAGGATTCATGCAGAACATGGCAATCCTAAGTGGTTAGTTTTGCCGTAGCTTCCTGTTAAATAGATGTCACCTTCACCTTAGGAAGAAGCTATATTTTGGAAGCAGGTGGCATTACTCCTGGCTTTTTTTGATCCTTGGCTGGCAAGCTTACCTTTTACTTGAAGGATACTGTGTCAAACCATGGACTTAGTTGCCAGAGAGAGGCTCATCAGAGCATGGAGGCTGTCATTTCAAGAGCCCCCATAACTGCCATTCTCCTCTCGCTCCCTAGACCCCTTCAGAGTGCCCTACACCCTGCAGGTGGGCCTTAGCCTCTCCCCCAACCTGATTTCTCCAAGGTCACAATTTCTTGGGATTCTGATAATGCAGTTTTTGAAAAATGGGCCATCTCATGGGCTACCACAGATGCAAGCCTGTACTTCACCTTCTCATCTAACCAGGAGTATTTTAAGGGAGTCCCAGATAAAAGGAAGCCTGCAGTGAGCTCTTCCATTTAATGAAGATGCCCATTGGGGAAAAAAGTCACTTCTTAGTTTTATCTTATTCGGGTTTCTTCAAATGGCTTGCAAAGAGGCACCTGCATCCCCAGGCTCTTTCAGATGGGTAGTCCTATTTTCCCAGGAGCTCTTTAACCTGGAAAATAGAACTAGTCCTCCTTCCTCTGGTTCCCCAGAATCAAGTTCAACACTTGGGTATACTTTCTCTGTTGTCATCAGCCTGATTACTAAGAATTCTGTGTTGGGAAGAATTTCAGACTATTAGGGGAGGCCATCTCTCTTGAGGGAGGGTTTAGTGTAAGAATTTAATGTTTATAGAAAACGGCTTTTTTTCCCCCAACACAAGTCTTTGCCATCCACACCCTGGGAAAGCCGAGCCACCTGGCACCCACAGCTCTCAGCCAGGTACCATCTTTCCTGTGCTGGAAGTCACTGGAACTATAGGTCAGGACAGGGAAGAGAAGCAATCCCCAAATGCCCAGGTGTTGGTTGGTTGGTTTGTTTTTTGAGATGGAGTCTTGTCTGCCACCCAGACTGGAGTGCAATGGCATGATCTCGGCTCACTGCAACCTCCACTTCCCGGGTTAAAGTGATTCTCCTGCCTCAGCCTCCCAAGTAGCTGGGACTACAGGCATGTGCCACCATGCCCGGCTAATTTTTTAATTATTTTATTTTATTTTATTTGAGATGGAGTCTCACTCTGTCGCCCAGGCTGGAGTGCAGTGGTGTGATCTCGGCTCACCGCAAGCTCCACCTCCCGGGTTCATGCCATTCTCCTGCCTCAGCCTCCCGAGTAGCTGGGACTACAGGCGACCGTCACCATGTCCAGCTAATTTTTTTTTGTATTTTTAGTAGAAACGGGGTTTCACCATGTTAGCCAGGATGGTCTCCATATCCTGACCTCGCAATCTGCCCGCCTTGGCCTCCCAAAGTGCTGGGATTACAGGTGTGAGCCACCACACCTGGCCTGAATGCCCAGTTTTGAAGTTGGCTAACATGTCCATCATTCTGCATGTTTATGGATCAGTGAGGGCCTGTGTGCCGACAAAGGGAGCAAGCTGGAGATGGTGAGAACAGAAAGTAGCTTATCAACATGGACATGATGACAAGGAAGTGGCCATCCGAACCTCTGCCATCCCATCACACCTGCCCCCACACTCAACCCCACAGCCACCCAAGGGCAGAAGGACTTAGAACAGGCAAAGCCAGCCCACAGCTGCCCAGGGGAGAAGGACTTAGAATGCTCTTGCCTCTTTTACATGCTCACAGCTTCTGGAATATTTGTAAGTGCACTCCTACTGAAATCGCGTGGGTAGCTGATCTGAGGGACTTGTGTGACGAGAATTGTTTCCCCTATCCACACTGCTTAGTGAGTCTGGGCTGGAGATCTACAGTTTCCTTAAGACCATCCTTTATAGAGCTCAGGTCTTTTTTCTGACAGCTGGAATCACAGGTGCCCACCCCAGAGCAAAAAGGCCATGTCAGCCATCTGCAGCACTGGCCTCCCTCTGCCCAGGTCTCCAATGTACTTGTCAGAGTCCCCTGTGGACTCCAAGGCCTCCTGTGATCAGCCACCCGGTAGATGATTTCCCAGAGCACTACCCTATAGGGAATATCTAAACTATCCCTAATTTTTCTCCCTTCAAATCCAACTTGTCTCAGTCCTGTTTTTCTCATAAAAGGGCAACTTTCTGGCTGGGCACGATGGCTCACACCTGTGATCCTAACACTTTGGGAGGCCGAGGTGGGCAGATCACTTGAGGCCAGGAGTTCAAGACCAGCCTGGCCAACATGGTGAAACCCTGTCTCTACTAAAAATACAAAAATTAGCTGGGGGTGGTGGTGCGTGCCTGTAATGCCAGCTCCTTGGGAGGCTGAGGCACGAGAATCACTTGAACCCAGTGGGCGGAGGTTGCAGTGAGCCAAGATCGCACCACTGCATTCCAGCCTGGGTGATAGAGCAAGACTCCATCCAAAAAAGAAAAGGGGTGGGGGGGCAAGTTTCTGAGTTCTGATCCCTTGAACTGTGCTGGCATGAATTGTAGCTGATATTTTACCTTGTGAGTTGACTGGGGATTTGCTGGGGAGACAGAGCCTTATCCTGATGGTGCGGTGTTAATGGGCTGACCTCAGGCACTGTGGTATTCTGGGGTGGGGGGATGCTCTGAGGCAGAAAGTGCCCTTCCACGTGTTCCTCAGATTCATCCAATGAGGCCTGCACTTTTAGTCCTCCCTGGGTTTCTCTCCTGTAAAACAGGAATCAGGCAGTTAGATCTCATAGTACCTGTGTGAGGTAACAGGGAGCATCTTACTAACCTATTCTCCAGATGCAGCTCAGCAAGGCCGAGTGACTTGCCCAAGCTCTGCTGGTACTCTGCACTCTCCTTGGATGTTTGCCCAGGAAGCAGAGCCCTCGGTGGTGGGCAAAGCCAGTAGCAGGTGGAGAGAGACCCTGCCAGGCCTCTCTGCTCCTCTGACCACAGTCAGAGTGTCTCTTATCACCTGGGTAGCACTTCCTCTGCCCGCGGCAGAGCCAGCGCCACCAGGGGCAAGCAGACGGGTGAGGAGGTGCCAGACAGGATTGATAGTTCCAGCCTCCTGTCCTTTCCTTCTGCAGACCTGTGAGGGAGCTGGTGTTATTTTTATCTGGGGACACTGGCGTGGGAGGTATTTGTTAACGTCATCTGGTAAACGCAGTTGAATTATCTGTTGTCCAAGGAACCCTCAAATAAGTAGTGTTAAGCATGCTAAGCCGCTCACATTTAAAGATACAGTTAGACTCCTGGGAGAGAATTTGCTTATGCTGCTGCCATCACAACTGAAGCCCAGAGCTGTCAGTTCCAGAGCCCGGGCTTTATTTAACCCTCTTCGGTTTGGGGTTCATCACACATAAGGGCTCGTGCTTTTTTGAAAACCATGCTTCCCTATCTGTTCTCTACAAGTGGGAAAGTGCTTGCAGTCTGTGGGTTCAGTGCAGGGACAGGTTGTCTGCACTTGCTACTGAGTGTGTGTTAAGTTAGCACAGTACTGAGTTCCGAGTCCCATGAAGTAACTGTGTGGCATACCGGTGTGTGTCCTGTGCAGCCTGCAGCTTTCTAAAGGCAGTTTCGGGGTGCACCCCCACCTGCAGGCCTTACATTATAGCCCCCTCTCTTAATGCGCTCCCCAGTATTTCTCAAGTGCCTCTGGATCTTGCTGTGTCCTGAGAAGTTGTCCCATGGGTGGGAGCATTGGGCACCATTGTCACTCTCAGCAGTGGTTCTCAACCAGGAGTGATTTTGCCTCCAGCAGACACTTGGCAACGTCTGGAGATATTTTATCTGGAGCTTTCACAACTGGGGGTGAGGATAGGGGCTTCTAGTGGCATTGAGTGGGCAGATGCCTACGGTGCACAGGACAGCACCCCCCAAGAACCAATGAGCCGACCGAAAATGTCAGTAGTGCCAAGAATGAGGCAAGGCTGCTCTAATCTTGAGGCAGATGGAGCCTCCTCTCGCTGCCACCAGCGCGTGACTTGACAGGAGGTGGCTGGGTCAGCAGGGCTATGAGTGGAGAAGGTGAATGGTGCCAGCCAGCAGCCTCGGGTCACGCGGAGCAGTTCAGAAAGTCTTACTGAGCTCTGCAAGGCCAGGATCAAGCCAGATTTTAAGGGGATGATAAGCAAGGTGTGGTCTCTGGCCATAAAGACAAACCATGCAGTTTTGTAGAATACTCTCAGTTCACAAGGAGGTTGTATATCTCTTGCCTCATTCAATCTTCACAACAACTTATGGGCTTGATGGGACAAGTAGAATCAGCCCTATTTTGTGGATGACCAAACTGAGGCCCAGTGGGGTAAATAACTTGCCCAAGGTCAAAAAGCAGCCCCAGATGATGGATTTCTGGTCTTTCACTAGAGCATTTGGATCTCTGTGCTCCTCTTCCCTCTTGGGTCCTACTGGATCCCATGTTGGTGAGGAATCAGTCCTTTCTTGTATTTTTATCTGGGGACACTGGCATGGGACGTATTTGTTAACATCGTGAGTGGACACCTGAATAAGGACAGAATGAACTTCCCATCCTAGATGCCACCCTTTCTCCTGGGGAACTTCTATAATAGCCCAAAGCCAGAGTAATTTCATTTTCATGCCTTCTCTGGCCAAGCTCAGATCTAGCCAGGGACTTCCCCATTAATATAGGGGCCAGAAGCCCACCTCTCTCTGTGCACCCAGATTATTTCCTCCCTGGGGTTGCCACTGCCTTGGAGCCCCCCATCCATTTATTCAGTTAACAGATACACACTGAGGGCCTCCAGGGGCCTAGACGCAGCAGGTACATTGCCGAATAAAGCAGACAGAGTTTCTCTGCCCTTGCAGAACTTGCAATCCGAGTGGGAGAGGCAATCACTGAACGCATAAGCTTACAGGTGTGTCATTTCCAGTTATGATGGGGCCACACAGAAGAGCCAACACAACACAGTGAGGGATGTCACAAGAGTGGAGGGCCTACTTAGAGAAGGCAGAGGGCCTCTGGGAGGAGAAAACAAGTAGACCGAGACTTGAAGGAGGTGCATGTGCACCAGCTTTTCAGCAGCCGGAGGAAGAGGGTCCCCAGCTCTGGTTAGAGAAGCACCGTGGGGTGAAGGTGGGGCACCTTGGTATGCATGGTGACAGGATGGATTTTTCTTCCCCACTCTACCAGTATTTCACAGTCAGCATCCCCATCATCAGAAATATCTTGATGGCCTCCATTCACACATCAAGTCAACGTGAGTCCCCACACTGCTGTTTTATACCTGGCAGTTTTGTACTGTTTTGTACTCTCTGCCAGATACTCAAGAGAGGAAAAGAGGAATAAGATACCCAAGAGGCTTACAGTCTAGCCAAGGAAATAAAACATGCAGGCAAAACTAGGGCCAGCCGGAACATCTGCCCCCATCTCCAGCCAGCCCATCACATTCCCCACCCTCAGTCCCCTGATGTCAGTAGCCACCTACTGTTCTCCCTCCTGTCTGCAGAGATACCTTCCCTCTTGCTGACTCCAACACCCACCATACACTGGCCAAGGTGTGGGAGGTCAGCCAGGCTACCCCATAACACCTGGCATGGATAACCCCCCACACACCCATGTCCTTGGTAAGACCAAAGAAGCAGGAGGAGCAGGCATCTGCGGAGGTGCTCCCCTGGCCAGGCATTTTCATCATCACGGTGTTTAGCCGTGTTTCCCTTTTCTGGGTGGGGAACGTGAGACGGTAGAAGACCTGGGGCTTGCCCAGGTCCAAGGGCTGAGTGGGAGTCGGACCAGAGTGCCTCACCCAGGCCTGTCTGGCATTCAAACCCATTGTGCATATCTTGACACACTAGTGATTTTCATGTATTTTTAGCAGAAGAGTTGTTTTTCCAAACTCAATCTCAGGCGTGTCCTCAACCACATGAAACAGACCTGGCAAAGGGCCTCTGCCTGGGATCCAGGAGCTTTGAGTCTGCCCACTCAACTGCCCTTCACCCATCCCCACAGGTGGCCCAAGCCTCCTTGGGAACAACACAAGGGGCCCATCTAGTCTTCAGACCGGATCTCAGAACGAATGGAGAAGGTCTGAGCACTTCCTTCAGGGCCACCCCCACCCCCGGCACTGCTCAGAACAGACCTCACTGAGTCCAGTGGGGCAGAACCACACAGAATGGCACACTGTGAGAGAGGGGCCCATTCAGACAGAGCCCGGTGCAAACAGCTGCCATCCACGTCTGCAGAAATGGCAGGCACAACAGTCACTTCCTGGTCTATAACCCCATATGGTCTCCAGAGGCAGGCACAGGCCAGGATCACCATTTCACAGACGCAAACGTTGGTCTCCCCCAAGCTCCCTAGACTTTGTGTCCTTCTCTATCCTGGCTCCCTCCGCCTCCGGCTGTTCCTCAACTGTTGTCCAGTAGACATTTTGGGATACGGCTTAGATAAAGGATGTGTGCACTCCCATTGCAGCTTCCTTGAGGGATAATGCCACATAAATGTTAACATGACTTTTAAAGACCATCTGTGGCAAAGTTCAAAGTTGTGGGTGGATGTGAGCTTCAGGCCGAGTCATTCTGGAATCCCCATTATAGGTCAAATCTTTTTGTGAGCATTTCAAGGGGTTTTCTCAAATTCTATAAATAGCTTAGTAACGCCTGTGTATTCATCTATTTTTAAAGCCAGTCTTCCGGACAATTTCAGAAGTAATTGGGCCACTCATTGAAAGTAGGGTTTCAAAAGTCATTTCTTCAGCTTCCAACTGCTTCCAGAGCAGAGGGATCCCAGATGCCATTTCTGCCTAGGGTTGGGGACCCAACCTTCTTAGTAGAACCTGGTCCAGGCAGAAACCGTGGAGAAGACTCTAGGAATCTCCAAAAAGCTGGATAAGCTGAATTCTGGCCCCAGCTCCCAGTTCCTCCCACAGGAAACCTTGGATACAACATTCATCCAACTTATGCTTCAGTTTCTCACATAGCAGAATATGGGCACAGTCACCCTTTGCTGATTAGGAAGGGTTATTACACCTGTTTGCGTCACTCTGTCACCTGGGTGCAGGTCAAAGGTCTCTTTCATTTTATAGATAAGGATGCAGAGGCACGGTGACTGGCCTGACAGTCACATGGTGACTTTCCATTTTATAGATGGGGACACAGAGTCACAGCAGTTGGCCAGTCTTGCTGTCCTTTTATTTTGCGGTTGGCCTGCTCCTCAGGCTGAGGCCTCAGTGAGCACAGCCCCACTCTGTTTCCACAGAGAGCTTCATGTCATGGATAAGACCTACCACCTGTGCCCGGGCCTAGGCCTGGCAAACACCTGTCTCCAAGCCCTCGGCCTCTCTCCTGGGCAGGATGGCAGCCAGGCAGGGAATATCCGAATTCTGCAGAGACAACAACTCAGCCCTCTCCTCTGAGGACCTGGAGGGAAGTGTAAGGCAGGGGTGGGTGGCTGTCATGTCTGCATGATGACCTTTTCAAACTTGATGCCTTGGGGGGTCCAAAGAGCACCAGGCCCAGGATCAGAGACCTGGGTTCCAGCTCTGTCAACCTCAGAAGGTAGGCAGATCAAGGAGCCTCATCCTCCAGTGAGCTGCTGTGTGGGGCAGAGCCAGGAAAGCTGCAGGAAGTGCCTAGAAAGGCAGAGTGCTGTGTAGAGGTATGGCGAGACAGTGACATGAACATCAGGCAGGCGGCAGAGAAGATCAGGGCGCCAGCACGGGCACCAGCTACTAAGTGTGTAATCACTGAGGGCTGCCCTTGAGCCTGGGAACTTCAGCCCCCTCACGCCCCTTGACCTGACAAGTGGTACTAACGTCCTCCCTGAGGCTGAGTCCAGTGACACCTTGCTTTGAGGAATTCCTGCTTGTCCCACTGGTATTCTTCATCTGTCAGACAATCCAGCCTTCTCTCTCTGCTCAGGCTGAAAGGAAAACTTCCAGCCTCTTCTGAGGGCTTTTCAAGGCCACAGCCACAGCAGGTGCTGGCTCCCTTGCCTGAGAATAAGGCTTCGCGCCTGCCTAAGTGTGAGACAGAATTCCTGCTGGATCAGCCTGACTTCTCAGCTTCTCTCTGCTGCAACCCAGCGCCATCCCCCCGCCTCCCTGTCCCCTCCTACGGATCAGCAGAGCTGAGCCTACCTGACCTGATTTTGCCAATAGAAATATGCTGGGTGCTCACAGCCTGGGAAACTTGGAAATGTCTCCAGAGTGATCCAGATTTAGCTGGAAGTGGCTGATGGCTGTTCCCAGCCACAGTGTGTGCCCTTTGTCTAGAGCCAACTGCTGGGGAGAAAGCATTTCCAGCCACAGTGTCATGAACCATCAGTCACAGAGAATGTGTCTGGTAATTTTTTATTAATAATAGTTAAAGGATCGGCATTTGGGGCTTGATTTTCATGTCCATTGATTAGAGCAGATTCAAGATAATCCTCATCATATCACTCTCTCTTCATTCTTTTGGATGGGACAGAAAGGGCAGCAATCACCCAGTACATCGGGAATTTGACATGATGCTCAGGAGAGTGTCAGGCACCTGTGACAGCCACCCGATGGTCCTAGGTAAGGCCTGTGATTGCAGGGGGCAGCTGTTATTTCTGCGTGTGGTCCAGGGATCTGTCACTGAGCCCACCTGCCCCAGCTGCAGAATGACCACATGACCTGGTTCTGTCCAATCAGGGAACCCCATCACCACAGCCACAGTGATTGGGCTGAGAGATAGTCATGTGATGAGCAGGGCCAGTCAGAATCCTTCCCTGAGATTTGAGGGTTTGACATTTGGGGAGGGGGGGCTCTGTCTTCCTTTTGGCTCAAGAACCATTATGAGAGAGACCAGGTGCTGCTGACCGCCATCTTAGCCATGGCAAAGGGAGAACCTGTCTGTGGCAGCAGAAAAATCAGTCAGCATGCAAGTCAAAGCCCAGACAAGGGAGAGAGGGGAGAGAAGGGAGGACCAGCCCTGGGGTTGCTGTTTGAGCCCTGGGGACAGGCTGTGTCCTAGGGCCCACCTTCCATGTAAGACAGCCCAGGCCTGTGTGCCTCTTCAGCTAGTCTGAGATGGTTTCTGTCACTGGCATCCAAGAATCCTCAGTGTCTAGGGGCAGAGCAGAGTGAAGCAGTGGAATGGTCAGGGGTCGTTGGCCAGGGAGATCAGGGATACTTGGGGAAAGGTTCAAGTCCACCTAAAAAGGGACACACCCAAACCCAAGGAGTAGTTCAGGGCCCAGCTGGCATCAGAACTCAAGCAAACTTGTCCCAGGGCGGAGGCTGCAGCCCAGTGCCCACATGGTCCCCGTCTCCCTCCAGACAAGATGTGCAGCCACCACAGACTGTTGCCAGAGTGCAGAGTGACATGCAGGTCAGATTCTGACTGCTCCAGAGTCTAGGTGTGGCTGAGTCCTCAGGGCCAGGCCTCAGGGCTCAGCAGGACTGAGCCAAGACTGGCAGCTGTGGCCAGGACGTGGCATGATGGCCAGCTGTGAGTACAGCCCAGCAGACATGCCCCTTGGCTGGGCTGCATGTGCAGACTGCCAGGGGTCGGGGGCGGCCAGGTCCGAGGCAGGCTTTGGTGGATGGAGTAACTCAGGATACAGCTACCAGGTCTCTCTGCCGCTTATTCAGCACCTACTTTGCACCAGATACGTTGCACATGTTACTCATTTAAGCCAAGGAGGTTTGCCTGACCCAATCAGACTGATGCCAAGACCTTCCACGATGCTGCCCTAGGTGGGTGTGTGAGAGGCAGGGTCCATGGGCTGCCACCCAGGACCCGGGCAATAACCAGATCACCCCTTCCCTGCTTCTCCTCCTATCCTGACTCCAGCTCTGCTAGAAGCACTGCCCACCCAGCCTCAGTGCCCACTTCTCTGACTCTGCCCCTCACCGTCCAGTCCCCAGCATCCAGGCCCCAGTCTCATCCTCATCCCCAGGGCCTGGGAATCCATTATTTTGTCACCTAGGAGAAGCCTGTTGTACTGATGAGTTCTTTTTGTCCCAAGTCACAGGAACCAACTTGAGGTGGCTTAACATTGCTAAATCCTTTTCTGTAAGGATTCTGAGGTTTCATGGAGCCCAGAAGTCCCAGGGAAGGACAGAAGGGAACATTCAGGGTCGTCTCTCAGGCTGGGGGTAACCTGATGTGTCACAGTGTCTGTGGGTTCCATGCTGCAGGCCAGCCCTACGCTTGGGAATTCCCAGCCCTCTGCTTCACTGTTGATAGGAACAGGTGCCAAGGAAGGACTGCACTGTCTCTCTGAGCTGGAGGCTCCTGTCCTGGGCTCCTCCCAAATGATGATGACTGGGGTGAGAAAAGAGCCTTCCAGGAACTACCCAAGGCCAGGTCTAGCCATGGGGGCCAGGCCGCAGGCCCTGGGCTGTGTGATAGGAACGGAGGAGTGAGGGGGCTTCACTGGTGGGGGGGACCAAGGAGGAAAGCCTGCCGGGGGGATTGCAACTAGCCTCAGCAAAGCCCTGAGGGGAGAGTCTGACACAGGGGAGACTCGGGGTTGGGGTGGAGCTACATTGACGTCAACTGTGACCCCACCACACCACCAAAGGGCGGCTCTGCGGAATGTCGTGGCCTTACTTGAAGCAACCCTGGGAAGGGGGAAAAAAAATCCAATAAGCCAAGAAACATCACTGTATGGCAAAAATGTTACCCACAAAAGTGAAACAAATGTCATGAGACGGTGGCCTTGGAGCAGGGACTGGGACTGGCCCAGAGAAGGTGGGAAGAAAATATCAGGAGTGAACTGTCAGCCACAAATGAAAGAAAAGATGAGACAGGCATACATGCTGACTCTGTACTCTTATGTCTTAGATTAACAGCCCCCTACCCTTTGGACAGGTTGTCCTCTTAGAGAAGAGCTGTCTGACCACGTACCGTGGGATATTTATGCATCCGGTCCACACACGTTCATTGAACACCTACAACGAGCCAAGTCCCATTCCAGGGGACATGAAGATGGCTCAGAAAACAGGATTCCTGCCTTCAGGAAGCCCTTCTAGCAAAAAGTCAGGTCATCAACAGACATCAGACCTAGTGGAGGTGATCAGGGCTGGGAAGGAAGCATAGCAGAGTCGGAATGAGGAGTCCCGGGGGCTGTGGTGGAGGGGACAGCCAGGGAAGCCTCCCTAAAGAGGGAATGTGGGAGCAGGAAGGTGAAAGAAGGAAAGTTGGGGCCAAATAAAAAATAAAGCACCTTTTATTTGAAAATTAGTTTCCTCTTTTCAGTATAAAGAATTCTGTCAAATATGTTTTTTAAGCCATGCAACCAATTGCCCGGGAGAAGAATGCCTGGGATTGACTCCTGGCTGCTGGGCTCCCACAGCTCCCCATGGTCTGTCCCTCCCACATGTATCCAGCTTCTCAAGGAAAAGAAACTTCCTGCTAGCAGTAAATAAAAGTGCACTTTCTCCTCCCCACTGGAGAGATGGCAACAGCAGCCACCTCTCTGGACAGAAACAAACCAGGGTCACTGGGGGCATAGCGTTTGGATGGGCAAATTTCCCTAGGCCATTCATTTTCCAAGAGGGAGCCCGAAATGAAGGTGAGTTTGCAGCGATTGGTAGGGGCTGCCCATCTCCCTCAGGAAGTGTAAAAAATATATGCATCATAGTCCTTGTGCCTCGACTACCCCCAACCCCACCCTCCAGCAGCATCTCCCTGTGGTGGTTTGCGCTGCTGGGTGGTGTGGGGGTGTTTTTTCCCCTTTGCCTGTATACAGCTGTTTTTGGCTTGGCCACTGCGCTCCACCATGCCAGAGCTCATGTGGTTATCCCGAGTGGGAAGAATTTCCCAGAATGCCTTGAGAAACCTGAGACACTGAATGGCTTTCAGGGCTTATTGATGTGGCCGGTGCAGGAAATAGCAGTACGTCAATAAATAGTTTTAGGCAGGAAACGGGGCTTAAATGGTAGCCTTAAAGTTTGGGGAAAGGCACTAGGGGTTGCTGGGAGGTAGCCTGCCAATCAGATGAGAACCTAGAGCCAAATACCAGGCTTTGAAATGGCTGCCACCAATCTGAGGCCCCTTGCTGCTTTTGGATACAAGAGGCTGAGGTTAGGGGCAGAGCTAGAGGAATGGCTTGTTTCGGTTGGCAGAAAGGACTCCTTGTTCCAGAGGAAAAGCTGGCAACCTATAACATGTGTCAAGAGGAGACACACAGGCTGGGTTTTGGTGGCCTCTGGGCGGGGCATGTTCACACCCCAGTTCCCCACCCTTCTCGTGAGAATCACTGCTGACTGGCAGATTACCAGAAGAATTCCACTGTCCTAATGCAAAAAATCAAGGAAAAGGGTCACAACCTGCCAGTTTCTTTTAAAATAGCTGTTTTTCTGATTATAAAGAGAAACATTCACAGAGAATCAGAAATTCAGAAAGTAATGTAGAGAATAAAGGTCATCCATAATTCCGCTATTGAGAGACAACTCCTGTGAAACACTATTTCTCCTCTTTCTTTTTAAAAAAAACTCTATTCATGGATGAGATTATATGGTAAATGCAATTTCAGTTTTGCTTTTTTCATTTAACATTATATAAACATTTTCCCCATGCTATTGTAAACGTTTCATAAACTTTTTGTTGTTGTGTTTTTTTTTTTTTTTTTTGAGACAGAGTCTCGCTCTGTTGCCCAGGCTGGAGTGCAGTGGCGCAATCTCGGCTCACTGCAACTTCCACCTCCAGGTGCAAGTGATTCTCCTACCTCAGCCTCCTGAGTAGCTGGGATTATAGGTATGTGCTGCTATGCCCAGCTAATTTTTTTGTATTTTTAGTAGAGATGGGGTTTCACCATGTTGGCCAGGTTGGTCATGAGCTCCTGGCCTCAGATGATCTGCCCATCTCAGCCTCCCAAAGTGATGGGATTACAGACGTGAGCTACTGCACCTGGCCACATAAACATAATTTTTAATGGATGCATGAATCATCATTTACTTAATTGTTCCCCTGTTGTTGGGTGCTTAGGTTTTTAGATTTTTATGTGCATTAAGCTTATTTTTTCTAATATTTTAAATTGTTTCCTTATGATAATTACCAGAAGTGCAACTACCAGAGCAAACAATAAGAACTCTTAAGACTTATTTTAAGGATTTTCAGAAAAGTCATACCAATGCCCATATATAAGTGCCTGTCTCACTGCATCCTTACCAGCATTGACAATTACCATTTTAAGTTGTCCTTATATATATAGATGGGAAAAAGACGTTTTCATTCATTCAATTACTACTGATATTGAATTAAGTTGTTTTCATATATGTATTAGTAATTTACATTTTGACACAGGATTTACCTCTTAATGCCCTTTCCCCATTTGTTCATGAGGGATTTCATACTTTTATTACAAATTTGAACACACTATTTATATATTAAGACCATTGCCCTTTGTCACATTTATTGCGTGTATTTTCCTGAGCATATCAATTGTCTTTTAATATTTTGATGCATTCTTCCATTGTCTTAGTGAAGAAAGCCCCCCTCCTTCCAGAAATGTGAGAAATACTCTTTCATTCTCTTCAAATTTTTGGTCCTTTTTTTTTTTTTTTTTAACATTTGACTCTTTATTCCATCTGGAATTTATTTTAGAGCCCAGTGTGAAGTAAGATTCTAAATTATTTTCCTCCTGATACTTAGACAGCTGTCCCTGCACTGTTGCTTGAGTGAATAATGCTTCCTTTGCCACTGATTTGTGGTCCTCAAGGGATCATGTGATAAACCTTTGTGGATGCCAAATTTGTTTCTAGGCTATCTGATCTAGCTCTCCATTCGGATGTCAGCTCTACAGCCTCTTAATGAATAAAGCTTTATTAAGGATAAGTTAAGAGTAGTGTAACTCTTTCCAATGTTGTTTTGTTTTTAGTTATTTCCCTTGCTATTCTTTCAAATTACTTTTAGGATTATTTTTTCAAGTCTTCATTTCCTTTTCTCCCAAAAAAGTTCACATTGGGATATGGAGTACAGATTGATATTAAACCTGTGAATTATTTCAAAGAGAATTACCATCTTCACAATGCTGTCTTCTCAATAAGGAATTGTGTGTGTTTCTTCGCTAGTTGAAGACGTTCTCTTAAATCTTTCAGTTTTGTTAGGCAATTTTCTTTATAGAATTCTTGCATATTTCTTAATAATGTCACTTAAGTATTTTATTGCTTTATTAAATGAGCTTTGTACATTAAAATCTCACTAGTTAATTCTGTCATAAAAGAAAGCTGTTGATTTTGTGTATTAATTTTGTATCTAAATATTCTTATTAATTAGTCACTGAACTCTCTTGTTAATGATACTCTTTATTAAAGGCTTCTCTCAGATTTTCCATATATTTAATCAAATCATTTTATCTCTTCCATTCTAAGGGTCATAGGTGTTGCTGCCGTTTTTTAATCAAGCCTATTGAAGTAATACATTACATTTATAGATTTCCTGATACTAAGTCATCCATGCCTTCCTGATAAAAATCTACTTGGTTATAATGGATCTGTTTGTTAGTATTTCACTTGGGATTTTATATCTATTCACATTAGCAAGATTAACTTGTAGACTTCCTTATTTGTAACTTACTATCATGAGATTTTGTTTATAGGGAACTGGTTGGAAAGCGTCTCTTTTTCTATGTTCTGAGTCAGTTTGCAAAGGAAAGCAGTTACCTAATTTTTTGGAAGTTTGAATGAACTTACCTATAAAAATTGTAAGTTTAGAGATTTCCTTATAAAGGTAATTCTTTCATAACTTTCATTTTAGCTTATGAATTTTTAGTTTATTCTGGCTCATTTCTTTTTTAGCAAATGTTGATTTTTTTAATGAATCACCTATTTCATCATTTTTTCAAAATTATCAACATAGAGTTATAAATAATTTTATTATACTTTTTTTCTATATCATATCTGTTTTCATATCTAATTTTATTTCTGTTTCTTCTTTCTTGATTTTATATGTGATTTCCTTTCTCTATTTCCTAAGTAATTAATTTGGGGGTTTTATCTGTATTATGTCCTTATATTTCCTTAGCTATTGTTGGTTTTCTAATTGTTTTAGTTAAATGTTTAGATCAACATTGTCTGGTAGAAGTATAATGTGATCTACATATGTAATTTTAAATTTAATAATATGTGTTATAAAATTTCATAGGTAGGTAATATTTTTAAAATATGAGACATTTTACATTCTAGTTTTTATACTAAGCCTTTGAAAAGTAATATCTGTTTTACGCTTACAGCCCATATCAGTCGGGATAGCCACACTTCAAGGGCTCAATATATTGTCACATGTGGATAGTGGCTACCATATTGGATAACATTGGTTTAGATGATATATTTTCTTCCATTATTTAGTGGCCAAAATAGTTAAGACTATAAATTGACCTTTCATTATAGTTTTGACCACATCCCACAAGTTTTTATAGTTATTTCCTAGATAATCTAATACAGGTATTGTATATTTGAGTATGTCTTTATTTCATTTTTCTTTAGAAGAATACCTTTTAAGTATTCAAGCAATTGGCTATTTTTTAATTGTTGTTAATTCATAGTCCCAGTATGTAACCTGTACAATTTCTATGTTTTGAAATTTATACTGAGATCACAGCTTACTATGAAGCTTGTTTCAATTTAATCTTATTAACTATATTATTTAAATCACCTAAGTCATTTGTTTTTTATTCATTTAATCGGCCATAGAATGTTAGTGGTTTTATTTCCTGATATAATTCTTCCTTTCTGGTTTTTTTCCTATGTTTCTTTTTTTTTTCTTATGTTTCAATAGCTTCAGGTATATTCAAATCTATACTATAAAGTCTATAACATTTTGTGTTATCTCTTTATTATGGATTGTATTTTTATATATAAAACCTTATAATTTTATTTAATAATTGTTATCTTAAAAATACTTCCCTTTTACTACTACTTTATTTTCATTTGCTCACTCTTGTTTTTACCCATCCATTTATTTTTTTATATCCTGTTTTCAGTTCTGCTAGTGGTTACTAGTGTTTACTTTTAGCATTTTAAAGGCATACTTTCATTTTTTTTCTCTGATTCCCAAGCTTAAGAAAGATGCAATAACCTGTGAATCCTTATGGCCTAAATTAGGAAATGTTGTGTGCTTTACAGACTTCTATCCCCTTCCCACCAGTATTTACTAATCTCTAGTAATTTAATCTTGGATTATTAAGTCACTACTACTATAAAATTCTTATTTAAATTACATTTTAAAATTAAATATCTTCTCTTCCAAGGATTATTTCTGGCTTTTGATTCCATTGTATAACCAAAATTATAATGACTTATTTTAACTTAACTTAATAAGTCTACCTGGTTGTAGTTTCAGTTTTCCCTTCTGTTTCTTCTATACCATGGTTTCCTCAGAGTTAAATCATAAATTTTGTTGGCCATAACATGCATTCGGAAAGTTCTTTTTATTTTTTATTATTTTTAATTGTAGTTTTAAAATAACATAAAATATACTATTTCAAGCATTTCTAAGTGTACAGTTCAATAGTGTAGAGTCACATTCTCATGCAACCAGTCTCTAAAACTTCTTCATCTTGCAAGACTGAAACTCTCTACCTATTAACCCCCCATGTCCCCTGCTCCCCAGCTCCTTGTAACCACCATTCTACTGTCGTTTCTGTTTATGGGTTTGGCTACTTTAGATACCTGCATAAGTGAAATCATGCAGTATTGTCTTTTTGTGACTGGCTTATTTCACTTTGCATAATGTGCTGAGGGTTCATTCACGTTGCAGCATGTGTCAGAATTTCTTTCTGTTTTTAAGGCTGAATAGTATTCCACTGTATGTATATATCACGTATTGTTGATCCATTCATCTGTGGGTGGATGCCTGGGTTGCTCCCACCTCTTGTCAGTAATGCTACATACTGACATCTCTTTGAAATCCTGATTTCATTTCCTTTGGATATATACCCAGAAGTGGAATTGCTGGATCATATAGTAATTCTGTTTTTGATTTTTCGAAGAATCACCATACTATTTTGTTTTTTGAGATGGAGTCTCACTCTGTCCCCCAGGCTGGGGTGCAGTGGCATGATCTCAGCTCACTGCCACCTCCGCCTCCCGGGATCAAGCAGTTCTCCTGCCTCAGCCTCCCGAGTAGCTTGGATTACAGGCACCCACCACCACACCTGGCTAATTTTTTATATTTTTAGTAGAGGCGGGGTTTCACCATGTTGCTCGGGCTGGTCTCGAACTCCTGACCTCAAGCGATCGACCTGCCTTGGCCTCCCAAAGTGCTGGGATTATAGGTGTGAGCCACCGCGCCCAGCTGGCCATACTATTTTTCATAGCAACTGCAGCATTGAATTTTTTAAGATAAACATGTAGGAGTGATTTGTTTTAGAACTTGCTTATGTAAGATCTTTCTCTCGCTTTCACTCATAGGCAGGTTTGTTCTTTTCCCTTCAAACTCATGAAGACGTTGCCTTCATGTCTCTGAATTTTTAACCTCAAATAAAGAAGTATAAGGCCAACCAGATTTTTCTTCCTTTGTAAGAAGACTGTCTTTTGTTCCTTCGTAGCTGTTTTTAAATTTTTCTTTTTCTGCGAAACTAAAAAAGAAAATTCAGCGGGGGCAACGTAGACCTTGTCTCTACAAAAAAATTTAAAAGTTAGCCAGGCATAGTGTTATATGCCTGTAGTCCCAGCTACTCAGGAAGCTGAGGTGGAAGGATCACTTGAGCCTAAGAGGTCGAGGCTGCAGTGAGCCTTAATCGCACCACTGCACTGCAGCCTGGGCAACAAAGCGAGACCCTGTCTCAAAAAAAAAAAAAAAAATGAAAAAAGAAAAGAAAATTATTCCGCTAAGTAAAACTGGGGCAGGGCAAGGGACTTCCGGAACACTGTGAACACTTTTTACCCAAAGAGTCAACTCATTTTTATTATTATTTATTTTCAGTGAGAAAGTTTATTTCTCTGCTCTCTTTGTTCTGTGTATTCTGGTATGCTTTTTGAAAACTTCTCTAATTCACAGACTAGATGTCCACTCTCTATCTTCTCTATCGTTTTTCTTTTTGTTTCTAGTCTATTTATCTTTGTATTCAGCTTTCTGGTCTATTTATCTATTCTGCTCTCTAGGTGGTTTCCAAGTTTATCTTCTGCATTACTTTTTCTGCATTATCCATTCTATCCTTTACTGCCTCCAATTCATTTTGATTTTGCTGTTGGATTTCTAGTTTCCATTGGCTCTCTCCTAATCCCAGTTCCTGTCTCACACTTCATTTCAGCCTGAGAGTTGCTTAGCTAATCACAATCCCTTCCTTCGAATGCCTATTCACACATCATAGAATCTATATTGTCATTCTCCTTACATACAAGCCCACATGTTTTGCACTTGAGTTTTTCATTTTATTTATATCTGGTTGATTGTCATTAATATGTTCAGAGTTACACATTTCCATTAAGTTTTCACGACACTGCTCCTTTATTCTGCCAGGCAGGATTTTTGTGTAGATGCCATATTGCTCTGCGCCTCCCTCAATCCTGAATGAGATCACCCCTGTCTGGTCTTTTGTGTTTGCTGTGCGCATCAGCCTTGGACTAGCTTGGTGTCTGCTTAGGCAGAGTCTCCCTCTCAGACCTAAAGCTGGAGGGTGGCTTCATGAGCTCATCTCAAATCCAATTTCCAATATTTAGCAGGCATTCAATCTCCTAGTAACCTTTGCTAGCCCAAAACAGAATGCTCTCTTGATGCCATGGATGATCAGGAAGAAACTGAGTCAAGAGCTAGTTCTTTGATCAGATGCAATCTATTTTTTAAAACTTCAGTTCCTTGTACACACTGCCTCCAAGTTTTTTCCTGCCCCAGAGGGCTTTGCCTGAGAGCACCATCCCTTAAAGGACACAGCATTTCACCCAGTCTCCTCCTGCCCCTGCACTGCCCCGAATCTCCAAGGCCTGGAATAAGGGTGGTGCAGATGGGAGCTGCCTTAATACACAGGCACAGGGCTTTGCTAGTACTGACAGATACTGTCTACCAGCCAGAGACAGATAGAGGAAGGGGCTGAAGCCTCAAGCTACCCCCTGTCTTTGGTCTTCTGGGTCCCCTGGGCAACCAGAATTTGTTGGTGACAGCACTTTAGTTAATGATGTCACCTCCTGAGTCTGGGAGGAGTCTGCTGGGGAACTGTTATCTTCCTTCTCAGTGTTGCTGTGGGACTTTGTTCTTTGATGTGTGCCTTCATGGGTATTTTTAGGGAATATAAGGAAATGACAAGCTGGGGGTTGATAGAGGGGCACCATTTTAACACCCGAGTTAGCACTTGATAAAGGCCTAGAGTTGTGGTTCAGAGCCATGGTTGCACGTTAGAATCAGCTGGGGAGCTGCCAAAAATTACCAGTGTCTGAGCCCCACCCTGACCAGTTACACAAGACTTTCCGGGGTGGGGTCCCAACATCAGCAGCCTCAGAGTTCCTCCAGGTGACTCCAATGTACAACCAGGGCAAGAGCGTTTAACCCAGAGCAGAGAAGGGGCTTAATTTTTCATTCAAGTTCTAGTACTGTGTGGCCTTAGTCATGTCTTTTAATATCTTTGTGCCTTAGTTGTCCCCATTTTAAAATGAGAATGGTAATGCCCACTCTTGCTCAGATCACATAAGAATATTGTGGGATAAACAAAGGTTCATGAGAATGAAACCACCAAAAGATGTGTGACTTCAAGCCCAGTAGTGCAGGGTCCTTGGCAGGCCCTGGGGTGGCAGGCAATGTAATTCATTCATTCACAAAGACCCTGAACAGCTAGGACCCCCTGTGAACACTGCCTGCTCCAGGCTCTGGACTAGGGAGAAGAGACAAAGCTGTCAAAGATGCTGGGCACGCACTACTTGCGGGGTCCCTGGAGTCTCTTGTGGTCCCTTTTCACCCTGGGTGAAAGATAAACAGCAGAACTCTACAATCATACCCAGGTGGACAATTCAGTGAGAAAGGAGTGGGGAGGCAGGAGGCCTGAGGGGTCAATATGAGGCCCATGAGGTCTGCAGGCATGGCTGCACTTACAAGGGACCGTGTGGACAAATGGCTTCGTGGAAAGTACAGACTTGGAGAGTGACTAAGCGTGGGCTCTGATGCACTACTTTCCAATTTAAAAACACCATAAGAGCTGCTCTTGCCACAAAAACAAACAAAACAAAAATGGGTAACTGTGAGATGATGGATATGTTGTTTGCTTCACTATAGTAACCTTTTTACTGCCTATATGTATCCCATTGCATCATGTTGTATACCTTAAATATACACAAAAACATTTTTTGAAAAATAAAAAACACCATAAGGAGAAAAAATGTTTGGTCTCCAGAGCAGGCTGACGTCAGTTTGAATCCCAGCCCTGCCACTGGCTCATAGTCATGGGCAAGTTACACAACTTCTCTATCCTCAGATTCTCCATCTATAAAATGGGGCAGTAATAGGACCTGCCTTATAGGACCATTGTGATAACTATGTAAAATACCACAATTAATATCCTTGGCTCAGTGTCTGGCTCACAAATAGCAGCTGCTGCTGTTACTGTTTTACATATAAATATAGATATCAAAATAGTTATAGATACACACACAAGTATATACTTTTTTGTAACTGATGAAACTCAGGTCATTATAAGCTGTGGCCTAGGCTCATCCAAAGCTGGCACTGCAGGGCTTCTCAGCCAGCCCCTGACCTGCCACCTGAGGAGACCAAGGCCCACCCTCTAGATTGCACCTTCATCACTCACAAGGGACAGATGTTAACCAAGTCATCTCTGAGGGCCTTCCATCTCTGGAGATGCTGAGATTCTGGTGCCAAGGATGCTTGGCTGAAGTCAGCAGTGGTGTGGGGGACTGGGCTGTGGGAATGCTCTGAGTCACATTCTACAACCTGTCTTCCCATGTTCTATTTTGGTGGTGACACAGTCACCCAGACCAAGAATCTTGGCGTCATCTTGGAGTCTCCCCTTTCCATCAACCCTTACAACCCACCACTTAGCAAGTACTATTGACCTTCACAATGTCTCTTGTGTCACTCCTGTATTGGTCAGCTATTGAGGCTGAACAAACAACCATAAAAATCTCAGTGGCACGCAGCAGTAAGCGTGCATGTAGATGGTGTGTGTGCAGGTTGGTTGGGGGTCACCTGACCTAGGCTAGACTTAGGTGAGGCCCTGTCGCATATGTTGCCCACCTTCTCCCTGGGACCATCAGGCTAGCCCAGAGAGAGTCTTCTTAGGATGACAGAAGAAACATGAAAGTCAACATAAATATTTAACGCCTCACATCAGAATTGGCACACCATCACTCCTGCCTCATTCTATTGGCCAAAGCAAGACATATGGCCAAAACCAAAGACAAGAGGTAGGGGAAATATCTTTCTGAATATTATTTAAGCTACCCCAGATTCTTATCTTTCAGCTCTCAGAGCGCTGAGGTTTTAATTTCATCCTGCCTGGATGCTTGCAGTGGCCTCCTGTGTGGTCTCCACACCTTAGCTATATTAACCTTTCTGTTGAGCACTGGTATGACTGTGGTATTTCATGGCCCCATCCCCAAAACCTTCCCTAGCGACCATCCCATGGAACCCAGCTCCTTGGTTTTTTATACTTTCTTCTCTTGTATCACAGTGATGAATGAATATGTCTTATCTTAGCTCCTAGTGCAGAGCCTGTCACACAATGGGGCAATAATATTTTTAAGGAGGATGAATGAATGAATGAACGAATGAATGCCTAGGCCCCTCGAGGGACGGGCTGTAGCTGTGTAGCCCAGTGCTGGGGCGCTAGCCCACATGGTCCTCTGTTGCCACTGCTGATGATGTGTGGGTGGGCAGTGTTCTGGTTACCCCCAGTCCACCACGCAGAGGGCATGACTTGGGGGTTAGCAAAGGGAGACGGTTTAGCCACAGGGAGTTAAGTGGAAAAGTGCTGAGTCTGGGGAGGGTGTCACCTCCCGTTCTACCTCATCCTCCCACATCAGCATTGCTGTCAGTGAAGGAGGATGACCAGCAGGTCTGGGCAATGCCTAGAGGCAAGGAAGCTGTGTCCCCAACCTGGGGACACCTGAAGAAGAGGTGTTATGGCCCCAGGTCAGGGTGGTCCCAGCCACAGAGAGTGCAATCACGCACCCCCATCCTCATTTAAAACATGGGGTTTGCCTGCTGCCCAGGAGCAGCCCCAAGACAACAGATGCTCTGCACAGCAGGGTGGCACCCAGGCCCCTCCCCAGCCCCGGGAGGCTGACGCGGTCTCTCATGCCTCCACAGAAGGACTTCACGGTGCGCGAGGAGCTGCAGCAGCAGGACGTGGAGCGCTGGCTGGGCTTCATCACCTTCCTGTGCGAGGTCTTCGGCACCATGCGCAGCAGCACAGGCGAGCCCTTCCGTGTGCTCGTGTGCCCCATCTACACCTGCCTCAGGGAGGTAAGAGACCTGCCGCCTGTGCCCCCTGCACAGCCAGACAGCACCAGGTCTGGAATGCGTCTCAGATAACTGGGACAAAGCTGTGAGGGTAGGCTCACTTAGAAAGGGACCCATCCGGGCCAGGCACGGTGGCTCACACCTGTAATCCCAGCACTTTGGGAGGCCAAGGCAGGTGGATCACCTGAGGTAAGGAGATCGAGACCATCCTGGCAAACACGATGAAACCCCATCTCTACTAAAAATGCAAAAATTAACCAGGCGTGGTGGTGGGTGCCTGTAATCCCAGCTACTCGGGAGGCTGAGGCAGGAGAATTGCTTGAACCTGGGAGGTGGAGACTGCAGTGAGCCGAGATCGCACACTGCACTCCAGCCTGGGCGACAGAGCGAGACTCGGTCTCCAAAAAAAAAAAAAGGGGGCCCATCCTTCAGCAAAGAGATGTGCAACAGCAGTCACTTCTGCTCCCCAAAGCCAGGTCTTTCTTCGTTGGGTTTATATAAAGGGAACCAGCACCCCCTTCCCCCGTGGGGTGTTGTGAACTGAGGCTCCAGTCATTCCCAATCGGGAGCACTGGCTGCAGAGGGGAGGCCTATGGTAAGTGTTGTCTCAATGAGCGATCTTGGAATTGGATTGGACTGGTTTGCCACTGGATTATTTATTCTATGAAAACATATTTTCTTCTAAATTTCATCTGAAAAAGAAAGAAACAAGAATGACCAAGGAACTTTTGAGAAGCAGGAATTTAGCAGGTGGTTGCACTGCCAGATATTATAACTCACTTTCTACACCCCTCTGGCTGCTGTCAGGGGAGAGAATTGAAAGGGGGCAAAGTGGAAGCTGGAAGCCGAGTGGGGCTGCTTAGGCTGCGCAGCAAGAGGTTGGTGGCTTGGAAGACAGCCTCGGAGTGAGGGCGAAGAGCACGTTTAGGCTCTAGTTGAATTTCTGAGTTAGAGCCAGCAGGACTCGGTAATGTGAGTTGGAGGGAAGGGAGGAGGGGACATGGGCTCCCCGTTTACCAGCCTGGTGGCCCCATTTTCTGAGATGGAGGATACTGGATGAGAAATAGAATGGGGATGAAAAGCAAGAGTCAGTTATGTTTGAGTCGCCTGTTAGCTGTCCCTAGGGAACTGCCCGGAGGTTGGCCGGGTGGAAGGGTCTAGAGATCCTGAAGAGGTCACGCATGGAGGTAGGGGATAGAGGGTTCTGGGAAGTATCGATATGCACCTGGTGCTCAAAGCTGGGGACCAAATGGAACCACGCAGGAAGAGAGTATAGATGGAGAGGGAGAGGAAGGGGGCGTGTAAGAACCCTCACAGCAGCCCTTCACTGGGACCTGGACGCCTCCCCCATGTTGTACCCTCCCACCACCGGCAGGCCTCTGCAGGGGCTACCAGGACACAAGGAGGAACAGCCTCCTGAGAATCAAAGGACCAGGACAGAAAAGTGTCCTGGGTTTGGCAACAAGCAGGTCACGGGCCCTGGGTGTCAGCGGAGGTGAGGACAGGAGTGTGGACACGTCTTTCGAGAAGTTTTTCTGTGAATGGCAGCAGGGAAGGAGAGCTGTGGGGTCAAGGGGCATCTTTATGGTTTTGAAAGAAAGACAATAATAGAGCAATTTAAGAGAAGGGAGGGAGTGTATTTATGAGTGTTTTTGAAGCATCCGTTTATAGAACAATAGCATGCTCATTCCAGACAAGCACAGAGCACACAGTTCTCTCTCGGGTGTTTTGTAAACCCATGAGCCTCTGCCACTCCATGTACCCAAACCACATTTCTTAACAAATGCACTTGAAATCAGATTTGTTTCGCAGATTCAGACAATGGCCTCTCCTGACTTTGTTTCACTCTCAAAGTGCCTTGAGCTCAGAATGCAGCTCCAGGAGGGCTGGCAGCTCTGCTTTTTGCACCCTTTGGAATGACATGGAGGCTAGGAGCGGGCCTGCGTGGCCTCTTGGGTCCTCCCATCCTTGCCTGCATTGCCCTGTGCCCTGGACAACCCACCTCGAGACAGGGAGCAGCACTGTTCTAGGGCAGTGACCTGAATTGCCCCAACACGTTCCCTCTGCGTGATCTGGACACCTCCTGGTGTTGTCGTCACCTGCTCCTCCGAGAGGGAGGCAAGGCTGTAGCCGAGCGCCGGCCCTGGCTGCTGGGACACTTTTAACACCGCCTGAGGTAGTGCAAATATTCCAGTGTGAGATCCGGAGGTGCCAGGAGATGTGTGCAGACAAGAACAAAGAGCCACGCCTAACGCACACTTGTTGGATGCATTCAAATTTTCGGGCCAGTTTGACAAACACAGACCCATCCAATGCTCATGGTAAACTTGAAGAATAAATAAATCACCTATGGTCTTCTCCAATTTGTAAAAGAAGAGGGCAGAGCCCCATGTACCAAGCTAACTAGGGCCGGGCTGCAGCAGGGTTCACATCCTGGCTCTGTTGTTCATCAACTGCACCACGTTGGGAAGCATTTACCTGCTTTGAGCTTTGGCTTCCTCATCTGTAAATGGTGCTCATGCTGCTTTCTCTGCAAGGTGCAGGGAGGGTGGCAAGGCATGGAGAGACAGCTAAGTGCACTAGGGACAACGAGGCCGGAGGATGGAAGGAAGTGCCCGGGGCACGGCGTCTGGCAGAGAGCTAGTTGTCATCTAGGCTGATGGGGCCTAGGGGCTGAGCACATGCCTAATCTTAAAGGGCTACTTGGGCTGAGTGTCCTGCCCAGGGACAAACAGCTGGTCCATGCCAGAGCTGGTCTGGAGCTCCTGAACTCCAGGTAGGGCTCTTTCCAGGAGAAATCTTGGCTTCCCTAAAACTGGGCCAAAAGAAAAGATGGGGACTTAAAGGGGTGCCCTACGGATCTCAACAATCCTTGTGAACAGCCTGTTGCCTTTCGCAGCTCCGTAGGGACCCCTGAATTCTTCAAGCCATTTGCTGCCTCATAACCAGGCTTGACCTACATCCCTAAAGCAGGTTGAGCCGGCTTATGGAAGTTTCCAGAGCCAAAGGCACAGCTGCAGCCCCCTCCATGCTGGAAAAGCTTAGGCTTTCCCCCTGGGGCCATGTAGATGTCTGACCCCAAATCCACAGCACCCACTTTGCCCTGAGATCCCCCCAACTCCCAGAACCACCCGCAGGCCCACATTTCCAGCTGCCCACTACACCTGTCCCAGGTCATACCTCAGGACCCTCCAAAAGGATGTGGTCAGAACTGCACCCCAAGACCCCCTGCTCAGTGCAGCTCTCATGCAGGCCCCCACCCATGCTGCCTGCCTCCCTGCAGCCAGGTAGCAGCCCCAGAACCCACGCCACGGCCTTTCCGCTGTCAAGTCACTCACTCCATCCCCTGCGTCTGTACCCCCGGGGCTCCCCTGCAGTGCTTTCCTTGCTGCTTCTGAGTAAAACCCAAACCCACAGGCCATCTCTGAGTGAAGGGTCTTGCTGAGGGTGAGGACAAACCCAAGGGATAGATGCAAAGTCCTCACCATCCAGCCCGTCTGGGGGTCCTTGTGCTCACAGAGGCCCCCTTCATTCTGAGGTCCAAGCTTACTCGGTCCCCACGCTCCTTTAGCTCAAGCATGTGCTTAGTCCCCAGGCGCCTCAGCCTGGAGGACACCCAGCTCTCTGGGAGTCCCTGGGGACATCCTTTCACACCCTGACCTCATCAAATTAACCATTCTTTAAGTTACTCAAGCTTGAAACTTTGGAGTCATCTCTGCCTCTCTGTCTTCCTGTCCCTGACACTTCTTCCTAGGCCCAGTTTGAAGTCACCTTTTCTGTGTGGCACCCCCTCAGCACACCAACAGCTTCCTCCTAAGGGACCTGGAAGTGTCCTCTGTCCTTACTGCTCCATCCTCACCCCAGCCTCTTCACGTTGCCTTGTAGTAGTGTTCAGTAACGGTAGCAGCACATCTCACTGCATGGACGCCTCCATCTCAATCGAGTGCCTCGTGTGTTCTTTTCTCTTTTAACTCAGACAGCACTTTGAAGATTATCATCCCCATTTTTCAGAGGAGAGCAGAGAGGTCAGGCAACTTGCTCAGGGCCACACAGCCACCAAGCGGTAGAATCAGTCCTGGAATCCAGATCTGACCACCCCATTTCACTGCCTTGCAGGCAGAGCAGGGGCTACTCTGTTTGTTTTCTTGGTGCATAACTCAGCACCTATATGGTAGGATCCCAGTAGATCTTGGTGGAATTGATTCCATTTTTGCCCCAACTAACATGCCAATCAGAGATCCTTCTTCCAGAGATGAAAAAGAAGAATTTTCAATGTGTGCTTTTCTTGTTTAAGAACAAATAGTTTCTGCCGAGGTGGTTTTCAAAGTGATTGAAGAAGATTATTGGTCATCTGTAGCTGCAGGAGTCTCCTTGCTCTGCTATTTACAACTCATATTTGCTTAGCAAGCTCCTTTTTATTTTTTAAATATTTTTGAATTTCTATTTTTAGTTTTACTGTGGTAAGGATACTGAATATGGATCTACCCTCTTCACAGGTTTCTAAGGATAAAGTACAGTATTGTATCCATAGCCATAATGTTGTGCAGATCTCCAGAACATATGCATCTTGCATAACTTAAACTTTCACCCATTGATTAGCGACTCCCCATCTGCACTTCCCCCTAGCCTCTGGCAACCACTATTCGTTGCTTCTTTGAATTTGACTATTTTAGATACCTCATGTAAATGGAATTATGCAGTATTCGTTCTTCTGTGACTGGCTTATTTCATTTAGTAATGTCATCAGAGTTCATCCATGTTGTTGTATATTGCAGTTTCCTTCTTTGTAAAGGCTGAATAGTATTCCATCGTATGTATATACCACTTTAAAATTTTTTTCTTGGAGGTTAATATTTGTACATATTTATGGGGTACATGTGATATTTTGTTACATGCATAGAATGTGTAATGATCAGGTCAGGGAATTTAGGATATCCATCACCTCGAGTATTTATCATTTCTATGTCTTAGGGACATTTCAAGTCCTCTCTTCTAGCTATTTTGAAATATATAATGCATTGTTGTTAACCATAGTCACCCTACTGTGCTATCAAACATTAGAGCTGATTCCATCTAACTGTATGTTTGTACCCATTACCCAACCACTCTTCATCTCCCCACCCCCACCCCCAACACACACACACACACACACACACACACACACACATTGTTTTATCCATTTATCTGCTGATGGACATTTGGGTTGTTTCCGTGTCTTGGCTTATTGTGAATAGAGCTGCAATGAACATGAGAGTGCTATATCTCTTCAAAATCCTGATTCAAGCTCTTTTGGATAAATACTCAGAAGCGGGATTGCTGGATCATATGGCAGCTCTATTTTTAAGTTTTTGAGGACCCTCCATTTTGTTTTCCACAGCAGATGCACCATTTTGCATTTCTACCAACAGTGTACAAGGGTTCTAATTTCTCTCCATCCTTACCAGTTTGTCTTTTGTTTTTTTTGCTCACAGCCATTCTAACAGGTATGAGGTGATATCTCATTGTGGCTTTAATTAATTTGCATTTCCCTGATGATTAATGACATTGAGCATCTTTTCATATACCTGCTGGCCATTTTCCATGTCTTCTTTGGAGAAAGGTCTATTCCAATTCTTAGACTAGTTTTAAATTGAGTTATTAGGTTTTTTGCCATTGAGTTTTAGGAGTTCCTTATATATTTTGGACATTAACTCTTTATCAGATGTATGGTTTGCAAATATTTTCTCCTGTTCCATACTTTGTCTTTCTCTCTGCTGATTATTTCCTTTGCTGTGCAGAAGCATTTTAGTTTGATGCAATCCTACTTGTCTATTTTTGCTTTTGTTGCCTGTGCTTTTGGAGTCATATCCAAAAAAAAAAAAGTGTCCAGACCAACGTCAAGATGCTTTTTCTTTATGTTTTCTTCTAGTAGTTTTACAGTTTCAGGTCTTATATTTAAGTCTTCAATCCATTTTGAGTTGATTTTTGTATATGGTATGAAATAAGAGTATAATTTCTTCTTCGTGTGGATATCCAGTCTTCCCAAGACCGTTTATTGAAGAGACTGTCTTTTCCCCATTGTGTGTTCTTGGCACCTTTGTTGAAGATCAGTCGACTGTAAATGTGTGGATTTATTTTTCGACTCTCTATTTTGTTTCATTGGTCTATATGCCTGTTTTCATACCAGTACCATACTGTTTTGATTGCTGTAGCTTCGGGATACATTTTGAAATTAGGAAGTGTGATTGCCTCAAGCTTTGTTCTTCTTCACTCAAGATTGCTTTGGCTATTTGGGCTCTTTTATATTTCCAAGTGAATCTTAGAATTGTTTTCTATACTTCTGTTTTTAAAATGCCCCTGGGATTTTGATAGGGATTGCATTGAATCTGCAGATTGCTTTGAATAGTGTGAACATTTTCACAATATTAAATCTTCCAATCAAAGATCAGGAATAACACAAGGATCCCCACTCTTACCACTCCTATTCAACATAGTACTGGAAATCCTAGCCAGAACAATTAGACAAGAAAAGGAAATAAAAAGCATCCAAATCTGAAA